>NC_000023.11:56027131-56343187 GCF_000001405.40 Homo sapiens
CTGGTAACTTTATCCATCCTTCTTTTATTTTGTCCTCTTTCTGCCTGAAGAATGTCTTTTTCCTCTTTAGAATAAGTAGGGACCAGATCAGGTGTTTGAGGGAGTAGGGGGGCTGTGACTGATGCCCAGTAGGGAGTAGATGCTGCTTTTCATGCCTCTGTGTCTGCCCAGGAGTTTCCTCGGCTCACTGAGGTGGAAACTTGCTGGTGTCCCCTGCAATGCGTGACTGCCACCTTTTGGGGTTTCCACACTGCCTCTAATAATTGTAGAATTTCTTGTTGATATTTTATGTTCTTTCCCCCAGAATTTAACAGGCCTTTTTCTTTATATAATGCCCCATGTACTTGAAGGGTTAGAAAGGCATATCGAGAGTCAGTATAAATGTTTACAGTCTTACCTTCACTGAGTTCTAGAGCCCGAGTTAAAGCAACGAGTTCTGCTTTCTGGGCTGAAGTGCCCTGAGGCAATGGCTTGGCTTCAATAACATTATCCAAGGTTACCACCGCATATCCTGGACATCTTTCTCCTTGTGGGTTGATGAAGCTGCTCCCGTCTACGTATAACTCCCAGTCTACTGATGCCCATGGCTGGTCTCGAAGATCCGGTCTGCTAGAATAGACTGAGTCCAACACCTCTACACAGTTGTGTTCAACAGGGCTGTCTGATACTGGGAGCAAGGTGGAAGGATTTAGTGTGTTACAGACTTCAATGGTTATGCGGGGGTTTTCACACAAGCTTTGGTACTTGGTTAATCTAGCATTTGTTAGCCAATGGTGTCCTTTGGTATTCATTAAAGTTACCACCACATGGGGGGCCTTTATATTTAAGTTTTGCCCAAGGGTTAGCTTATCTGCTTCTTGTGCTAACAGGGCTGTAGCTGGCAGGACTGTCAGACATGGAGGCCAGCCTTTTGAAACTCCATCTAGCTGTTTTGAGAGGTAGGCCACTGGTCTTGGCCAGGGCCCCACAGTTTGAGTTAAAACTCCAACTGCCATTTTTTCTCTTTCTGACACATAGAGTGTGAAGGGCTTGGTCAAATCTGGTAGTCCCAGAGCTGGGACTGACATAAGTTTTTCTTTTAACTTACAAAAGTCTTGCTGTTGTAGAGGCCCCCATTCAAAGGGCTCTCAGTCGCCCCCCTTTGTAACCCCATACAACAGTTTGGCTAGCACGCAAAGTTTGGAATCCATAATCTGCAAAACCCACAGCTCCTAGAAATTCCCTTACTTGCCTTCTGGTTTTATGTTCTGGTAGGCTGCAGATGACCTGCTTTCTTTCTGACCCCAGGCTGTGCTCCCCTTTCTGAATAGTGAATCCCAGGTAGCATACCTGCTGTCTGCAAATCTGAGCTTTCTTCTTGGACACCTTATATCCACAGTCCTCCAGGTGCCAAAGTAGGGCATCCATCCCTTTTGCACACCCGACTGCTGTGGAGTGTCCTAGCAGAAGGTCGTCCACGTACTGGAGCAAGACGCAGCCTAGGTCTTTAGCAGGAAACTTCTGGATGTCTCGAGCCAACGCCTCCCTGAAGATGATGCGGGAATTTTTGAACCCTTGGGGAAGCTGAGTCCAAGTGTACTGTGTGGTGACACCTGACCCCGGGTCTTCCTACTGAAAGGCAAACAGTTTTTGGTTCTCAGGAGCTAGTCTAATGCTAAAGAAGGCACCCTTCAAGTCCAGGCAAGTGAACCAGCCATCCTCAGCCAGCAGCAATCCTAACAATGTGTAAGTGTTAGGAACTGTTGGGTGCAGAGTCACAGTAGCTTGGTTAACCAAGCATAAGTCCTGTACGGGCCGATAGTCCTTGGTCCCTGGCTTGGGGACAGGTAGGAGGGGGGTGTTCCATGGAGACTGGCAAGGAACTATAATTCCAAAAGCTTTCAAGTGTCTAAAATGTGCCTGTATTCCTTCAAGAGCTTCCCTGGGAACCGGATACTGCTTTTGTCTGATTGGCTGGGCCCCAGGCTTAACTTCTATGAGTACAGGGGCTTGATTGATCACCAGCCCTGGAGGATTGTCCTCCACCAATACTCGGGGCCATTGCTTAGCTAGTGCCGGTTTTATCTCCTGACCTGGCTCGGTTAGAAAAAGGCTCCATTCTTCTCAGGGGACCATAAGGACCATGATAACTCCTGTTCCCGGTAACTTCAGCTATAAAGAGCCCTGTTTTGTAAAGGAAATGGTGGCTCTCAGCTTGCTAAGCAAGTCTCTGCCTAACAAAGGCAAGGGGCAGTCAGGCATATACAGAAATTGATGAGTCACTTTATGTCCTTCTATCCAAGCAGGTCCACGGTAGGTAGAAAACCTGCTTGGTGGAGACTCTTGCTCCTATTATATCAGCGGTTTTCTTAGATAAGGGGGCCACTGGGGTGGTTACTACTGAGTGTTCAGCACGGTATTGACCAAAAACTTAATGTCCTTGACCCCTATTGTCATCCTGACCATGGGCTCCTTGGGGGCATTTGAGCTCGATCCCCTTCAGTCTAGAAGCCCTTCGGCCAGATTAAACAAAGTCCCTTCGTCTTTTTCTATGGTCTTTTTGCTCTGCATCACCTTGCTTCTCTTTTAGTTGGGGACATTTATCTTTCCAATGTCCTATTTCTTTACAGTAGGCACATTGGTTACGCTGCAGACGTGAGCGATTGGACTGGGCATTCCTCCCAGAACACCCCTTTCCCTGTCCCTTCGTGGGGATTCCCCTAATTGCCACAGCCAGCAAATCAGCGTTCCACCTGGCCTGGCGTTCTCCCTCCTTATGGCTTTCTCTGCGGCTTGTTGCATCACTGTTTACAAATATTTGATTAGCTATCTCCAGTAACTGCGAGATATTCATTCCTGCAAAACCAGCCTGTTTTTGTAATTTCCTTTGGATATCTTCTGCACTTTGACTAACTAAGGCCATGTTAATCATATGCTGATTTTCAGGACTATCTGGATTGAAAGGAATGTACATATGATAGGCCTCACACAGTCTTTCATAGAATTGGGCTGGGCTTTCCTCCTTTCCTTGGATGACTTCAGAAACTTTATTTACGTTGGTGGCCTTTTGAGCCCCTTTTTTTCAGACCTTCAATTAATGCCTCCTGGTATTGTCTTAGCCTCTCCATATCTGGTCCTTCATTCAGATCCCATTGAGGGTCCATTCCTGGCAGCTGAATTCTTATGTATTCCTGGGGATTTTGGTAATCGGCTGGGACATGCTCCTCTAGCCATTTAGTTGCTGCCTGGAGCACCCTTCGCTTTTCATCTGTGTTAAAGAGGTACATGAGTAGCTGGTGGGAATCAGCCCAAGTAGTATTATGAGTCTGTATAATAGTTTGGAGCAAGTCAATTAGAGCTTGAGGCTTTTCAGTGTAAGATGGAGTATTATTTTTCCAATTGAGGAAGTCAGCAGAAGTGAAAGGGTGATACACAAAGGCACGCCTTTCCATCATGTGTCCATCCTCATCTATCCCAGTATATTGCTGCTCTCTCAGGGGCATTTGTGTTCCAGTCTTGGGCTGTAAGCGAGCCACCAAGGGAGGAGTTTCTCCTGCAGCTTCACTTCCTTTCTTGTCTACTCTGGGTGGTCTAGGGGCTGTGAGCTCAGGATTAGGGGGCCTCTCTGCTTGGTAAGGGAGGGGCACTGTTGGTGCCATCTCCTGCCATGAGTCTTTGGGCTCTGGGTCAGACAGAACTTTAGGGGCTGGCTTCTGTCAGCGGGTGGAGTGAGGACCTTCCTTAACTAACTGTCCCTTTGCTACTAGTACTGCTGCTGCCTGTCCTGTTAACCACTGTGGGGGATCTAAAACTAGCTGTAACCAGGAATCTATATATGGGAACTGATCTGGGTGTCCTGGCTTGCCAGTTACTTTGTGCCATACCTTTGAAACAAGAGACCTCTCCAGGCTTCCTTCTGATGGCCAACCTACCTCTAATTCTGGCCAATCTATTTCACACAAAGTTCTAAGTTTTCCTGGAGTCATAGTAACTCCATAGTCTCCTTTGAATCCTTTCTTGAAATTCTTTAACATAGTTCCCAATGGGGTGGGCTTACTTTGTGCCTGACCCATGTTTTCTCAAGACAAAATATCATGCTCACACCACACACTTACCACAAAACAAAGAACAGGTAAAGAGGGCACACACACACCTTTATCGTTTATACCAAACCAAAATCAGAGTATCAAGAAATTTAAGCCAAGTCAAAACCAAAACCAAAGTATCAAGCAATTCAAGTCAAGTCAAAACCAGAACAAAAGTGCCGATACAGGCATGCTGTGGGTGGTCAGGCCATGCTTCCACTCAGATGGAGTGGGCAAGTTTCAAAGACTATTCTTACCAAGTTTCAGATGTCTGGACTCCAAGTGCCATTTCCTTCCCTGTGTTCAGCCACTGCTTTGGTCCTCCATGGGGGCTTGCCACACACTGCTCTGGTGAGGCGTTCCACCGGGCCAATTGCCTACCCGGGAGCGCTCTTTGGATCATGTCGCTCGGGTAGGCTGGAGTCCTCTGCAGGGATGCTCCACAGGGCAGGCCTAAGCTGCCTAAGGGGCTGCCTCGGCTGTCCATCAGTCACCTCGTTTCCCAGTCAGCGAACCAAGAAATGTAGCAGGACGAGCTGCGGACAAAACCCCACAGACACCGAGGTAGTGAAGGTAGTGGCTTTAATCAGCTGGAAGGATCGGCAGACTAATGTCTCAAAATCCGAGCTCCCCGAGTGCACAATTTCTGTCCCTTTTAAGGGCTCACAACGTTAAAGATTTTACATGAAAGGGCCGTGATCGATCGAGCGATCTAGGGGGTATGTGACAGGGGCTTCATGCACCAGTAATCAGAGTGAAACAGAACAGAAGGAGAAGTTTCACAATGTCCTTCCATACAATGTCTGGAATCTATGGATAACATCGGTTGCTAGGTCATGGGTTGAATTTTAACTACCAGGTTAGGTCACGAAGGCCCAGACCTGGTTTTGGGTCTGGTTTTGGGTCTGGTGCCTGGCGCCGGGCTGCCTGCCTTTGGTTTCCACTTCCTTGTTTCTTCTTAAAACAGGTACCGAGTATAAAACAATATAAAACAATATGAGGGGTCTCTTTTTCTCTTCTCTCACCTTGGCCTCCCAAAGTGCTGGTGATTACAGGCATGAGCCACCATTCCTGGCCCTTAAATATTTGTTTTATTTGGTTTTTGTTGTATATGCCTCAAGTCTTTCATTTTTTTATTGAGGTATAATTTATATTTAGTAAAATTTATTCTTTTTACATCTACAGTTCTTTGAAATTTGGCAATGTATACCATTCTGTAACCACCACTATAATCAAGATAAATAATGTTTCTGTCACCTGAAAAGGCTCCCTTGTGCTCTTTTGTAATCAACTCCTCCCTCTAATTCCCAGCCTTTATCAACTACTGATAAGATCTCTTTCACTGCAATTTTGTTCATTATAAACTGTTATATAAGTGAAATTATAAGTTTATAGCCTTTTGATTCTTGCTTCTTTTACTCAACATTTTTCTCAAGATTCATCTGTGTTGTTGTGCATGTCAGTAATTCTTTATTGTTGTTGTTCAGTAGTTTTCTATTGTATGAATATAGCAATTTGTTTATCCATTTATCTATAGATGGACACTTCAGTAGTTTCCAATATTTAGTGACTATGAATAAAGCTGTTTTAAACATTTGCAGACAGATTTTCCTGTGGACAGATTTGTGTTTGTATTTTGGGATGGGTAAATACCTAAGAGTGGAATTACTAGGGATTATGTTAAGTAAATGTTCAACTTTACTACCAACTGCCAAACTGTTTTCCAGACTGGCTTTAAAATTTCTCAGTCCTACCAACAATGTATTAGAACTTCATTGCTCCACATCCTTGCCACCATTTGTGTTTTTAAATTTTATAATACATTAACAAATAATAATTCTATATATTTATGAGGAACATATGATATAGATATATAATGCAGTATGATTGAACTAAGAAAAGTGACATATCCATCTCCTCAAATACTTATCATGTATTCTTCCTATCTAACTTAAACCTGTACCTTCTTAGCAACATCTCCCCATTCCCCAACCCAACCTCTGATAGCCACCATTCTACTCTCTATTTCTTTGATTTAGATTATTTTATATTCAAAATAAAAGTGAGATTATTCAGTATTTTTCTTTATGTGGCTGGCATATTTCACTTAGCATAATGTCCTCCAGTTTTATCCACGGTGTCGCAAATGACAGGATTTTTTTCCTTTTCAGGGCTGTTACTCCATTGTGTATACATACTGCATTTTCTTTATCAATTTTTTTTGATGGGCACTTAGATTGATTTTATATGCTGGCTATTTTGAAAAATGATGCAATGAATATAGGAGTGCAGACATCCCTTCTACATACTAATTTTAAATCCTTTTGATATATACACAGAAGTGGGATTTCTGGATCATATGGTAGTTCTATTTTTAGTTTATTGAGGAACCACCACACACTTTTTTATAATGGCTGTAATATTATAATTCACATTCCCACCAACAGTATACCTGAGTTCCTTTCTCTTCACTTGTTATCACTTCTCTTTTTTATAATAACCACCATCACAGGCATGAGGTTATATTATATTGTGGTTTTAATTTGCATTTCCCTAATGATTAGTAATGCTGAACATTTTTTTCATGTACCTGTTGGCCATTTGTATGTCTTCTTTGAGAAATGTCTTTTCAGATCTTTTGTCTGTTTTAAAATAGTTGTTTCTTGCTAGTCATTTGTTTGAATACCTTACATATTTTGAATACCTTTGTTTGAATACCTTACATATTGAATACCTTACATATTTTGTATAGCAAATCTTTATCAGATGTTGGCTTGCAAATATTTGTTGTTTCCTTTGCGTTACAAAATCATTTTTGTTTGTTACAAACAGGTTTGTCTATTTTTGTTCGTGTTGCCTAAGATTTTGGATGTAATCCCAAAGAATCATTGCCAGACCAATTTCATGTAGTTTTTTCTGCTATATTTTCTTTTAGTATTTTTACATTTTCAGGTCTTTTCTTTAAATTTGTAATCCATGGTGAGGTGATTTTCATGTGCAGTGTGAAATAAAGGTCCAATTTCATTCTTCGGCATATGGATATTCAGTTTACCCAACATCATTTATTAAAAAGACTGTCCTTTTCCCATTGTATATTATTGGCATCTTTGTCAAAAATCAATTGAATGAAAACACATGTGTTTATTTCTGGAATTTTTATTCCATTTCTTTGTGTATGTGTCTATTGTTATGCCAGTACCATGCTGTTTTAATGAATATAGCCTTCTAATATAATGTGAAATCAGATAGTGCCTCCAGCTTTGTTCTTTTTGCTGAAGTTTGCCTTGGCTATTTGGGTTTTTAAATTTTATACATTATAATTTATTTTGTTTTATGATTGACACAGTTATATATATGTATGGGGTACATAGTAATATTTTGATACATATAGTGATAAGATCAGGGTAACTAACATATTTATCATCTCAAACATTTATCATTTGTTTGAGTTGAGAACATTCAATATCCACTTTCTGGCTATTTGAAAAAATAAATTATTTTTAACTATAGTCATCTTACAATCTTACAATGGTATAGAACACGAACTTATTTCTTTTTTTTTTTTTTTTTTTTTTTTTGAGATGGAGTCTCGCTCTGTGGCCCAGGCTGGAGTGCAGTGGCGCGTTCTCGGCTCACTGCAAGCTCCGCCTCCCGGGTTCACGCCATTCTCCTGCCTCAGCCTCCCGAGTAGCTGGGACTACAGGCGCCCGCTACCACGCCCGGCTAATTTTTTGTATTTTTAGTAGAGACGGGGTTTCACCGTGTTAGCCAGGATGGTCTCGATCTCCTGACCTCGTGATCCGCCCGCCTCGGCCTCCCAAAGTGCTGGGATTACAGGCGTGAGCCACAGCGCCCGGCCGAACTTATTTCTTTTATCTAGCTATAATTTTATGTCCTTTAAGAAATCTCTCCCTATTCCTCATTCATTATATGCTTCCCAGCCTCTGGTATCCTCTGTTCTACTTTTTACTTTTATGAAATCACCATTTTTTACCTTCCACATATGACTGAGAGCATACATGGTTTAACCTTCAGTTCCTAGTTTATTTTACTTAACATAATATCCTCCAGTTCCATCCACGTTGCTGAGAATTCCAGGATTTTATTCCTTTTCATTGCCAAATAGTATTCCATTGTTTATATATACCACATTTTCTTTATGCAGCCATCTGTTCTTAGACACTTAGGTCAATTCCATACCCTGGCTATTGTGAATAGTACTGCAACAAACATGGGGTAACAGATGTCTCTTTGACATACTGTTTTTATTTCCTTTAAATAAATGCCTAGTAATGGGATTACTGGATCATATAGTAGTTCTACTTACAGGTTGTTGAGAAAACTTCATACTGTTCATTATAGTGGTACTAAGTTAAATTCTTACCAAGATTGTATAAGAGTTTCTTTTCTCTTCATCCTTGCCAACATATGTTATTTTTTGTGTTTTTGATAAAGCCTCCTTAATTGGGGTGAAATGATATCTCATTGGGTTTTGATTTGCATTTCTTTGATGATTAGTGATGTTGAACATTTTTTTCATATATTTGTTGGCCATTTATATGTCTTCTTTTGAGAAATGTCTGTTCAGATTGTTCACCCATTCACGTCTTTTTAATTGGATTGTTTGGCTTTTTTGCTGTTGAGATGTTTGAGTTTCTTACATATTCTGGATGTTGATCCCCTGTCAGATAAATAATTTGCAAATATTTTCTCTCATAATGTAGATGGTATTTTCACTTTGTTGATTGTTTCATTTGCTGTGCAAAAATCTTATTAGTTTGATATAATACTATTTTTTAAAATTTGTGCTTTTGTCAGATAGCATGATGCTTCCAGCTTTGTTGTTACTGAAGCTTCCCTTGACTATACGGGCTTTTTAAATCTTATACTTCATTTTTAATTTATTTTATTTTTTAATTGACACATAATAATTATACATATTTATGGGGTACATAGTAGTATTTTGATACATATGATGTATAGTGAACAGATCATGGTAACTAGCATATTTATCATCTCATCTATGCTTTTGAGGTTTTATTCATAAATTATTTTCTCAGAAAAATTTCCTCAAGCATTTTCTCTATATTTTCTACTAGTAGTTTTATAGTTTTGTTTCTTACATTAAGGTCTCTGATCCATTTTCAGTGGACTTTTGTATAGGGTGAGAGTTGGTGGTCTAGTTTTGTTCTTCCATATAGGAATATCCAATTTTCCCAGCACCATGTATTGAAAAGACTGTCCTTTCCCCAATGAATGTTCTTGGCATCTTTGTCAAAAATCAGTTGGCTGTAGATATGTGGATTAGTATTTGTGTTCTGTTTTCTATTACATTGCTCTATGTTTCTGTTTTTATGCCAGTGACATACTATTTTGATTACCACGACTTTGTAGTATATTTTGAAGTTCAGCAGTGTGCTTCCTGCAGCCTTGTTCTTTTTGCTCAAGATTGTTTTAGGTATTTAGAGTCTTTTGTAGTTCCATACATATTTTAGAATTTAAAATTTTTTTTCTTTGAAGAATGTTATTGGTGTCAAGATAGGAGTTGCATTTAATTTGTAGATTCCTTTGGGTAGTACTGTCTTTAACAATAATAAATTTTCTGATTCATAAGCATGAGATGTCTTTCCATTTTTTGTATCTTCTTCATTTTTTATGAGTGTTTTGTAATTTTTCTTGTAGAAATCTGCTACAACCTTCATTAAGTTTATTCCTAATTTTTAAGGCAATTGCAAATGTGACTGCCTTCTTGATTTTTTTCAGCTAGTTTGTTGTTCCTGTATAGCAACACTACTGATTTTTGCATTTTGATTTTATTTTACAACTTTACTGATTTATCAATTCAAATGATTTTCACTGAAGTCTTTAGTTTTTTTGTGTATATAAGATCATGCCATTTGCAAACATGTACAATTTGACACCCTCCTTTCCAATATAGATGTCCTTTATTTTTTTCTCTTACCTAGTTGCACTGTCTAGGACTTCCAGTATTATGTTGAATAAGAGTGGTGAGAATGGGCATCCTTGATTTGCATATGTTGAACTATCCTTGCATTCCTGGAATAAATCCCACTTGATCGTGGTGTATTATCTTTTTCATTTGTTGGTGGATTCCATTTACTAATATTTTGTTCAGGAATTTACATCTGTGTTCGTCAGGAAGATTGGTCTGTTTTTTTTTATTGTTGTGTCCTTGTCTGGTTTTGATATCAGTGTTATGTTGGCCTCATAGACTGAATTAGGAAGAATTCTCTGTGCTTCAATTTTTTAGAAATAGTTTGAGAATAATTGATATTAATTTTTTTAAAAAAGTTTGGTAAAATTCAGCAGTGAAGCCAGCTGGTTCAGGACCTTCCTTTGTTGGGATTATTTTTATTACTGATTCACTCTTATTACTTGTTTTTTGGACTATTCAGGTTTTCTATTTATTTTTTCTTGGTTCAATCCTTTTTATAATTTCTTTATTTTACTTTTTTTTCTTTAATTTTTGTGTTTACATAGTAGGTGTATATATTTATGGGGTACATGAGATATTTTGATATAGGCATGCAATGTGAAATAAACACATCAAGGAGAATGGAGTATCCATCCCCTCAAGCATTTATCCATTGTGATACAAAAAATTCAATAACACCATTGGACACAGTTGTTATAAAATGTACAATTAAGTTATTATTGGCTACAGTCACCCTGTTTTGCTGTCAAATAGTAGGTCTTATTTATTTCTTCTAAATATTTTTTGTATGCATTAACCATCCCACCTCCCCACCACTTCCAGCCCCTCACTATCCAACCCAGCCTCTGGTAACCATCCTTCTACTCTCTATGTTTATGAGCTCAAATGTTTTGATTTTTAGATACTGCGAATAAATGAGAACATGTGATGTTTGTCCTTCTCTGCCTAGCTTATCTCAGTTTGCATAATGATTTTCAGTTCTAACCATGTTGCAAATGACTGGGTCGTATTCTTTTTATGACTGAATAGTACTCCATTGTGTATATTTACCAAATTTTCTTTTTTTATCATTTTATTTTAAGTTCATGGGTATATGGTGCAGGATGTGCAGATCCGTTACATAAGTAAACATGTGCCCATGGTGGTTTGCTACACAGATTATGCCATCACCTAGATATTAAGCCCAGCATCCATTAGCTATTCTTGATGGTGTCACTCACCCCACACATCACCTTCTGACAGGCCCCAGTGTGTTGTTCCCTGCCATGTGTCCCTGTGTTCTCATCATTCAGACCACATTTATGAGTGAGAACATGCACTGTTTTACTTTTCCTGCATTAGTTTGCTAAGGATAATGGCTTCCAACTCCATACATGTCCCTACAAGAACATGATCTCATTACCTTTTATGGCTGCATAGCATTCCATAGTTTATATGTACCACATTTTCTTTATCCAGTCTATCATTAATGGGCATTTGGATTGTTCTTATGTCTTTGCTATTATTAATAGTGCTGCAATGAACATATGCATGCATGTATCTATAATAGAACGATTTATATTCCTTTCGGTATATACCCAGTAATGGGATTGCTGGGAGAAGTTGTATTTCTGCCTCTAGGTCTTTGAGGAACTGCCACACTCTCTTACACAATGATTGAACTAATGTACGTTTCCACCAACAGTGAAAAAGTGTTTCTTTTCCTCCACAACCTCACCAGAATCTGTTGTTCTTGGACTTTTTTAGCCATTCTGACTATCGTGAGATGGTATCTCATTGTGGTTTTCATTTGCATTTCTCTAATGATCAGTGACGGTGAGCTTTTTTTCCCTATGTTTGATGGCCCCATTTATGTCTTCTTTTGAGAAGTGGCTGTTGAGGTTTATTGCCCACTTTTTAATGTGGTTTTTCTTTTTCTTGTAAATTTGTTTAATATCCTTATAGATTCTGGATATTAGAGTTTTGTCAGAGGGATACATTGCAAAAAGTTTCTACCATTTTGTAGGTTCTTTGTTCATGCTGATGATAGTTACTTTTGCTGTGTAGAAGCTCTTTAGTTTAGTTAGATTTCATTTTTGAATTTTTGCTTTTGTTGCAATTGCTTCTGGTGTTTATGTCATGAAATTTTTGCCCATGCCTATGTCCTAAATGGTATTGCCTAGATTTTCTTCTAGAGTTATTATAGTTTTGGGTTTTACATTTAAGTCTTTAATCCCTCTTGAGTTAATTTTTGTATATGGTGTAAGGAAGAGGCCTAATTTCAGTTTTCTGCCTATGGGTAGCCAGCACTCACAGCACTAATTATTAAATAGGGAATCCTTTCTCCATTGCTTGTCTTTGTCAAGTTTGCCAAAGATCAGATGGGTATAGGTGTGCAGTCTTATTTCTGAGTATCTATTCTATTCCAGAGTTATCTATTATATTCCATTGGTCAATGTTTCTGTTCTTGTACCAGTATCATGCTGTTTTGATTACAGTAGCCTTATACTATAGTTTGAAGTCAGATAGCATGATGCCCCCAGTTTTGTTCTGTTTGCTTAGGATTGTCTTGTCTATTTGGGCTCTTTTTTGGTTGCATATAAGTTTCAGAATCATTTTTTCTAATTCCAAGAAGAATGTCAATGGTAGTTTAATGGGAATAACATTGAGTCTATAAATTACTTTGGATAGTGTGGCCATTTTTATTATATTGATTTTTCTTATCCATGAGCATGGAATATGTATTTGTTTGTGTCCTCTCTGATTTCTTTGAGCAGTGGTTTTTAGTTCTCCTTGAAGAGGTCCTTCACTTTTCTTGTTAGCTCTATTCCTAGGCATTTTATTATTTTTATATCAAATGTGAATGAGAGTTCATTCATGATTTGGCTCTCTGCTTGCCTGTTATTGGTGCATAGGAATAGTAGTGATTTTTGCACATTGCTTTTGTAGCCTGAGACATTACTGATGATTCTTATCAGCTTAAGAAGCTTTTGGGCTGAGACAATGGGGGCTTCAAGATACAGGATCATGTCATCTGCAAACAAAGATAATTTGAGTTCCTCTCTTCCAATTTGTATACCCTTTATTTCTTCTGTTGCCTGATTGCTCTGGCCAGAACTTCCAATACTATGTTGAATAGGAGTGGTGGGAGAGGGCATCCTTTTCTCGTGCCAGTTTTCAAGGGCAGTGCTTCCAGATTTTTCCCATTCAGTATGATATTGACTGTGGGTTTGTCATAGATGATTCTTAATACTTTGACTTCTGTTCCCTCGATACCTAGTTTATTTAGAGTTTTTAACAAGAAGGAATGTTGAATTTTATCGACAGCCTTATCTGCATCTATTTATATAATCATGTGGTTTTTGTCTTTAGTTCTGTTTACGTGATTAATCACATTTATTGATTTATGTGTGTTGAACCAACCTTGCATCTCTAGCATGAAGCCTACTTGATTGTGGTGGATAAGCTTTTTGGTGTGCTGCTGGATGTGGTTATTTTGTTGAGAATATTTGCATCAATGTTCATCAAGAATATTGACCTGAAGTTTTCTTCCATTGCTGTATCTCTTCCAGGTTTTGTTATCAGGATGATGCTGGCCTAATAGAATGAGTTAGGGAGGAGTTCCTCCTTTTCAATTTTTTGGTATAGTTTCAGTAGAAATGATACCAGCTTTTTTTTTTTTTTTTTTTTTTTTTTTTTTTTTTTTTTTTTGGTACCTTTGGTAGAATTCAGCTGTGAATCTGTCTGGTCTTGGGCTTTTTTTTTTTTTTTTTCCGGTTTGTAGGCTATTTATTATTGCCTCGATTTCAGAACTTGTTATCAGTCTACTCAGGGATTCAACTTCCTGGTTCAGTCTTGAGAGGGTGCATGTGTCCAGGAATTTATCCATTTCTTCTAGATTTTCTAGTTTATGTGCATAGAGGTGTTTATCGTATTCTCTGATGGTTGTTTGTATTTCTGTGAGGTCAGTGATGACATCCGCTTTATCCTTTTTTAATTCTTTTCTTTTTTGGAGACTCTTTTCACTCTTGTCGCCCAGGCTGGAGTGCAATGGCATGATCTCGGCTCACTGCCACCTCCACTCCCGGGTTCAAGCGATTCTCCTGCTTCAGCCCCCTAAGTAGCTAGATTTACAGGTGTGCGCCACTATGCCCAGCTAATTTTTGTATTATTAGTAAAGACAAGGTTTCACCATGTTGGCCAGCCTCGTCTTGAACTCCTGACCTCAGGTGATCCACCCGCCCAAAGTGCTGGGATTACAGGCATGAGCCACCTCGCCCAACCCTTTTTATTATTTTTTATTGTGTCTATTCTCTCTTTATTAGTCTAGCTAGCAGTCTATCTATTTTTTTTTTTTTCAAAAAACCTCTCCTGGATTCATTGACTTTTTGAATGGTTTTTCATGTCTCTATCTCCTTCAGTTTAGCTCTGATCTTGGTTATTTCTTGTCTTCTGTTAGCTTTGGGATTTGGCTGCTCTTGGTTTTCTAGTTCTTTTAGTTGAGATGTTAGGTTGATAAATTGAGATCTCTCTAGTTTTGTTGTTGTTGTTGTTGTTGTTGTTGTTGTTGTTGTTTTTGAGATCGAGTCTCACTCTGTTACCAGGCTGGAGTGCAGTGGCATGATCTCAGCTCACTGCAACCTCCACCTCTTGGGTTCAAGGGATTCTTCTGCCTCAGCCTCCCGAATAGCTGGGACTACAGGCACATGCCACAACACTCAGCTAACTTTTGTATTTTTAGTAGAGACGCAGTTTCACCATGTTAGCCAGATGGTCTTGATCTCTTGACCTCATGATCTGCCTGCCTCTGCCTCCCAAAGTGCTGGGATTACAGGCATGAGCCACCACACCCAGCCCTTTCTAGCTTTTTGATGTGGGCATTTAGTGCTATAAATTTCTCTCTTAACACTTCTTTAGCTGCATCCCAGAGATTCTGGTTTGTTGTCCCTTTGTTCTCATTAGTTTCACAGAACTTACTGATTTCTGGCTTAATTTTCTTATTTACCCAGGAGTCATTCAGGAGCAGGTTGTTCAATTTCCATGTACTTGTATGGTTTTATGTGAATTTCTTTACATTGAGGTTTAATTTGTGTTGTGGTCTGAGAGGCTGTTTGTTATGATTTCAGTTCTTTTGCATTTGCCGAGGAGTGTTTTCTTTCTGATTTTATGATGAATTTTTTAGTAAGTGCCATGTAGCAATGAGAAGAATGTATATTCTGTTGATTTGGGGTGGAGAGTTCTGTAGCAGGTCCGACTGATTTAGAGCTGAGTTCAGGTCCTGAATATCTGTTAATTTTCTGTCAGTGGGGTGTTAAAGTACTCCCACTATTTTTGTGTGGGAGTCTATGATTCTTTTAGGTCTCTAATAAGTTGCTTGAGTCTGGATGCTCCTGGAATGTGGGCATATATATTTAGAATAATTAGCTTATCTTGTTAAATTGAACACTTTACCATTATGTAATGCCCTTCTTTGTCTTTTTAAATCTTTGTTGGTTTAAAGTTTCTTTGGTCAGAAACTAGAATTGCAACCGCTGTTGTTTTCTGTTTTTCATTTGCTTGTAAAGTTGTCTTCTATTCCTTTATTTTGAGCCTATGTGTGTGTTTTTGCCTGAGAGGGGTCTCTTGAAGACAGCAATTAGATGGGTCTTGGCTCTTTATCTTGCCATTCTGTGTTTTTTAGATTGTTTACACTTAAGGTTAGTATTGTTCTGTGTAAATTTGATCCTGTCATCAAGACGCTAGCTGGTTACTTTGCAGACTTCTTTATGTGGTTGCCTCATAATATCACTGGACTGTGTACTTCAGTATGTTTTTGTAGTGTCTGGTAATGGTTTCTTTTTTATAGTGCTTCCTTCAGGACCTCTTGCAAGGCAGGCCTGGTGTTAATGAACTTCCTCAGCATTTGCTTGTCTGAAACATATCTTATTTCTCCTTTGCTTATGAAACTTAGTTTGGCCAAATATGAAATTCTGTTTTGGAAATCCTTTTTTTTTAAGAATGTTGAATATTGGCCCCCAATCTTTTCCAGCTTGTAGGGTTTCCACTGTGAGGTTCGCTGTTAATCTGATAGGCTTCCCTTTGTAGGTAATCTGGACTTTCTGGCTGCCCTTAAAATTTTTTTTTTTCATTATGACCTTGGAGAATTGGATGATTATGTGTATTGGAGATGATCTTCTCATGGAGTATCTTACAGGGGTTCTCTGCATTTCTTGAATGTGAATGTTTGCCTGTCTTGCTTGGTTGGGGAAGTTCTCCTGGATGATATCCTGAAGTATATTTTCCAACTTGGTTCCATTCACCTTGTCGGTTTCAGGTACCCCAATCAGTGATAGTTTCAGTGTCTTTATAATGAACCCATATTTCTCAGAGGTTTTCTTCATTCCTTTTTGTTTTTTTCTTCTCTGTTTTTCTCTGCCTGTCTTATTTCAGAAAGATAGTCTTCAGGCTCTGAGTTTCTTTTCTCTGCTTTTTCTATTCTGTGATTGATACTTGTGATTGATGTTGTGTTTTTCATCTCCATCAGGTCAGTTATGTTTCTCTCGAAACTGGCTATTCAGGCTATCAGCTCCTGCATTGTTTTATCATGATTCTTAACTTTTTTGCATTGGGTTACCCCATGCTCCTTTAGCTCAGCGAAGTTGATTATTACCCACCTTCTGCAGCCTACTTCTGTCAATTTAGCCATCTCAGTCTCAGCCAGTTTTGTGCCCTTGCTGGAGAGGTGTTGCAGTTATTTGGAAGAGAAGAGGCACTCTGGTTTTTGAGTTTTCAGCATTTTTCTGTTGATTCTTTCTGTCTTTGTGGCTTTATCTGCCTTCTATCTTTGAGGTTGCTGACATTTGAATGAGGTTTTTGTGGGTTCTTTTTTGTTGATGTTGTTGTTGTTTTCTGTTTGTAATTTTTTTTGAACAGTCAGGCCACTCTGCCATAGGGCTGTTGCAGTTTGCTTTGAGTCTGCTTTAGACCCCAGTTGCCTCACTTTCTTCTGTACCTGGAGGTATCACCAGTGAAGACTGTGAAACAACAAAGATGGCAGCCAGCTCCTTCTTTTGGAAGCTTCATCCCAGCGGGGTACTGACCTGTTCCTGGCCTGTACACCTGTATATGATGGCTGGAGGTCCCCGTTAGGACCTCTCATGCAGTAAGGAGGAATGAGTTCAGGCACCCATCCAAAGAAGCAGTCTGGCTGCTTTCTGGGAGACAAAGTGTGTTGTGTTGCAGGGTTTACTTTTTGTCCAGACTGCCTGTATTCTTCAAAGCCAGCAGGCTGGAGTTGCTGAGTCAACTGAACTACAGAGATGTCAGCTTATCATCCCACTGGGAGCTTCACCCTATGGAGAGGTTAAAGCTTTGTCCATAGCAATCTGCCTGGATTGTCTGAAGGCCCTGCAGGGAGGTCCCACCCAGTGAGGAAAAATGGATTGTGCTCTCACTTAAAGAAACAGTCTCGCCACAATCTGGCAAGGCAGCTGTGCTGCACTGTGGGGGACCATCCCTTGTCCATACCATCTTTATTACCCACAGCTGGCAGGATACAATGGCTTAGTCAACAAAATCGCAGAGATCATGGCTCCTTCTCACCCTGGGAAGTCAGACCCATCTCAGGTAGACTCCAACCCATTGCCATTGGCTGGATGGGATTCCAAGCCAGTGAGTCTTAACTTGTGAGGTGCTGTGGAAGAGGAGACTGCAGAATGATGCTGCCTGGCTTCCAGGATTCAGCCCCATTTCTAAAGTTATGTATGGACAGATTTCCTGCTTTGCCACTTTTTAGTTTAATTAAGTCCAATCTATTTTTGTTTTTGTTGTATTTGCTTTTGGGTTCTTGGTCATGAACTCTTTGCCTAAGCCAATGTCTAGAAGGGGTTTTCCAACATTCTAGAATTTTTATTGTTTCAGGTCTTAGATTTAATTCTTTGGTCCATGTTGAGTTGATTTTTGTATAAGGTGAGAGATGAGGATCCAGTTTCGTTCATCTACGTATGGCTTGCTAGTTATTCCAGCACCATATGTTGAATAGGGTGTCCTTTCTTCACTTTATGTTTTTGTTTGTTTTGTCAAAGATCAGTTGGCTGTAAGTATTTGGCTTTATTTCTGTGTACTTTATTCTGTTCCATTGGTCTATGTGCCTATATTTTTACCAGTACCATGCTGTTTTGGTGACTAGGGCCTTATAGTATAGTTTGAAGTTTGGTAATGTGATGCTTCCAGATATGTTCTTTTTGCTTTGTCTTGCTTTGCCTATGAAAACTTTTTTTTTCGTTCTGTATGAATTATGGAATTATTTTTTCTAGTTCTGTAAAGAATGATGGTGGTATTTTTACGGGAATTGCATTGAATTTGTAGATTGCTTTTAGCAGTATGGTCATATTCACAATATTGATTCTACCCATCTGTGAAAATAAGATTTGTTTTCATTTGTGTTATCTATGATTTCTTTTAGCAGTGTTTTTGTTTGTTTGTTTTTTGTTTTCGTAGATGTCTTTCATGTCCTTGGTTAGGTATATTACTAATTATTTTACTTTTTTTGCACCTGTTGTAAAAAGGGGTTCAGTTCTTGATTTGATTCTCTGCTAGGTCACTGTTAGTGTATAGCAGAGCTACTGATTTGTGTACATTAAATTTGTGTCCTGAATTTTTGCTGAATGCATTTATCAGATCTAGGAGCTTTTTGGATGAGTCTTTAGGGTTTTCTAGGTACATGACCATATCATCAGCAAAGATTGCTCTGGCTAGGAATTCCAGTACTATGTTGAATAGAAGTGGTGAAAGCAGGCATCGTTGTCTCTTCCCAGTTCTCAGGGGGAATGCTTTCATCTTTTCCTTGTTCAGTATAAAGTTGGCTGTGGGTTTGTCAAAAGTGGCTTTTATTACCTTAAGTTATGTCCCTTCTATGCCAGTTTTGCTGAAAGTTTTCATCACAAAGTTATGCTGGATTTTGTCACATGTTTTTTCTGCATCTTTTGAGATGATTGTATGATTTTTGTTTTTACTTCTGTTTATGTGGTGTATCACATTTATTGACTGACATATGTTAAACCATCCTTGAATCCCAGGTATGAAACCCACTTGATCATGGTGGATTATATTGTTGATATGCTGTTCAATATTGTTTGCTAGTATTTTGTTGAGAATTTTTGCATCTATGATCATCAGGCATATTAGCCTGCAGTTTTCTTTTTTTGTTATGCCCTTCTCTGGTTTTGGTATTAGGATTAGGGTGATACTACCTACTCTGTTATTAGTACTTTGGAACACTTAGCTCATTTACATTCAATGTTAGTATTGAGATGTCAGGTACTATTTTATTCATTGTGCTATTTGTTGTCTGAATACCCTGTGCATTTTTCAGTGTGTTTTTGTTGTATATGTCCTGTGAGATTTATGCGTTAAGGAGGTTCTATTTGAGGGTACTTTTAGAAGTTCTTTTAGTGCTGAATTGGTAGTGTCGTATTCTCTCAGCATTTGTTTTTCTGGAAAAAAAAAACGGTACCTTTCTTTCATCTATGAAGCTTTGTTTCACTGGATACAAAATTCTTTCCTAATTATTTTGTTTAAGGAGGCTAAACATAGGACCTCGATCTCTTCTAGCTTGTAGGGATTCTGTGGAGAAATTGGCTGTTAATCTAATACATTTTTTATAGGTTACCTGATGCTTTTACCTCACAGCTGTAAAGATTTTTTCCTTTGTTTTGACTTTACATAACCTGATGACTATGTGCTTAGGCGATGATCTTTTTTCCAGGTGTTCTTTGAGCTTTTATTTGGCTGTCTAGATCTCTAGCAAGGCCAGGGAAGTTTACCTCGATTATTCCCTCCAATATGTTTTCCAAACTTTTAGATTTCTCTTCTCTCTCATGAACACCAATAATTTTTAGGTTTGGACATTTAACATAGTCCGAAACTTCTTGGAGGCTTTGTTCATTTTTTAATTTTTTTTTTTGTCTTTGATGATTTGGGTTAATTTGAAAGCCTTGTCTTTGAGCTCTGAGTTTCATTCTCCTGCTTATTTGACTCTATTGCTGAGACTTTCCAGTACATTTTGCATTTCTCTAAGTGTGTCCTTGATTTCCAGAAGTTGTGATGTTTTTTTTTATTTATGCTATGTATTTGTCTTTTTTGTTTATTTTTTTCGTTTTTTTATTATTATTATACTTTAAGTTTTAGGGTACATGTGCACAATGTGCAGGTTTGTTACATATGTATACATGTGCCATGTTGGTGTGCAGCACCCATTAACTCATCATTTAGCATTAGGTATATCTCCTAATGCTATCCCTCCCCCCTCCCCCACCTCACAAAAGTCCCCGGTGTGTGATGTTCCCCTTCCTGTGTCCATGTGTTCTCATTGTTCAATTCCCACCTATGAGTGAAAACATGTGGTGTTTGGTTTTTTGTCCTTGCGATAGTTTCCTGAGAATGATGGTTTCCAGCTTCATCCATGCCCCTACAAAGGACATGAACTCATCATTTTTTATGGCTGCAGAGTATTCCATGGTGTATATGTGCCACATTTTCTTAATCCAGTCTATCAGTGTTGGACATTTGGCTTGGTTCCAAGTCTTTGCTATTGTGAATAGTGCCGCAGTAAACATACGTGTGAATGTGTCTTTATAGCAGCATGATTTATAATCCTTTGAGTATATGCCTAGTAATGGGATGGCTGGGTCAAATGATATTTCTAGTTCTAGATCCCTGAGGAATAGCCACACTGACTTCCACTATGGTTGAACTAGTTTACAGTCCCACCAACAGTGTAAAAGTGTTCCTGTTTCTCCACATCCTCTCCAGCACCTATACTTTACTGACTTTTTAATGATTGCCATTCTAACTGGTGTGAGATGGTATCTCACTTGTGGTTTTGATTTGCATTTCTCTGATGGCCAGTCATGATAAGCATTTTTTCATGTGTTTTTTGGCTGCATAAATGTCTTCTTTTGAGAAGTGTCTGTTCATATCCTTTGCCCGTGTTTTGATGGGGTTGTTTGTTTTTTTCTTGTAAATTTGTTTGAGTTCATTGTAGATTCTGGATATTAGCCCTTTGTCAGATGAGTAGATTGCAAAAATTTTCTCCCATTCTGTAGGTTGCCTGTTCACTCTGATGATGATTTCTTTTGCTGTGCAGAAGCTCTTTAGTTTAATTAGATCCCATTTGTCAATTTTGGCTTTTGTTGCCATTGTCTTTGGTGTTTTAGACATGAAGCCCTTGCCCATGTCTATGTCCTGAATGGTATTGCCTCAGTTTTCTTCTAGGGTTTTTTTGGTTTTAGGACTAACATGTAAGTCTTTAATCCATCTTGAATTAATTTTTGTATAAGGTGTAAGGAAGGGATCCAGTTTCAGCTTTCTACATATGGCTAGCCAGTTTTCCCAGCACCATTTATTAAATAAGGAATCCTTTCCCCATTTCTTGTTTTTGTCAGGTTTGTGAAACATCAGATAGTTGTAGATGTGCGGCATTATTTATGAGGGTTCTGTTCTGTTCCATTGGTCTATATCTCTGTTTTGGTACCAGTACCACGCTGTTTTGGTTACTGTAGCCTTGTAGTATAGTTTGAAGTCAGGTAGCATGATGCCTCCAGCTTTGTTCTTTTGGCTTAGGATTGACGTGGCAATGCAGGCTCTTTTTTGGTTCCATATGAACTTTAAAGTAGCTATTTCCAATTCTGTGAAGAAAGTCATTGGTAGCTTGATGGGGTTGGCATTGAATCTTTAAATTACCTTGGGCAGTATGGCCGTTTTCATGATATTGATTCTTCCTACCCATAAGCATGGAATGTTCTTCCATTTGTTTGTATCCTCTTTTGTTTCATTGAACAGTGGCTTGTAGTTCTCCTTGAAGAGTTCCTTCACATCCCTTGTAAGTTGGATTCCTAGGTATTTTATTCTTTGAAGCAATTTTGAATGGGAGTTCACTCATGATTTGGCTCTCTGTTTGTCTGTTATTAGTGCATAAGAATGCTTGTGATTTTTGCACATTGATTTTGTATCCTGAGACTTTGCTGAAGTTGCTTATCAGCTTAAGGAGATTTTGGGCTGAGACGATGGGGTTTTCTAGATATATAATCATGTCATCTGCAAAAAGGGACAATTTGACTTCCTCTTTTCCTAACTGAATGCCCTTTATTGCCTTCTCCTGCCTGATTATCCTGGCCAGAACTTCCAACACTATGTTGAATAAGAGTGGTGAGAGAAGGCATCCCTGTCTTGTGCCAGTTTTCAAAGGGAGTGCTTCTAGTTTTTGTCCATTCAGTATGATATTGGCTGTGGGTTTGTCATAGATAGCTCTTATTATTTTGAAATACGTCCCATCAATACCTAATCTATTGAGAGTTTTTAGCATGAAGGGTTGTTGAATTTTGTCAAAGGCTTTTTCTGCATCTATGGAGATAATCATGTGGTTTTTGTCTTTGGCTCTGTTTATATGCTGGATTACATTTATTGATTTGCGTATATTGAACCAGCCTTGCATCCCAGGGATGAAGCCCACTTGATCATGGTGGATAAGCTTTTTGATGTGCTGCTGGATTCGGTTTGCCAGTATTTTATTGAGGATTTTTGCATCAATGTTCATCAAGGATATTGGTCTAAAATTCTCTTTTTTTGTTGTGTTTCTGCCTGGCTTTGGTATCAAAATGATGCTGGCCTCATAAAATGAGTTAGGGAGGATTCCCTCTTTTTCTATTGATTGGAATAGCTTCAGAAGGAATGGTACCAGTTCCTCCTTGTACCTCTGGTAGAATTCGGCTGTGAATCCATCTGGTCCTGGACTCTTTTTGGTTGGTAAGCTATTGATTATTGCCACAATTTCAGCTCCTGTTATTGGTCTATTCAGAGATTCAACTTCTTCCTGGTTTAGTCTTGGCAGGGTGTATGTGTCCAGGAATTTACACATTTCTTCTAGATTTTCTAGTTTATTTGCATAGAGGTGTTTGTAGTATTCTCTGATGGTAGTTTGTATTTCTGTGGGATCGGTGGTGATATCCCCTTTATCATTTTTTATTGCGTCTATTTGATTCTTCTCTCTTTTCTTCTTTATTAGTCTTGCTAGCAGTCTATCAATTTTGTTGATCCTTTCAAAAAACCAGCTCCTGGATTCATTAATTTTTTTAAGGGTTTTTTGTGTCTCTATTTCCTTCAGTTCTGCTGTGATTTTAGTTATTTCTTGCCTTCTGCTAGCTTTTGAATGTTTTTGCTCTTGCTTTTCTAGTTCTTTTAATTGTGATGTTAGTGTGTCAATTTTAGATCTTTCCTGCTTTCTCTTGTGGGCATTTAGTGCTATAAATTTCCCTCTACACACTGCTTTGAATGTGTCCCAGAGATTCTGGTATGTTGTGTCTTTGTTCTCATTGGTTACAAAGAACATCTTTATTTCTGCCTTCATTTTGTTATGTACCCAGTAGTCATTCAGGAGCAGGTTGTTCAGTTTCCATGTAGTTGTGTGGTTTTCAGTGAGATTCTTAATCCTGAGTTCTAGTTTGATTGCACTGTTGTCTAAGAGGTAGTTTGTTATAATTTCTGTTCTTTTACATTTGCTGAGGAGAGATTTACTTCCACCTATGTGGTCAATTTTGGAATATGTGTGGTGTGGTACTGAAAAAAATGTATATTCTGTTGATTTGTGGTGGAGTTTTCTGTAGATGTCTATTAGGTCCGCTTGGTGCAGAGCTGAGTTCAATTCCTGGGTATCCTTGTTGACTTTCTGTCTCATTGATCTGTCTAATGTTGACAGTGGGGTGTTAAAGTCTCCCATTATTAATGTGTGGGAGTCTAAGTCTCTTTGTAGGTCACTCAGGACTTGCTTTATGAATCTTGGTGCTCCTGTATTGGGTGCATATATATTTAGGATAGTTAGCTGTTCTTGTTGAATTGATCCCTTTACCATTATGTAATGGCCTTCTTTGTCTCTTTTGATCTTTGTTGGTTTAAAGTCTGTTTTATCAGAGACTAGGATTGCAACCCCTGCCTTTTTTTGTTTTCCATTGTCTTGGTAGATCTTCCTCCATCCTTTTATTTTGAGCCTATGTGTGTCTCTGTACGTGAGATGGGTTTCCTGAATACAGCATACTGATGGGTCTTGACTCTTTATCCAATTTGCCAGTCTGTGTCTTTTAATTGGAGCATTTAGTCCATTTACATTTAAAGTTAATATTGTTACGTGTGAATTTGATCCTGTCATTATGATGTTAGCTGGTTATTTTGCTCGTTAGTTGATGCAGTTTCTTCCTAGTCTCGATGGTCTTTACATTTTGGCATGATTTTGCAGCGGCTGGTGCCGGTTGTTCCTTTCCATGTTTAGTGCTTCCTTCAGGAGCTCTTGTAAGGCAGGCCTGGTGGTGACAAAATCTCTCAGCATTTGCTTGTCTGTAAAGGATTTTATTTCTCCTTCACTTATGAAGCTTAGTTTGGCTGGATATGAAATTCTGGGTTGAAAATTCTTTTCTTTAAGAATGTTGAATATTGGCCCCCATTCTCTTCTGGCTTCTAGGGTTTCTGTTGAGAGATCCGCTGTTCATCTGATGGGCTTCCCTTTGAGGGTAACCCGACCTTTCTCTCTGGCTGCCCTTAACATTTTTTCCTTCATTTCAACTTTGGTGAATCTGACAATTATGTGTCTTGGAGTTGCTCTTCTCGAGGAGTATCTTTGTGGTGTTCTCTGTATTTCCTGAATCTGAACGTTGGCCTGCCTTGCTATATTGGGGAAGTTCTCCTGGATAATACCCTGCAGAGTGTTTTCCAACTTGGTTCCATTCTCCCCATCACTTTCAGGTACACCAATCAGATGTAGATTTGGTCTTTTCACATAGTCCCATATTTCTTGGAGGCTTTGCTCATTTATTTTTATTCTTTTTTCTCTAAACTTCCCTTCTCACTTCATTTCATTCATTTCATCTTCCATTGCTGATACCCTTTCTTCCAGTTGATTGCATCGGCTCCTGAGGCTTCTGCATTATTCACGTAGTTCTCAAGCCTTGGTTTTCAGTTCCATCAGCTCCTTTAAGCACTTCTCTGTATTGGTTATTCTAGTTATACATTCTTCTAAATTTTTTTCAAAGTTTTCAACTTCTTTGCCTTTGGTTTGAATGTCCTCCCATAGCTCAGAGTAATTTGATCGTCTGAAGCCTTCTTCTCTCAGCTCGTCAAAGTCATTCTCCATCCAGCTTTGTTCCATTGCTGGTGAGGACCTGTGTTCCTTTGGAGCAGGAGAGGTGCTCTGCTTTTTAGAGTTTCCAGTTTTTCTGTTCTGTTTTTCCCCCATCTTTGTGGTTTTATCTACTTTTGGTCTTTGATGATGGTGATGTACAGATGGGTTTTTGGTGTGGATGTCCTTTCTGTTTGTTAGTTTTCCTTCTAACAGACAGGACCCTCAGCTGCATGTCTGTTGGAATACCTGCCGTGTGAGGTGTCAGTGTGCCCCTGCTGGGGGGTGCGTCCCAGTTAGGCTGCCCGGGGGTCAGGGGTCAAGGACCCACTTGAGGAAGCAGTCTCCCCATTCTCAGATCTCCAGCTGCGTGCTGGGAGAACCACTGCTCTCTTCAAAGCTGTCAGACAGGGACATTTAAGTCTGCAGAGGTGACTGCTGTCTTTTTGTTTGTCTGTGCCCTGCCCCCAGAGGTGTAGCCTAAGGAGGCAGGCAGGCCTCCTTGAGCTGCAGTGGGCTCCACCCAGTTGGAGCTTCCTGGCTGCTTTGTTTACCTAATCAAGCCTGGGCAATGGCGGGCACCCCTCCCCCAGCCTCCTGCGGCCTTGCAGTTTGATGTCAGACTGCTGTGCTAGCAATCTGCGAGACTCCGTGGGCGTAGGACCCTCCGAGCCAGGTGTGGGATATAATCTCGTGGTGGGCCGTTTTTTAAGCCCGTCAGAAAAGCGCAGTAGTCAGGTGGGAGTGACCCGATTTTCCAGGTGCCGTCTGTCACCCCTTTCTTTGACTCAGAAAGGGAACTCCCTGACCTCTTGCACTTCCCAAGTGAGGCAATGCCTCGCCCTGCTTCGGCTTGCGCACGGTGCCCGCACCCACTGACCTGCGCCCACTGTCTGGCACTCCCTAGTGAGATGAACCCGGTACCTCAGATGGAAATGCAGAAATCACTGTCCTCTGCGTCGCTCACGCTGGGAGCTGTTCCTATTCTGCTATCTTGGCTCCTCCCCCTATTTTTTGTTTTGTTTATATAATGAATCACATTTTTTGAGTTGTGTATGTTGAACCAATTTTTAATTCTATGAATAAAATGTACTTGATCTTGGTGGATAAGTTTTTTAATATGCTGCCAGCTTCAGTTTGTCAGTGTTTTGTTGAAGATATTTACATCAATTTTCATCAAGGATATTGGCCTGGGGTGGGTTTTTTTGTTGTTTACTTGCTAGGTTTTGATGTCAGGATCGTGAAATAATTTAGGGAGAAGTCTTTTCTTTGTTTTTTTTTTTTTGGGGAATAGTTTCAGCCGGAATGATACCAGCTCTTCTTTGTACATCTGTTAGTATTTAGTTGTGAATTCTTCTGGTCTTGGGCCTTTTTTAATTGGTAGGCTATTTATTAGTGATTCACTTTTGGTGCTCATTATTGGTGTGTTCAGAGATTCAATTATTTCCTGGTTTCATCTTGGGAGGGTGTATGTGTCCAGGAATTCATCTATCTTTTTCTATATCTTTTTATTTATATGCATTGTGGGTTATTATACTGTCTGGTGTTAATTTGTATTTCTGTAGGGTTTGTGGTAATATCCATTTCATAGTTTTTGATTGTGTTTATTTAGATCTTCTCTCCCTATTTCTTCATTCTAGCTAGCTATGCACTTATTTTATTATTTTATGTCAAAAAACCAACTCCTTGAGTTAATCTTTTAATGCTTTTTCATATCTCTATCTTCTTTTCAGTTCTGATTTTGGTTATTTCTTGTGTTCTGCTACCTTTGGGGTTGGCTTTTTCTTGGTTCTCTAGTTCTTCTAGTTGTGATGTTAAGTTGTTAAATTGAGATCTTTCTTTTTATTTATTTATTTATGTATTTATTTATTTATTTTGACACGGAGTCTCTCTCTGTCGCCCAGGCTGGAGTGCAGTGGCATGCTTTCTAACTTTTTGATATGGGCAATTAGTGCTATGAATTTTCCTTTTAACACTGCCTTAGCTGTATTCTAGAGATTCTGGGATGTTGTATCTTTATTCTAATTAGTCTGAACAAACTTTTTGATTTCTATTTTAATTTCATCATTTACCCAAACATCATTCAGGAGCAGGTTATTCCATTTTCATATAATTGTATGGTTTTGAATGAATTTTTTAGTCCTGGTTTATTATTTTTTTGTGCTGTGGTCTGAGAGATTGGTTGTTATTATTTCTGTTCTTTTGCTTTTGTTTAGGATTGTTTTAATTATGATTACATGATTGATTTTAGAGTATTTGTCATGTGGATATGAGAAGAATGTATATATTACTGTTTTTGAGTGGAGAGTTTTGTTGATATCTATCAGGTCCAGTTAAGCTAGTGCTGAGTTTAGGTCCTGAATATCTTTGTTAATTTTCTGCCTTGATGATCTTTCTAATATGTTGAGTGTTGTGTTGAAGTCTCCCACTCTCACTGTGTGTGAGTCTACGTCTCTTTGAAGGTCTCTAAGATCTTGCTTTACGGATCAGAGTACTCCTATGCTCGGTGCATATATATTTATGACAGGTCTTCTTGTTTCATTGAACCCTTTACCATCACATAATGCTTTTCTTTGTCTTTTTTGATGTTATTGGTTTAAAATTTGTTTTGCCTGAAGTTAGGATTACATTTTGTGCTTTCTTTTTTTTCCATTTTCTTGGTAGATTTTTCTGCATCCCTTTAAGTCTATGTGTGTGATTTCATGTGAGATGGATTTCTTGAAGACAGCTTGCCAATGGGTCTTGGAATTTAATCGACCTTACTACCCTGTGCCATTTAATTGGGGCATTTGGCCTGTTTACCTTCAAGGTTAGTATTGATATGTGTACATTTGATCTTGTCAACATGATATTAGCTGGCTATTTTTCAGACTTGTTTATGTAGTTGCTTTATATTGTTACTGGCCTCTGTATTTCAGTATGTTTTCGTAGTGGCTGGTAATGGGCTTACTTTTCCATATTTAGTGACTTTTTCAGGGGATCTTTTAAAGTAGGTTTGATGGCAACAAATTTTCTTAGCATTTGCTTGTCTGAAAATTATCTTATTTTCTTTTTGCTTATGAAGCTTAGTTTGGCTATATATGAAATTCTGTGTTGGAGTTTATTTTCTTTAAGAATGTTGAATATTGTCTTTCCAGTAGGGTTTCTGCTGAGAAGTTCACTGTTTGTCTGATTGGATTCCCTTTCTAGGTGACCTGACCTTGTTTTCTAGCTGCCTTTAACATTTTTACTTTTATTTTGTGTTTGGAGAATCTGATGATTATGTTGCTTGGGGATGATTTTCTTCAGAAGTATTTTACTGGGATTCTCTGCATTTTTTGAATTTGCGTTTTGGCCTCTCTAGCTAGGTTGAAGAAGTTCTCATGGATGATAATCTGAAATATGTTTTCCAAGTTGTTTACACTCTCTCCATCTTTCTCAGGGACTTTGGTGAATCAAAGATTTGGTCTCTTTACACAATCCCATATTTGTCAGAGGTTTTGTTGATTTTTTTAATTTTTTTTCTCTCTTCTTGTCTGGCTGTCTTGTTTCAGAAAGCCTGTCTTAAAGCTCTGAGATTCTTTCCTCCACTTGGTCTATTTTCCTATTAATACTTTTGATTGCATTATGAAATTTTTGTAGTGTGATTTTCAGCTCTATTAGTTCAGTTATATTTCTTTCTATAGTGGCTATTTTATCTTTCAGCTCTTATATTATTTTATTTTGATTCTTAGCTTATATAGATTCGGTTTTGATGTACTCCTGGATCTCAATGATCTTCCTTTTTATTCATATTCTGAATTTTATTTCTGTCATTTCAGCCATCAGCCCTGTTCAGAACCTTTGCTGGAGAGGTGGTGCAGTCATTTGGAAGACCAAGGCACTCTGGCCTTTTGAGTTGTCAGGGTTCTTGTGTTGGTTTTCTCATCTTTATGGGCTTATGGGTTTTTTTTATTTTTAAAATTTTTGGTCTAAGTTGCTGAACTTGGATTTTTTTCTTGTATTTTATTTACGCCCTTTATGGTTTGATTGTGGTATGAAGTCACTTAAGCCAACTGGCTTCATTTCTGGAAGATTTTAGGGGAACAACACTCTACTTTGAATTCTTGTACCATTTGCTCTCACTCTGGGGGCCTTTTATCAGGCCCCAGCATTGTTCTCTGTCTCTCTGATGTTTGAAATGCACTACACTATACACCATGGAATACTATGCAGCCATAAAAAATGATGAGTTCATGTCCTTTGTAGGGACATGGATGAAACTGGAAACCATCATTCTCAGTAAACTATTGCAAGAACAAAAAACCAAACACCGCATATTCTCACTCATAGGTGGGAATTGAACAATGAGATCACATGGACACAGGAAGGGGAATATCACACTCTGGGGACTGTGGTGGGGTGGGGGGAGGGGGGAGGGATAACATTGGGAGATATACCTAATGCTAGATGACGAGTTAGTGGGTGCAGCGCACCAGCATGGCACATGTATACATATGTAACTAACCTGCACAATGTGCACATGTACCCTAAAACTTAAAGTATATATAAAAAAAAAAGAAGTGTATCATTGCAGGTGTAAAAAAAAAAAAAAAAAAAAAAGAAATGCACTACACTGAGGGGCCAAGGTGCTCTCCAACAGCTGGTCACTAGACTCTGATGGGTGGTGTCAGCCAAAATGTTTTGTAATGCGGTTACTGAAGAATCTGTTCGTTTTTGCATGTGCCAGCAACAGCAGCAGTCTGGCAGGGTGCACACTTGTCACCTGTGACAGGGTGCTAACAGGGGCTTGGGGGACTGCCTCTATGTGAGTGTTCATCACAGTGGTGAAGGCAGTTCGGCTTGGGGCCAAGGGGTCCTTTTTTGCAAGGTTCATGATGGTGGTGGTGTTGGCATGGGGTTGGAGCTCTGGGGGGCGTAGGTCTGTGTGCATTCTTTTTGTGCCACAGATATGGGTGGTTGCTCAGGGTGGAGGAGAATTCCTTTTTCTTTATGCTTAGTTTTTCTCCTGTGACAGTGTTGGTGCAAGGGTGGGCCTTGCTGATTCTGTGCTTGCCAAGGCTCTGACTGCAATGGTGGTTTGTGGAGAGAGGGTGGTGGTTTGTATATTTGCTGTAGCAGTGGAAGGGCAGGGTGCATGCATAGAGGTGCACTGACAAACCAAGGAAAGCAAACATGCCCACGTACACACTTGTCATCAAAGTGATGTGCGGGGTTGCTGTTGGCCCACGGGAAGCTGCATTGTGAGGAGGTAGCAGAAAGTCTCTTGTGTGGCCATGGGGGCAGCACTGTTGGAGCTCTCCATTGGTCAGAAACGTTTCACCAGCACAGAAGCCATGATGCAGGTCCCTAGGGCACTCAAGGCTTCTTTGAACAAGTGTGACTAGGCTGGGGCCAACTGGAGAGGCCAGGAAATTAAGGGGTGCTCATGTCAGACCAGCCCCATGTGGTGGACAAGAACACCCTGCAGAGTTAAGGTTCAATAGTTCCTCTAGGGCTAACGTCTCCTATGGGAGCAAGTCAAGCCTGGGGGAATGGCTGTCTCTGCCTCTGCTCCACTACAGATGCTGCTGCACGAAACTCTCTGGGCTTCACCTCAGCTGGATTGCTACCCTTACCACTTCTTTAAGCAGGTATCCCTGCCAACTCGAGTGTCCATGGTGGTTGAGAGGTCTCCTTCTGCTTGCATTCAAGAAGCCAATGGAGAGAACAGGTTGCTTTTTTACCATTTGAACTCATGCATTCTTCTGGAGTTACTGGCGGCCAGGAACAAGTCCCCGCGTGGAGTAGCCCCGCTTCCTCCGTCTTGCTAGCTACTGTTTCTTTCTTCTCTCCACTCTGATGATACATTAGGAGTGTGCCAATCATCTTGGTCCCTCAGTGGCAACTGGGTGCACCAGTGTTGGGCATATATATATATATATACACACATATATATATACATATATATATACACATATATATACGTGTATATATATATACACACATATATATACGTATATATACACATATATATACATATATATACATATATATATATATATATATATATATATATATATATATATATAGTGAGTTTTATATGTTTGTTTTATTTTTTATATATACTTTAAGTTCTGGGATACCTGTGCAGAATGTGCCAGTTTGTTACATAGGTATACACATGCCATGGTGGTTTGTTGCACCCATCAGCCCGTCACCTACATTAGGTATTTCTCCTAATGCTCTCTCTCCCCTAGTGCCACCCCCACCCACCCCCACCGCCAACAGGACCTGGTGTGTGATGTTTCCTTCCCTGTGTTCACGTCTTCTCATTGTTCAACTTCCACTTACAAGTAAGAACATGTGGGGTTTTGTTTTCTGTTCCTGTGTTAGTTTGCTGAGAATGATGGTTTTGAGCTTCATCCCTATCCCTGCAAAGAACATGAACTCATCGTTTTTTATGGCTGCATATACTCTATGGTGTATATGTGCCACATTTTCTTTATCCAGTCTATCATTGATGGGCATTTGGGTTGGTCCCAAGTCTTTGCTATTGTGAATACTGCTGCAATAAACATATGTGTCCGTGTGTCTTTACAGTAGAATGATTTATAAGCCTTTGGGTGTATACCCAGTAGTGGGATTGCTGGGTCAAATGATATTTCCGGTTCTAGGTTCTTGAGGAATTGACACACTGTCTTCCACAATGGTTGAACTAATTGCCACTCCCACCAACAGTGTAAAAGTGTTCCTATTTCTCCACATCCTCTACAGCATCTGTTGTTTCCTGACTTTTTAATGATCATCATTCTAACTTGCATGAGATAGTATCTCATTGTGATTTTGATTTGCATTTCTCTAATGACCAGTGATGATGAGCTTTTTTTCATGTGTTTGCTGGCCGCATAAATGTCTTATTTGAGAAGTATCTGTTCATATCATTTGCCCACTTTATGATGGGGTGGTTTGCTTTTTGTCTTGTAAATTTCTTTAAGTTCTTTGTAGATTCTGGATATTAGCCCTTTGCCAGATGGGTAGATTGCAAAAATTTTTTCCCGTTCTGTAGGTTGCCTGTTCACTCTGATGATAGTTTCCTTTGCTGTGAAGAAGCTCTTTAGTTTAATTAGATCCCATTTGTCAATTTTGACTTTTGTTGCCATTGCTTTTGGTGTTTTAGTCATGAAGCCTTTGCCCATGCCTTTGTCCTGAATGATATTGCCTAGGTTTTCATTTAGGGTTTTTGTTTCTTTTAGGTCTTACATTCAAATCTTCAATCTATCTTGAGTTAATTTTTGTATAAGGTGTAAGGAAGGGGTCCAGTTTCAGTTTTCTGCATATGGTTAGCCAGTTTTCCCAACACCATTTATTAAATAGGGAACCCTTTCCCCATTACTTGTTTTTGGCAAGTTTGTCAGAGAACAGATGGTTGTAGACGTGTGGCATTATATCTGAGGCCTCTGTTCTGTTCTATTGGTCTATATATCTGTTTTGGTACCAGTACCGTGCTGTTTTGTTTACTGTAGCCTTGTAGTATAGTTGAAGTCAGGTAGTGTGATGCCTTCAGCTTTTATTTTTTTGCTTAGGATTGTCTTGGCAATATGGGCTCTTTTTCGCTTCCATATGTAATTTAAAGTAATTTTTTCTAATTCTGTGAAAAAAGGCAATGGTAGCTTGATGAAGATAGCATTGAATCTATAAATTACTTTAGGCAATATGGCCATTTTCATGACATTGATTATTCCTGTCCATGAGTATGGAATGATTTTCCAATTGTTTGTGTCCTCCCTTACTTCCTTGAGCAGTGAGACCTGAGATTTTCCTGAAGTTGCTTGTCAGCTTAAGGAGATTTGGGGCTGAGATGACAGGGTTTTCTAAATATACAATCATGTGATCTGCAAAAGAGACAATCTGACTTCCTCTTTTCCTATTTGAATACCTCTTATTTTTTTCTCTTGCCTGATTGCCCTGGCCGGAACTTTCAATAATATGTTGAATCAGAGTGTAAGAGAGGGCATCCTTGTCTTGTACCAGTTTTCAAAGGGAATGCTTCCAGCTTTTTCCCATTCAGTATGATATGGACTGTAGGTTTGTTATAAATAGTTCTTGTTATTTTGAGATACTTTCCATCAATACCCAGTTTATTGAGAGTTTTTAGCATGAAGAGGTGTTGAATTTTATTGAAGGCCTTTTCTGCATCTATTGAGACAATCATATGGTTTTTGTCCATTGATTCTGTTTATGTGTTGGATTACATTTATTAATTTGTGTACGTTGAACCACCCTTGCATCCTGGGGATGAAGCTGACTTGATCATCGTGGATAAGCTTTTTGATATCCTGCTGGTTTCAGGTTGCCAGTATTTTATTGAGGATTTTTACATCGATGTTCATCAGGGATATTGGCCTGAAGTTTTCTTTTTTGTTGCTGTTGTTGTGTCTCTGCCAGGTTTTGGTATCAGGATGATGCTGGCCTCATAAAATGAGTTAGGGAGGAGTTCCTGTTTTTCTATTGTTTGGAATAGTTTCAGAAGGAATGGTACCAGCTCCTCTTTGTACCTCTGGTAGAATTCGGCTGTGAATCTGTCTTGTCTTGGGTTTTTTTGGTTGGTAGGCTATTAATTACTGCCTCAATTTCAGAACTTGTTATTGGTGTATTCAGGTATTCGACTTCTTACTGGTTTAGTCTTTGGAGTGTGTATGTGTCCAGAAATTTACCCATTTCTTCTAGGTCTTCTAGTTTATTGACATAGAGGTGTTTCTAGTATTCTCTGATGGTAGTTTGTATTTCTGTGGGATCAGAGGTGATATCGATTCTTCTCTCTTTTCTTCTTTATTAGTCTGGCTAGAGGTCTATCTATTTTGATGATCTTTTCAAAAAACCAGCTCCTGGATTCATTGATTTTTTGAAGGGTGTTTTGTGTCTCTATCTCCTTCAATTCTGCTCTGATCTTAGTTATTTCTTGTCTTCTGCTAGCTTTTGGATTTGTTTGCTCTTGCTTCTCTAGTTCTTTTAATTTTGATGTTAGGGTGTCAATTTTAGATCTTTCCTGCTTTCTCCTGTGGACATTTAGTGCTATAAATTTCCCTCCAAACACTGCTTTAGCTGTATCCCAGAGATTCTGGTAAGTTATGTCCTTGTTCTCATTGGTTTCGAAGAACTTATTTATTTCTGCCTTAATTTCGTTATTTACCAGCAGTCATTCAGGAGCAGGTTGTTCAGTTTCCATCTAGTTGTGTGGTTTTTAGTGAGTTTCTTAATCTTGAGTTCTAATTTGACTGCACTGTGGTCTGTCAGGCTGTTTGTCATGATTTCCATTCTTTTTCATTTACTGAGGAGTGTTTTACTTCCAATTATGTCATCAATTTTAGAATAAGTGCAATGTGGTGCTGAGAAGAATGTATATTCTGTTGATATGGCGTGGAGAGTTCTGTAGATGTCTATTAGGTCGGCTTGGTCCAGAGCTGAGTTCAAGTCCTGAATATTCTTACTTTTCTGTCTTGTTTACCTGTCTAATATTGATAGTGGGGTGTTAAAGTCACCTACTATTATTGTGTGGGAGTCTAAGTCTCTTTGTAGGTCTCTAAGAACTTGCTTTATGAATCTGGGTGCCCCTGTATTGGGTGCATATATATTTACGATAGTTACCTCTTCTTGTTGCATTGATCCCTTTACCATTATTTAATGTTCTTGGCCTTTTTTGATGTTTGTTGGTTTAAAGTCTGTTTTATCAGAGACCAGGATTGCAACCCCTGCTTTTTTTTTTTTTTTTTTTCTTTTTGGCTTGGTTAATCTTCTGTCCTTTTATTTTGAGCCTAGGTGTGTCTTTGCATGTGAGATGGGTCTCCTGAATACAGCACAGTGATGGGTCTTGACTCTTTATCCAATTTTCCAGTCTGTGTCTTTTAATTGAGGCATTCAGCCCGTTTACTTTTAAGGTTAATTTTGTTATGTGTGAATTTGATCCTGTCATTATGATGATAGCTGGTTATTTTGCTTGTTAGTTGATGCAGTTTCTTCATAGTGTCAATGGTCTTTACAATTTGGCAGGTTTTTATAGTGGCTGGTACCTTGTTTTTTGTTTGTGTTTTTGTCTTTGTTTTTCCTTGTTTAGTGTTTTCTTCAGGAGCTCTTGTAAGGTAGGCCTGGTGGTGACAAAATCTCTCAACATTTGCTTGTCCATAAAGGATTTTATTTCTCCTTGGCTTATGAAGCTTAGTTTGGCTGGTTATGAAATTCTGGATTGAAAATTCTTTTCTTTAAGAGTGTTAAATATTGGCCTCCACTCTCTTCTGGCTTGTAGGGTTTCTGCAGAGAGATCTGCTGTTAGTCTGATGGCCTTCTTTTTGTGGGTAACCACACCTTTCTCTCTGGCTGCCCTTAACTTTTTTTCCTTCATTTCACCCTTGGTGAATCTGATGATTCTTAAGGCGTAACTTTGTGGTGTTCTCTGTATTTCCTGAATTTGAATGTTGGCCTGTCTTGCTAGGTTGGGGAAGTTCTCCTGGATAATATCCAGGAGAGTGTTTTCCAACTTGGTTCCATTCTTTCAGTCACTTTCAGGTACAGCAATGAAACATAGATTTGGTCTTTTCACACAGTCCCATCTGTCTTGGAGGCTTTGTTTGCTCCTTTTCATTCTTTTTTTTCTAATCTTGTCTTCATGTTTTATTTCATTAAGTTGATCTTCAATCTCTGATATCCTTTCTTTTGCTTGATCGATTTGGCTATTGATACTTGTGTATGCTTCACGAAGTTCTCGTGCTGTGTTTTTCAGCTCCATCAGGTCAGTTATATTCTTCTCTAAACTGGTTATTCTAGTTAGCATTTCCTCTAACCTTGTTTCAAGATTCTTAGCTTTTTTGCATTGAGTTAGAACATGCTCCTTTAGCTCTGAGGAATTTGTTATTACCCACCTTCTGAAGCCTACTTCCTTCAATTCATCAAATTTATTGTCCATCCAGTTTTGTTCCTTTGCTGGTGAGGATTTTGGATCCTTTGTAGGAGAAGAGGCCTTTTGGTTTTTGGAATTTTCAGCCTTTTTGCACTGGTTTTTCCTCATCTTTGTGAATTTATCTGCCTTTGGTCTTTAGTGTTCGTGACCTTCAGATGAAGTTTCTGTGTGGTTGTTTTTTCTGTGGATGTTGATGCTATTCCTTTCTGTTGTTAGTTTTCCTTCTAACAGGCCCCTCTGCTGCAAGTCTGCTGGAGTTTGCTGGAGGTCCACTCTAGACCCTGTTTTCCTGGGTATTACCAGCAGAGGCTGCAGAACACAAAGATTGCTGCCTATTCCTTCCTCTGGAAGCTTTGTCCCAGAGGGGCACCCACCAGAAGGCAGCCAGAGCTCTCCTGTATGAGATGTCCCTGCTGGGAGGTGTGTCCCAGTCAGGAGACATGGGCGTCAGGGACCCACTTGAGGAGGCAGTCTGTCTCTTAGTGGAGGTCAAGTGCTGTGCTGGGAGATCCCCTGCTCTCTTCAGAGCTGGCAGGCAGGAATGTTTAAGTCCACTGAATCTGTGTTCACAGCCACCCCTTCTCCCAGGTGCTCTGTCTCAGGCAGATGGGAGTTTTATCTGTAAGTCCCTGACTGGGGCTGCTGTCTTTCAGAGATGCCCTGCCCAGAGCAGAGGAATCTAGAGAGACAGTATGGCTATGGCAGCTTCACCGAGCTGCAGTAGGCTCCCTATGTGTTCTAATAATGGTGGATACTATCCTTTCACTTCCAGGTTTATGACCTTCTATATATGTACATATATATCAATATATATATACACACACACATATATATAGAATGTGCATGTGTATATAATACATGTATGTGTATATATATGTATATACATATATACATGTGTGTGTATATATACATATATACATATATACGTATGTGTGTGTATATATATGTATATACATATATATGTGTGTGTGTGTATATATATATATATGCAGGATGCAGTCTTGTGTGGGTCTTCAAAATGGTGCCTTGTAGCTGCCTAGGACTCAGGAGGTATTATATTCTCCTGCTGAATTTATTATTTTATTATTGTGTAATACTTTTTGTCTTTTTGCCTTTTTTTTCTTTAAAGTCTGTTATTTAAGTACAGCTACTCCTGCTTGCTTTTGGTTTTCATTTCCATGGAACATTTTATTTCATCCCATTACTTTTACTAGATACGCATTTACATGTGAAGTGAGTTTCTTGTGAGCAGCATATAATTGGGTCATTTAAAAATTCATTCTGCCAGTCAATATCTTTTAAGTGGAGAATTTAACCTGCTTACATTCAAGCTTATTATTGATATGTCAGGACTTGCTTGTGTCATTTTATTAGTTGATTCCTCGTTGTTTTATATATTCTTTGTTTCTTTATTTTTCTCTATTTATCACTGGGGTTTGGTGATTTTCTGTAGTGGTACCATTTCAGTGCTTTCTTTTTATTATTTTTTGTGTTTCCTCTACCAGTGAGTTTTATATGTTTATGCGTTTTCATAATGGTGGCTATTGTCCTTTCACTTCCAGGTGTACGACTTTCTTAAGCATTTCTGGTAGGGGCATTCTAGTGGTGATAAACCCTCTCAGCTTTTGCCTTTCTGGGAAGGACTATTTCTCATCCATTTACGAAAAGTTCCTTTACTGGGTATAGCGTTGTTGGCTGGCAGTTTTTTTTCTTTCACCACTTGGAATATATTATCCAATTCTCTCCTGGCATGTAAGGTTTGCTGAGAATTTTGCTGTTAGTCTCATGAAAGTTCCTTTATATGCGCCTTTATGTGCATTTTTGGGGGTTTTTAGAATTCTCTCTTTGACTTTTTACAGTTTGACTGTAATGTGACTTGGGGAAGAAATTTTAGTTGTGTATATTTTGGAATTTCTGCTTATTATGTATTAGATATCTAAACATTTTGCTAGGCTTAGGAAGTTTACAGCTATTATTTTGTTAAATAGCTGTTCTATTTATTTTGTTTCCCCTTCACCTTCTGGGACATCACAATTTTGAATATTTAGTCACTTTATGGTGTCCCATATGTCCTGTTGACTTTCCTTATTCTTTTTAATTTTTTCCTGTTTTTTTCTGACTGGGTTATTTGAAAAGATCTGTCTTCAAGTTCTGAAATTCTGTTTGATTTAGCCTAGTTTTGAAACTTACAAATATATTTTTATTTCATTCAATGAATTAATTAGTTCCAGATTTTTTTATGATATCTATTTTTTGTAAATTTCTCATTAATATCTTAAATTGTTATTTAAAAATAATATCTGTTTTCTTGTATCTTTTTGAGATTTTTAATACCATTTTCAATTCTTTTTTAAGATTTCATAATTTTTTTTCATTGGATCTGTTGCTGGAAAGTTGTTGCATTCCTTTGGAGATGTTGTCTTTTCTTTGTTATATTTCTTGTGTCCTTATGTTGATATCTGTGTATCTAATGTACAAATAGCTTCTTTCAATTTTTTGAATTTATTTTCACAAAGATGGGTTTTTTTTAAAGATGGATTTATGTTGTTGGTTGGGTAGGGAACTTTGGGTTTGATTCTGGGTGTTTGCAGTAATATAGTCCTTGTATGAGTTATTTGACTGTAAACAGCAGTTATTGCTATGATTTCTTCAGTGGTTTATAGTGCAGTTGCTAATAGAGGCTGTTGTGATGTTTGTGTGTGGATGTGAATGCCAAGTATGCCTGTCTTCAGGCTTCCAATGTGGCAGCAGTGGATTTAGTGTGCCTAGTTTTGGGCCCCAATGACAGCAGGTCTAGGTAGGCTGATTTGTTGGACCCCAAACAGCTTGCTCAGGTACAGGCAGTTTCACCATTTGCCCAAGTGGGTGAGTGAGTCTTTGGGGCCTTGGGTAAAGGGTGTAGCATGAGTGATGGCAGTAATAAGGGCAGAACAACACTCTGGCTCCCAGGTGGTTTCCTCTAGTGTTGGTGGTTTCTGTGATATGCTGTGCACAAAAGTACTCAAGCTTGCAGTTTGTGTGGGTGGGTGCCAGCTGCAGTCGTGGCATGTTGGGTGTTCTTCAGTCTCCTAGGAGGAGTGCTCAGATGTCAAAGGTGATGAATGGGGCAGGGTGATTCCCAGGCCCCCAGATGTTGGCCTCAGGCTCTGCAGGGGCATAGTTGGGCCAGATGGGCCTGCTCTCAGGCCCCTCAGTGGTTCATGTGAGCACCGACTATGGTAGACAGGGGCCTGGATATGTGCAGTATGTGCAGGTTGGTGCAGCAGTAGTTTTGTTGCTTCCCTGATGCTCAGGAGGGTGAGGTTGCTTGCATTGGCAGCAGCACTAGGCATGCAGCTGGGGAGCATATACTTCAGCACCAGGTGATTTTTGCAAGCAGGGTAGCTTGTCTTCATTGCACTTGTACATGTGTGTTGGTCCTGCTACTGGGGGTAGCAGGCTCACTGTTAATGGTTCCTGCTTTAATCCTGTTGGCACTAGCCAGCAGTGGTACCTGGATGTGGGTGGAGGATATCAATTAGGCTCCAAGGATGTGAATATACAAAAACTGTTGAGACCTAAGGCAGGATGCAGTCTGATGGGGACTAGACCTTCCAAATGGTGCCTTGTAACTGCCTAGGACTCAGGAGGTGTTTGGGACACAGAGTGAGCTTCTTCTGTGGAGCAGTGTCACAATGTGTTCTCCAGGCCACTCCCTACATTAGTCTCCAGGCCTACAAGGGCCAAGGGGCTTTACAATGGTTAGGATTGCAGAAGATCATGCTGGGAATTTGGACTGCTGGCAGCCTTTCACTTTCCATTAACTGAAGATCCTTTCCAGGCTCCAAGCCAATTCTGACCAAGCAGACTACCTTGCTTCTCTCTCCTCCCTTGCCTTAAATGTTTTCTGTCTTTTTTCTGTTAAATTTCAGCATTCTGTCTTAGGTGATCTCTTCAAGATGATACTGTCTACTCACTAATTTGGTTTTGTGTGGTAGAAGCTTTAAGGTGGCTGACTAGAGGCATCCAGTACTCACGTCTTCCATTCGTCTTTGTGGAGTACGTGAGTACCAGATGCCTCTAGTCAGCCATCTTAAAGCTTCTTCCCAAAAAAATTTTGAAATCCCCTTGAACTCTTGTAGCCAATAGGTCAGGCCTATTTTTTTACATATCAGATTTTTGTTATTTTTCATTTGAATAGTGTCTAGGAACTCAGAATGGTTTTGGAAGCTTTTAATCTGAGTAATTGGGTCATTTTTACCTGCATGAGAGGCAGTGCCTAGATGGTAGACTAGAGGCAGCTCATGTGTGCTGTTCTCAAAGAAAGGAAACAAAAGGGCTAGTGAGCACTAACTCTGCAGGTTGATCTTCTGAGAAACCAGGTCAGGATCCATCAATGCAGCAGGGGAACACAGAGAGCAGAGGATCAAAGCTGGTCAACAGCCAGCCTGGACTCAGCAGAGAGCCAGGAGAACCTCTCTAATATGAGAAAGAGTGAGTGAGAGCACCTAGGGAGATTCACACTCCAACAGGGACCTGTGCAAGACTAGGAATGGGAGAATCCCCCTTCCCCCGTCCCCCTCCTACACTTCTAAGACTGAGGCAGAAAACTGTTCAGACTTTTTCACAGGCAACTCTCGAGTCCAAGGGGACTTCTACAAGCCTTGGGCCCTAGAAAACACCAGCACTTGCACCATAGCTCCAATAGAGGCCAAAGTGGCAGTATCTGGGAGCAGTAAGATTGCTTTACTTCCCCTTGCTGGAAGAGGCTCAGCACCAGCTTCTAGCCTAGCGGTCCTACTTTGGCTTGAATTCGGCCAGCTATTTCACCCACCTTGCCAATGGTAGCCAAAGTGGAAATGCCTGATATAGCCTTCAGCCTCATGGTCTCCCTTTTGTGTGAACTCAGCTTTAGGGTGAAGCCTCCTGATGTTCTAGGAGACATTCTGACAGCAGGGCACATGACCCCATCCAGCCACACCACTGATAGCCAGAATGTCAATGCTTGCTAGAGCTTCTGGCCTAGTGGTCTTGCTTTTTTGTGAACTCAGCTGGATGGTGCCACTTCCTGTTGTCCTGGAAAATACCCGGATGGCAGAGTGTGTGACCCCACCTGCCCTGCCACTGGAAGCCAGGTGGGCAACACCTGTTAGAGCTTCTGGCCCGACAGCCCACTTCTGTTTGAGCACAGTTAGAGGGTGCAGCTTCCTGTTTTACCAAGCAACACCTGGATGGCAGAGCACATGACCCCACCCGACTCTGCCACTGGAAACCAGGTGAGCAACACTTCCTAGAGCTTCCTGCTCAGTGGCCCTGATTCTGTGTGAACTCAGCTGGAGCACACAGCTTCCTGTTGTTTTGGTGAACAACCAAATTTTGGAGTGTATGATTCCACCCACTCGCACCACTGGCAACCAGGCAAGCAATGCCTGCTATAACTTTTGCCCCAACAGCTTCGTTTCTGTGTAAACTCAGCTAGAGGTCACAGCTTCCTGTTGTCCCAGGAAACACCTGGATTGCAGAATGTGTGACCCCACCCACCCCTGCCAATGGTAGCCAGGCAAGCAATGCATGCTAGAGCTTCCAGCACAGCAGCCCCGCTTCTGCGTGAACTCAGCTGGAGGACACAGCTTCATGTTGTCCCATGAAACATCCAAATGGCAGAGTACATGACCCTGCCTGCCCCCACCACTGATAGCCATGCAGGTAATGCTTGCTAGAGCTTATAGGCCAGCAGCCCTGCTTCTTTCTAAAGTCAGGTGGAAGTCCCAGCTTTGTTATCCTGGGAAACACCTGGTCAGCCATGCACATGACACTCCACCCACCCTGACCACTATTAATGAAGCAGGTAACACCTATTAGAGTTTCTAGCCCAGCAGCCTCACTTCTGTCTGAACTATGCTGGCATGCACAGCCTCCTGTTGTCCCAGGAACCACTCAGATGGCAGGAGAGGTGACCCCACCCACCCATGCCACTGACAGCCAAGTGGGCAATGCCTATTAGAACTTCTGGCTCAGCTGTCCTGCATCTGTGGGAACTCAGCTGGAGTGTGCAGCCACCTGTTGTCCTGAGAAACACCTGGATGGCAGGGTGCATGACCCCACTGATCTAATCCCTGCCACTGAGAGCCAGGAATGCAATGCCCACTAGAGCTTCTGACCCAGTGGCCCTGCTATTGTGTGAGCTCGGTTAGAGGGTGCAGCTTCCTGTTGTCCTGAGAAACACCCACCCTGCTGTCCCCCACTACTAGTAGCCAGGTGGGATATGTGTATTAGAGCTTCTGGCCCAGTAAGCCCGCTTCTGTGGAAACTCAGCCGATGGGCACAGCCTCCTTTTGTCCCAGGAGGTACCCAGACAGTAGGGATGGCATCCCCACCCACCCCCACTGCTGGTAGCCAGGTGAGTCATGCCTGATCGAGCTTCTGGCCCAGCAGTTCTACTTCTGCCTGAATTTGCTAAGGGGTGCAGCCCCCTATTGCCCTGGAAACACCCAGATGCCAGAGCAGTCAACTCCACCCACCCCCATCTCCTGTAGCCAGATGTGCCACATCCCCTAGAGCTTCCAGCCCAGCAGTCATGCCCGGCTTCCTGCCCAGCAGTCTTGCCCGGCTTCCTGCCCAGCGGTCTTGCCCAGCTTCCTGCCCAGCGGTCCTGCCCAGCAGTCCTGCTTCAGTGTGACGATTCCTCAAGGATCTAGAACCAGAAATACCATTTGACTGAGCAATCCCATTGCTGGGTATATACCCAAAGGATTATCAATCATTCTCCTATAAAGACACATGCACACATATGTTTATTGCAGCACTATTCACAATAGCAAAGACTTGGAGCCAACCCAAATGCCCATCAAAGATAGACTGGATAAAGAAAATGTGGCACATATACACCATGGAATACTATGCAGCCATAAAAAAGAATAAGTTCATGTTGTTTGCAGGGACATGGATGAAGCTGGAAGCCATCATTCTCAGCAAACTAACACAGGAACAGAAAACCAAACACAGCATGTTCTCACTCATTAGTGGGAGTTGAAAAAGAACACATGGACACAGGGAGGCAAACATTACACACTGGGGCCTGTCGGGGTGTTAGAGGGAAGGGAAGGGAGAGCATTTGGACAAATACCTAATGCATGTGGGGCTTAAAACCTAGATGATGGGTTGATAGGTGTAGCAAACCACCATGGCACATGTGTACCTATGTAACAAACCTGCACGTTCTGCACAGGTGTCCCAAATCTTAAAGTAAATTTTCTTAAAAAAAGAAAAAGAGAGAGAGAGAGTGTGGTACATATAAACCATGAAATACTATTCAGCCATCAAAAGGAAAGAGATCATATCCTTTGCAGGGCCATGGATGAAGCTGGAAGCCATCATCCTCAGCAAACTAACACAGGAACAGGAACCCAAACACTACATGTTCTCACTCATAGGTAGGAGTTGAACAATGAGAACACATGGACCCAGGGAGGGGAATAACACACACCATGGCCTGTTGAGTGGGGGCAAGGGGAAGAAACTTTGAGGACAGGTCAATAGGTGCAGCAAACCACCATTGCTCATGTTTACCTATGTAACAAACCAGCACGTTCTGCACATGTATCTTGGAACTATAAGTAAAATAATAAAAAAAGAACATGTGGTGGTTTTTAAATATCTGAATGTATCTAACTAAATACATTGGCTAAGTAAATATAAGGTAGTCACATGTAAGCCTGATGCTCATGTAAGAAACAGTATCCTATTATGGCACAGACTGTATTGGGAATATATGCATCATTTACTCTAATAGGAGACAGCTAATTTTATGTTCCTCTAGTATACAAACATCCTGTGAAGAGTGAAATAGTTTTTCAAAGCAGGCTGAAGTGCCACTGAAGAGAACAGACTGAGTATAATAGATAACCTAGATATTAGTGTCTTTCATATTGGCCATGGGATTGGCCAATAGCTCATAGGATTGTAATAACCTCAGCAGAAGCATTTTGATGTCATAAAGTCAAGGTCTAATTTTTCAAGACTGAATTTGAGATATGAAGGAAACTTAATTACCAGAAGGTAATTAAAGGTAATCTACCATTTGAAGTATTAAAAGACAAAAAAACTATTAAATTTTTATCAGCGTAATGAGGTAGAAGATTCAGCAATCAGCTAAGTTCAGAGTAGTTGCTATGGAGTGGGAAAAATGAGCTCTTTTATTTTCTTTAAGTGGCATAAGAAGATCACAGGGGTTCAAAATAATAGAAGGAATATAAAATAAATTATATTAGTGTTCTAGGAGGTATCAAAATGTAATTATAGACAAAACTATCAGTAAAGCAAAGAGACAAAAAAGGATGTTGAAGAATGAGAAAATTAATTTTGTTCATTGTCTTCGATAGAAGCTTTTCACTTCTGAAGTCAGCAGCTTGTGCAGGATTTTTAATAATCCTCAGTTTAAATTATTTTAGTGGAATAAAGTCTAGTAGTCATTTAAGTGAAGAAACATGAATCCCAGGATCAACACTAGAGTTTTACTGATATGTAAATGAATAAAACAGTACCTAATTTGGTCACTTCAATTGAAGCCCAACAACAGTTTTTCTTTGATGCCTTTTTCAGAAGACCAAATCTCCAGGATTGTGAATCAATCAGAGAATGTTTAGGTAAGAGTTTTGAAAATGTTCCTTGTGTTTGTTGTAAATAAAGCTGGAGATATCATTTGAGTAGTATGTATTATTCTGTCATTAGCCTGTAATAGACTAGAATACAGGATTGGAAGTGAAATTTCTCATGACACTGCATGAGACAGCCTGTTAATAACTCATAAGGAGATAACTTGTGGGTCCTTAAGAGGTATGAAGTTACTTTTAGCAGATAAGAATGACTTTTTGTGCCTTGGAAGTTTGAGGGTTACTACAGTTTTGGACAGTTACATTATTACAATTTCACTAATTCTCTTTATTCTTCCTGAAGTTTCTGGGTGAAAAGGACAGTCGAGATTTTGAGTTAAATGTAAGCTGCAAAGAGCTCTTTAATGTTAAATAACAGTACCAGAGAAATGTACCTCCTTGCTAGTGGAGTGATAAGTATGAATTTTCCAATTTGGAAATACAAATAATCAAGAACTTTTGATTAAATTTAAAAATCATTACATTTTTAGTTTAGCAGCAAGAAAAAGCCTCAACCAGCTCCAAGAATAAACAACAATAACTATAATGTACTTATTTTCCATTTGGAAGTATTCAAATGGTACCTGAGGATCTGTTACCAGTCAATAGTCTATATTTGCAGTCTTACTAGTATTGTGTTATTGGCAGGTAGATTAGCTCTTCAAATCATCCTTGGCAGTATCTCTTAAAATTCCCCCGCTAATATTAGTTTAATGTTGTGGCCATTATATCTCTACTATCTTGGGCGATATATTTACGCTTTTATCTTTTGTCAGCTGATAAATCCATGTGAAAGCAACTAATACAGACTTCTAAATTGACTTTATTACCACAAGAAGCTTAATTTTTGTAAAACATTCATTCTGTAAAAAATTTATTCTGGTGAAATATATATAACAAAATTTTGGCATTTTAACCATTTTAAATGTACAATTCAGTAGCATTGATTACATTTATGTTGTACAATCATCACTACTATCTATTTCCAAATGCTTTTAATCATCCCAAGCAAAATCTGTCGCTCTTAGGCAATAACTTTAACTCTCCCTTCCTGCAGTTTCTGGTAAACTCTAATCTACTTTCTGATTCTATGAATTTGCCAATTCTAGATATTTTATATAAGGGGAATCATACAATATTTTTACATTTGCATCTGGCTTATTTCGCTTAGCATTTTTTTTTTTTTTTTTGAGACGGAGTCTCACTCTGTCGCCCAGGCTGGAGTGCAGTGGCGCGATTTCGGCTCACTGCAACCTCCGCCTCCCGGGTTCACGCCATTCTCCTGCCTCAGCCTCCCGAGTAGCTGGGACTACAGGCGCCCGCCACCACGCCCAGCTAATTTTTTGGTATTTTTAGTAGAGTCAGGGTTTCACCGTGTTAGCCAGGATGGTCTTGATCTCCTGACCTCGTGATCCGACCGCCTCAGCCTCCCAAAGTGCTGGGATTACAGGCGTGAGCCACTGCGCCCGGCCAGCATTATGTTTTTAAGATTCATCCATATTGTAGTATGTATCATAAATTCATATTTTATGGCTGAATAATATTCCATTTTATGTATATAACACATTTTGTTTATCCATTTTTCTGCTGACAGATTTGCGTTGTTTCCTCCTATTGCTCATTGTGAGTAATGCTGCAGTGAACATTGGTGTACAAGTATGAGTCCCAGTATTCAATTATTGTGGTTGTATGCCTGGAGTGCAATTGCTGAGTCACATGATAATTTTATGTATTCCCTTTTGAGGTACTACTATATTATTTTCCACAGTGGCTGCACCATTTTATATTAACACATATATAGACAAGGGCTCCAATTTATCTGTATCCTTACCAACACTTATTTTCCATGTTTTTTGATTAAACCTAAGTTGGTGAGTGTGAAGTAGTATCTCATTGTGATTTTGATTTGCATTTCCATGATGACTAATGATGGCTTTTTTTTTTTTTTTGGAAAGAGTTTCACTCTTCTCGCCCAGTCTTGAGTGCAATGGCACGATGTCAGCTCACTGCAACTTCAGTCTCTCCAGTTCATGCGATTCTCCAGCCTCAGCCTCCCAAGTTGCTGGGACTATAGGCGTGCGCCACTATGCCCAGCTAATATTTTGTATTTTTAGTAGAGACGGGGGTTTCACCATGTTGGCCAGGCTGGTCTCGAACTCTTGACCTCAGGTGGTTTGCCCACCTTGGCCTCCCAAAGTGCTGGAATTACAGGAGTGAGCCAACGCGCCTGGCAGTGATGTTTAACATTTGTTCATGAACTTTTTGGCCATTTTTATTTCTTCTTTGGAAAAAAATCTTCTCAAGATTTTGGCCTATTATTGGTCTGTCTTTTTGTTATTAAATTGTAGGTATTATTTACGTATTCTGAATATTACAGCCTTATCAGATATGTGATTTGAAAGTACCCTCTTTTTTGTAGATTGTCTTCTCCTTTTTTGATAATGTACTTTCATGCACAGAAGCTTCTAATTTTCATGAAGTCCCACTTTTATATTTTTTTCCTTTTTTTGCCTTTTGTCACCTTTTGGTGTCATATCGAAAAATACATTGCCAAATCCAAGGTCATGAAATTTTACCTCTATGTGATCTTCTAAGAGTTTTATGTTTTAGATTATATATTTAGGTGATTGATTTCTTTTAATTAATTTTTGTATGTTTTCAGATGGTGATCTGACATCATTTTTTAATATGGAAGTCCAGTTTTCTTAGTACCATTTATTGAAAAGATTATCTTTTTACTATTGAATACCCTTGGAACCCATGTCAAAATTAGTTTATCTATATATGTTAAGGGTTTATATCTCAAATATAAATTCTAATTCAGTGGTCTATATATTTATTTCTATACCAGTAACACACTCTTTAGATAATTGGACCTTTTTAGTAAGTTTTGAAATTGGGAAATATGAATCTTCCAACTTTGTTCTTTTTCATGATTATTCAGGCTATGTAAGGCCACTTTCAATTCCATATGAACTTGAGGGTTAGCTTATCCATTTCTGCAAAACAGTTGGAATTTTAATAAACATCACATTGAATCTGTAGATTGTTTTGGGTAGCATTGACATTTCAATGACTTACATTTTCCAATCTATGAATGCAAGAAGTATTTCTATATTTTAGGTATTCTTTATTTTTATAATTTTTAATTTTTATGGGTATTTAGTAGGTGTATATATATATGGAGTACATGATGTGTTTTGATAGAGGTATGCAATGTATAATAATCACATCATGGAAAATAGAGTATCCATCCCCACGAGCATTTATATTTAGGTCTTCTTTAATTTTTTCAACAATTTTGTTTTCCCTTTCTAATTTTCAGAGTGTAAGTCTTTCATTTCTTTTGTTAAATGTATTACTATATATTTCATTCTTTTTGATGCTATTGTAAAAGGAATTATTTTATTAATTTTAATAATTTTCTTATATAATCTTAAATTTACAAATTATTCATTGTGATTGTATAGGGATACAACCTATTTTGCATGTCAAACTTGTACTTTGTAACTTTTCTGAATGCATTTATTAGGTAGAGTAGCTTTTTAAATTTTTTTTATTTTTAATTTTTCTGAGTACATAGTAGGTGTATGTATTTATATGGCACATGAGATGTTTTGATACAGGCATATAATGTGTAATAATCGCATCATGGAACATGAGATACTCATCCACTCAAGAATTTATGCTTTGTGTTACAAACAATCCAATTACACTCTTTTAGTTATTTTAAAATATACAATGTAATTATTGACTGTACCCACTCCATTGTGCTATCAATTAGTAAGTCTTATTTATTCTTTCTATTTGTTGATACCCATTAACCATCCTCACCTTCTTCCACCAACCCCACCTACCCTTCCCAGCCTCTGGTAACCGTCCTTATACTCTCTGACTCCATGAGTTAAATTCTGTTAATTTTTAGATCTCACAAATAAGTGAGAACATGTGATGTTTTTCTTTCTGTGCCTGGCTTATTTACTTAACATAATGATCTCCAGTTCCACCCAGTTGTTGCAAATGACAATGTCTCATTATTTTTATGGCTGAATAGTACTCCATTGTGTATATATGCCACATTTCCTAAAAACCATTCATCTGTTGATGGACGCTTACATTGTTTCCAAAATTTTTTTTATTATACTCCCCCCACACCAGAACAGTCCCCAGAGTGTGATGTTCCCCTTCCTATGTCCATGTGTTCTCATTGTGCAATTCCCACCTATAAGTGAGAATATGCAGTGTTTGGTTTTTTGTTCTTGCGATAGTTTATTGAGAGTGATGATTTCCAATTTCATCCATGTCCCTACAAAGGACATGAACTCATAATTTTTTTTTATTATACTTGAAGTTTTACGGTACATGTGTACAATGTGCAGGTTAGTTACATATGTATACATGTGTGATTCTGGTGCACTGCACCCACTAACTCGTCATCTAACATTAGGTATATCTCCCAATGCTATCCCTCCGCCCTCCCCCCACCCCACAACAGTCCCCAGAGTGTGATGTTCCCCTTCCTGTGTCCATATGTTCTCATTGTTCAAGTCCCACCTATGAGTGAGAATATGCGGTGTTTGATTTTTTGTTCTTGCAGCAGTTTACTGAGAATGATGATTTCCAATTTCATCCATGTCCCTACAAAGGACATGAACTCATCATTTTTTATGACTGCATAGTATTCCATGGTGTATATGTGCCACATTTTCTTAATCCAGTCTATCATTGTTGGACATTTGGGTTGGTTCCAAGTCTTTGCTATTGTGAATAGTGCTTCAATAAACATACGTGTGCATGTGTCTTTATAGCAGCATGACTTATAGTCCTTCGGGTATATACCCAGTAATGGGATGGCTGGGTCAAATGGTATTTCCAGTTCTAGATCCCTGAGGAATCGCCACACTGACTTCCACAATGGTTGAACTAGTTCACAGTCCCACCAACAGTGTAAAAGTGTTCCTATTTCTCCACATCCTCTCCAGCACATGTTGTTTCCTGATTTTTTAATAATCACCATTCTAACTGATGTGAGATGATATCTCACTGTGGTTTTGATTTGCATTTCTCTGATGGCCAGTGATGGTGAGCATTTTTTCATGTGTTTTTTGGCTGCATAAATGTCTTCTTTTGAGAAGTGTCTGTTCATGTCCTTTGCCCACTTTTTGACGGGGTTGTTTGTTTTTTTCTTGTAAATTTGTTTGAGTTCATTGTAGATTCTGGATATTAGCCCTTTGTCAGATGAGTAGGTTACAAAAATTTTCTCCCATTTTGTAGGTTGCCTGTTCACTCTGATGGAAGTTTCTTTGGCTGTGCAGAAGCTATTTAATTTAATTAGATCCCATTTGTCAATTATGGCTTTTGTTGCCATTGCTTTTGGTGTTTTAGACATGAAGTCCTTGCCCATGCCTATGTCCTGTATGGTAATGCCTAGGTTTTCTTCTAGGATATTTCTGGTTTTAAGTATAACGTTTAAGTCTTTAATCCATCTTGAATTAATTTTTGTACAAGGTGTAAGGAAGGGATCCAGTTTCAGCTTTCTACATATGGCTAGCCGGTTTTCCCAGCACCATTTATTAAATAGGGAATCCTTTCCCCATTTCTTGTTTTTCTCACGTTTGTCAAAGATCAGATAGTTGTAGACATGCAGCATTGTTTCTGAGGGCTCTATTCTGTTCCATTGATCTATATCTCTGTTTTGGTACCAGTACCATGCTGATTTGGTTACTGTAGCCTTGTAGTATAGTTTGAAGTCAGGTAGCGTGATGCCTCCACCTTTATTCTGTTGGCTTAGGATTGACTTGCCGATGCAGGCTCTTTTTTGGTTCCATATGAACGTTAAAGTAGTTTTTTCCAATTCTGTGAAGAAAGTCATTGGTAGCTTGATGGGGATGGCATTGAATCTATAAATTACCTTGGGCAGTGTGGCCATTTTCATGATACTGATTCTTCCTACCCATGAACATGGAATGTTCTTCCATTTGTTTGTATCCTCTTTTATTTCATTGAGCAGTGGTTTGTAGTTCTCCTTGTAGAGGTCCTTCACGTCCCTTGTAAGTTGAATTCCTAGGTATTTTATTCTCTTTGAAGAAATTGTGAATGGGAGTTCACTCATGATTTGGCCTCTGTTTGTCTGTTATTGGTGTATAAGAATGCTTGTGATTTTTCTACATTGCTTTCGTATCCTGAGACTTTGCTGAAGTTGCTTATCAGCTTAAGGGGATTTTGGGTTGAGACAATGGGGTTTTCCAGATATTAAATCATGTCATCTGCAAACATGGACTGTTTGACTTCCTCTTTTCCTAATGGAATTCCCTTTATTTCCTTCTCCTGCCTAATTGCCCTGGCCAGACCTTCCAACAGTACGTTGAATAGGAGTGGTGAGAGAGGGCATCCCTGTCTTGTGCCAGTTTTCAAAGGGAATGCTTCCAGTTTTTGCCCATTCAATATGATATTGGCTGTGGGTTTGTCATAGATAGCTCTTATTATTTTGAGATACATCCCATCAATACTTAATTTATTGAGAGTTTTTAGCATGAAGTGCTGCTGAATTTTGTCAAAGGCCCTTTCTGCATCTATTGAGATAATCATGTGGTTTTTGTCTCTGGTTCTGTTTATATGCTGGATTACATTTATTGATTTGCATATATTGAACCAGCCTTGCATCCCAGGGATGAATCCCACTTGATCATGGTGGATAAGCTTTTTGATGTGCTGCTGGATTCGTTTTGCCAGTATTTTATTGAGGATTTTTGCATCAATGTTCATCAAGGATATTGGTGTAAAATTCTCTTTTTTGGTTGTGTCTCTGCCAGGCTTTGGTATCAGGATGATGCTAGCCTCATAAAATGAGTTAGGGAGGATTCCCTCTTTTTCTATTGACTGGAATGATTTCAGAAGGAATGGTACCAGTTCCTCCTTGTACCTCTGGTAGAATTCGGCTGTGAATCCATCTGGTCCTGGACTCTTTTTTGTTGGTAAGCTATTGATTATTGCCTCAGTTTCAGAGCCTGTTATTGGTCTATTCAGAGATTCAACTTCTTCCTGGTTTAGTCTTGGGAGAGTGTATGTGTCCAGGAATTTATCCATTTCTTCTAGATTTTCTAGTTTATTTGCGTAGAGGTGTTTGTAGTATTCTCTGATGGTAGTTTGTATTTCTGTGGGATCGATGGTGATATCCCCTTTATCATTTTTTATCACGTCTACTTGATTCTTCTCTCTTTTCTTCTTTATTAGTCTTGCTAGCGGTCTATCAATTTTGTTGATCCTTTCAAAAAACCAGCTCCTGGACTCATTAATTTTTTGAAGGGTTTTTTGTGTCTCTATTTCCTTCAGTTCTGCTCTGATTTTAGTTATTTCTTGCCTTCTGCTAGCTTTTGAATGTGTTTGCTCTTGCTTGTCTAGTCGTTTTAATTGGGATGTTAGGGTGTCAATTTTGGATCTTCCCTGCTTCTCTTGTGGGCATTTAGTGCTATAAATTTCCCTCTACACACTGCTTTGAATGCATCCCAGAGATTCTGGTATGTTGTGTCTTTGTTCTCGTTGGTTTCAAAGAACATCTTTATTTCTGCCTTCATTTCGTTATGTACCCAGTAGTCATTCAGGAGCAGGTTGTTCAGTTCCCATGTAGTTGAGTGGTTTTGCGTGAGATTCTTAATCCTGAGTTCTAGTTTGATTGCATTGTGTTCTGAGAGATAGTTTGTTATAATTTCTGTTCTTTTACATTTGCTGAGGAGAGCTTTACTTCCCAGTATGTGGTCAATTTTGGAATAGGTGTGGTGTGGTGCTGAAAAAAATGTATATTCTGTTGATTTGTGGTGGAGAGTTCTGTAGATGTCTATTAGGTCCACTTGGTGCAGAGCTGAGTTCAATTCCTGGGTATGGGTATCCTTGTTGACTTTCTGTCTTGTTGATCTGTCTAATGTTGACAGTGAGGTGTTAAAGTCTCCCATTATTAATGTGTGGGAGTCTAAGTCTCTTTGTAGGTCACTCAGGACTTGCTTTATGAATCTCGGTGCTCCTGTATTGGATGCATATATATTTAGGATAGTTAGCTGTTCTTGTTGAATTGATCTCTTTACCATTATGTGATGGCCTTCTTTGTCTCTTTTGATCTTTGTTGGTTTAAAGTCTGTTTTATCAGAGACTAGGATTGCAACCCCTGCCTTTTTTTGTTTTCCATTTGCTTGGTAGATCTTCCTCCATCCTTCTATTTTGAGCCTATGTGTGTCTCTGCATGTGAGATGGGTTTCCTGAATACAGCACCCTGATGGGTCTTGACTCTTTATCCAATTTGCCAGTCTGTGTCTTTTAATTGGAGCATTTAGTCCATTTCCATTTAAAGTTAATATTGTTATGTGTGAATTTGATCCTGTCATTATGATGTTAGTTGGTTATTTTGCTCGTTAGTTGATGCAGTTTCTTCCTAGTCTCGATGGTCTTTACATTTTGGCATGATTTTGCAGTGGCTGGTACCGGTTGTTCCTTTCCATGTTTAGTGCTTCCTTCAGGAGCTCTTGCAAGGCAGACCTGGTGGTGACAAAATCTCTCAGCATTTGCTTGTCTGTAAAGGATTTTATTTCTCCTTCACTTTTGAAGCTTAGTTTGGCTGGATATGAAATTCTGGGTTGAAAATTCTTTTCTTTAAGAATGTTGAATATTGGCCCCCATTCTCTTCTGGCTTCTAGGGTTTCTGCAGAGAGATCCACTGTTAGTCTGATGGGCTTCCCTTTGAGGGTAACCCGACCTTTCTCTCTGGCTGCCCTTAACATTTTTTCCTTCATTTCAACTTCGGTGAATCTGACAATTATGTGTCTTGGAGTTGCTGTTCTCGAGGAGTATCTTTGTGGCATTCTCTGTATTTCCTGAATCTGAGTGTTGGCCTGCCTTGCTAGATTGGGGAAATTCTCCTGGATAATATCCTGCAGAGTGTTTTCCAACTTGGTTCCATTCTCCCCATCACTTTCAGGTATGCCAGTCAGACGTAGATTTGGTCTTTTCACATAGTCCCATATTTCTTGGAGGCTTAGCTCATTTATTTTTATTCTTTTTTCTCTAAACTTCCCTTCTCGCTTCATTTCATTCATTTCATCTTCCATCACTGATACCCTTTCTTCCAGTTGATTGCATCGGCTCCTGAGGCTTCTGCATTCTTCACGTAGTTCTCGAGCCTTGGTTTTCAGCTCCATCAGCTCCTTTAAGCACTTCTCTGTATTGGTTATTCTAGTTATACATTCTTCTAAATTTTTTTCAAAGTTTTCATCTTCTTTGCCTTTGGTTTGAATGTCCTCCCTTAGCTCAGAGTAATTTGATCGTCTGAAGCCTTCTCTCAGCTTGTCAAAGTCATTCTCCATCCATCTTTGTTCTGTTGCTTGTGAGGAACTGCGTTCCTTTGGAGGAGGAGAGGCGCTCTGCTTTTTGGAGTTTCCAGTTTTTCTGTTCTGTTTTTTCCCCATCTTTGTGGTTTTATCTACTTTTGGTCTTTGATGATGGTGATGTACAGATGGGTTTTTGGTGTGGATGTCCTTTCTGTTTGATTTGATTTATGTATATGGCAAATTAGTAGCTTTTATGTGGATCTCTTGCGATGTTTATATAAAGGATCATGTATTCTACAAAGTAGTTTCCGTGTTTCATTTCCAATTGTAATGCCTTTTATTTCTTAATTTTGCCTAATTGCTCCAGCTAAAACTTTCAGTACACTTTTCAATAGCAGTGGTGAAAGTGGGCAACCCTATTTTGTTCCTGATTTTATTGGGAAACTTTTGTCTTTCACTTTTGTGTATGATTTAGCTATGAATTTTTTACAAATGCCTTCTATTATGTGGAGAAAGTTCTGTTCTACTCCAGGTTTCTGGGTAGTTTTTTGTTATGAAAGTATGTTAGATTTTGTCAGATGTTTTCAATGCACTAATTTTTCCTGATTCTATTAATGTGATGTATTACATTGATTGAAATTCTTATGTGGAAACACCCTTGTGTTCCTCAGATAAGTCTCACTTCTTTGTTGTTGTATAATTCTTTTAATATGCTGTTGAATTCAATTTACTAGTATGATACTGAGGATTTTTGCATCAACATTCATAGTGGATATTTATCAATAGTTTTTGTGGTATATTAATCTTATTTTGATTTGAGGGTAAGTCTGGCCTCATAGGATAAATCAGGATTTTTTTCCCTCCTCTTCAATGTTTTGAAACAGTTTGAGATGGATTAGTGTTGATTCTCTTTAAATGTTTACTAGAATTCAGTGGTAAAGCCATTTGGTCCTAGACTGTTCTCTGTTTAGAAGTTTTAAATTACTAATTCAAGCTCCTTACTGGTTATAGATGTATGCAGATTTTGCCATTTCGTCGTGATCTAGTCTTGACAGGTTGTGCATTTCTATGAATTTTAAAATTTTATTTACCTTAACCACTTCGTTGGTGTACAATTGTTTGTATTATCCACTTATAAATAACTCTTTTTGTTTCTGTAAAATTGCTAATTATATCTCATGATTCATTTGTGATGTCAGTTACTTGTGTCTTCTCTTTTTTTTTAGTCAATCTGACTAAAGGTTTGTCAATTTTGTTGACATTCTTGAAGAATCAACTATTGGTTTTGTTTACTTTCTGCCTCATTTTTCTTTTCTCTATTTTATTTGTCTCTTCTATAATCTTTATTGTTTCTTTGCTTCTGCTAGATTTGGATTTAGTCTTTTTTTTTTTTCTAATGCCTTAACCTATAAAGTTCAGTTGTTAATTCAAGATCTTTCTTTTTTAAAAAAGTAAGCATTTACAGCTATAAATTGCCCTTTTATCATAGTTTTCATACATCACATAAGCTCCATTCTGTTTTGCTTCCTCAGAAGATATTTTACCATTTCTCTCATGGTTTCTTCTCCTTTTAATGATTTTTTGAGTGTGTTATAGAATTTCCACAAATTTGTGAAATTTCCACTTTTTCTTACGGTACAATTTCCCATTTGTAAAGGGCAGTTTTGCCAGATGTTGAATTCTTGGTTGGCAGTTTTCTTTTTTCTTTGAGCACCTAAATATATCATTTTGCTGTCTTCTCGCCTCCATATTTTCTGTTGAGAAATCCACTGGTAGTCTTGCTGGGGATCTTTTATATGTGACAGGTCACATTTTTCTGACTACTTTCAAGACTCTGTCTTTGACTTTTGGCACTTTGAATATAATGTGCCTCTGTGTGGTTCTCCATCAGTTTAACTTATATCTAGTTAATTAAGTTTCTTGGATTTGTATATCCTTGTCTGTCCTCAAGTTTGAGAAATTTCAGCCATTTTCTTTAGGTAATTTTTCTGCCCCTTTCATGCTCTTTGATTACCACAATGTGTAAATTATTTGGCTTGATGGTGTCCCCTAAGTCCCTAAGGCTCTGTTTATTTTTTTGTGATCAATGTAAAAGTTACGTATTATATGTAAACATTTTAACAAGTTATGGAAACAAAAGTTATGAGGTTCATTTAACTCATTTAATATTTGGTTTATAACATAACATTAACATGTATCTCATAAAACCAGTGAAGTAAATGCAGGAAGTTTGAATTCTAAGAAATTTAAGCCCTTATGTTTAACAAACCAAAATATTGTGCTAGCATTATTTTATACAGTAAATTAATTATTAAAGATTCTAGAACATGCCCCCAATGTTTTTCTACCTTGAAAATAAAGCTTTTTTTGATTATCTCATAGCAATAGTAGCAGAGGCTTTTTACTTTTCAGTGCTCACTAAAAGAAACGTAATTTAATAATTTATTTTTGTTAGACTATTTGACTGTTTATCTGGGCTAGATGATCTATAGCAGGAGTCTCCAACTTCTGGGCCACAGATTAGTACCAGTCAGTGGCCTGTTAGAAACCAGGCCATACAGCTGGAGGTGAGTGGCAGATAAGTGAGTATTACTGCCTGAACTCCGCCTGCTGTCAAATCAGTGGTGATGTTTGATTCTCATAGGAGTGTGTACCCTATTGTGAACTGTGCATGTGAGGGATCTATGTTGCAGGCTCCTTATGAGACTATAACTAATGCCTGATAATCTGAGGTGGAACAGCTTCATCCCAAAACTATACTTCCCCTCCATCCATGGAAAAAATTGTCTTCCAGGAAACTGGTCCCTGGTGCCATAAAGTTTGGGGACCACTGATCTAGAGTGCATAGAAAACAACTGAATTATTTTTTGATCAGTTGATCTTTAAAATTTTACAAGACAGGAACAAATGAGAGGGGCCTATCTTCAGGCAAATATAAAATTGTCACTATAAAAAGCCAATTATAACTATAATTAAGCATGGTGGATGATGCCTGTAATCCTAGCACTTTGGAAGGCTGAAGTAGGAGGATCACTTGAGCCTAGGAGTTTGAGTCACCTGGGCAATATAGGGAGACCTTGTCCCCACATAAAATTTTTTAAAAAAATGGCCAAGCGTGGTGGCACATGCCTGTGGTCCCAGCTGCTTGGGAGGCTGCCGTGGGAGGATTGCTTTAGCCCTAGAAGTCAAGGCTGTGATGAGCTGAAATCACATCACTGCACTCCAGCCTGGGCCATAGTGAGACCCTGAAAACAAACAAACAAACAAACAAAACAAACAAAAAAAGAAATTCTTTGCTCTCTGCAAGGAAAAAAAAACATAAACATATTTTGACATATATAGGCACAACAAATGACATACAGCCAGTCTTGACATAACTTAGGCTCTTGGCAATTTTAATCAAAACATATAATTTTAAGAGGCAGAACTCATTAAGCTTCAAAGTATGGAATCAGAAGAAGGGAGGTCAACTAAACTAAATAAAGTGATCTTTGTTTTAGACAATCCATCTCCTCGTAAAGCTTTCTTTGCTTTTGGTTATCTGCAACCTCTAAAATTAATAATTTTGCTTGTTTTAAAAGCTCTTTAAAGTAGCCATTGGAATTTCAAATTCTCTGTAGTGAAATATTGTGCCAGTTAGAGAGAAAAGCATTTAAATGAGCATTATAATAAGAACACATGAAGGAAAAAAAGTGTTTAACACAAAAAAGGCACAGATTTAGATTGAGAAGTCCCCATGAGAATTCTAAGTAAGGATGCTGCCTGTGTAACTTTCTATCTCATATGATTGGCCAATGGCCAGTCATTACCAATCAAGGACTGAACAAAACCTCCTGATTCTAGACAGCTGAAAGTAAGCAAAGGAGTTCCTGGGGGTACAAAGAAAATACTTAAGAAGAAGCCTTTATAAGGTTTTGAAATGATGATTTTAGACAAATTTTGTCCAAAGAATGCTGGTCAGAGAAGATTTTCTGAGCTAATTAGCCCCAGAGAAACACTTGAAAATGAGCTTATCTGGCCTACATCCTGCCACTCTATATAGACTTTTTCTCCTGTAGACAAATAGCCCTCATCACTAGATATGTTAATTAAGGTTCTCCAGAGAAACAAAACCAAGAGGGGAGATACACACACACACCCCACATTATAGGGTATTGGCTTATGTGATTATGGAGGCTGTGAAGTTTCACAATCTGCCATCTGCAAGCTGGTGACTCAGAAAATCCAGCAGTGTAGTTCAAAGGCCTGAGAGCCAGAGACAGATTCCAGTATGGGTCTGTAGTCCTGAGAACCAGTAGCGCCGAAGACAGAATGTTCATATTTCAGCTCAGTTAAGTAGAGAAAGCAAATCTTTCCTTCATCCACCTTTTGTTCTATTCAGGCTCTCTATGTATTGGATGATGCCCACCTATATTAGTTGGACAGAGTAACCTGCTTTATTTAGTCTATCATTTCATATGCTAATCTCTTCTAGAAACGTACTTGTGGACATACTCAGAAATAATGTTTAACTAGAAAACTGGGCATCCCATGATTCAATCAAGTTTACACATGAAAGTAAGAAAAACAGATGAACCATAAGAAAAACACACATGCAATATTTTTCAGATTAGTTGACTAAAAATATATCTAGGGACTTTATTACTTGGAAAGTAAAATAAACCCAGTACTGAAGGACTTCAAGAAATATCTGAGCTCAGTTCAGCATAAACTTAACTCCCAGCCATGGCAAGATGGCAGCTTGAATATGTAGAAACATAAAGAGTCTCAGATATGCACACTATCACTGCGTCATGAGTTCTGGTCGAAGTCAGTGAGGGCTTACTGAACCTCAGTAGGTTTTCCATTTTTAATGGTACTTCTAAACAAAGACAACTAAGACCACACCTGCAGTTGAACAAATTGGATTTATTACTCATTGCAGCAAAAGAGAACACATATTACAGAAAACCAAGGACATCTCAAGAAGAAAATGTTAGAAGACCCTTACTAGGATTTGGGCTTCTGTGCGGTGATTTGGGGACGGGTACAAGGAAGCAAGGCTTTCTGTGGATTAGAAATTGTCGGGAAGCAGAAATAATTCTATGATTGGAAAACTTAGTAAATCGTATTTCTCTACTTAATTCATACTTCAGAATTTAGCTTCCAGTTCAGCCTCATTTCTTGCTGCTAGTTCCAATCTGGCCTTAGTGACTCCACCTCCCAGTGATTGATTTTCTTACTTAGAATTTTCTTGACCCTTTGAGTTCCATCCAATCGGAGGGACATGAACAGAGCAGGAAAAGAGCAAGGTTCTATAAAATATGGGGCTGAGAGCAGTCACTCCTGAGTTCAAAAACAATACTAAGTAGTTCCATGAGCATTTCTAAATATGAGGAGCTTAGAGATGACAAAGATTTGGAAATAAGATCTAGTAAGCTTGTCTTAAAGCTTTTATGTTAGTCTATAGTCTAAAGCAATAACACAGACATTTTTTTCTAAATGTAGCTTTATTCATATTCTTCTTATAGTTTATAAAATAAATATATAGGCTTCTTGTGATAATGATAATTATTATGGTTAGTAGAAGTAGTAGTAGTAGTAGTAGTTAAGGAGGTGATTAGTCAGTCTAAAACCTTCTTAAAGACACCCCTTCTTGCAAATACTAGTGGAAAGCCAAAATGTAGTTAGTAATTAGCAATGGTTTAATGTTCAGGCAATCAGCACTAAGATGTACCAGTAGATTCCCAAAACTCAAACCTAAAGAACTGGGAGCATTCTAGAATTCAGTGTTATACACTAAGCACCAAAGGACAGTGATATGTGGAGAAGGAATCCAGCCACTGGGAGACTAGAGCTCAAGAGCATGAAACCAGTCACTGGGAGATGAAGTCATTAAGGTCAGGTTGGAACTAGAAGGAATAAGCTGTTGATGCTTATCTGGAAGCCGAATTCAGAGGTGAGAATTAAGTAGAGGCCTCTATTAGGGTTAGAGGGGAATACTGATATTAACCAAACAGAACACAGGTTGCCAAGATTAGGGAAGTTTGGCTGTATTCTTTCATGAATTCATTCAGTCATTCATTCACCAGATGTTTACTGCATGCCAAATATGTAGTATGCCTGATATGGTTTGGATCTGTATCCCCACCAAATTTTATGTTGAATTGTTATCCCCAGTGTTGGAGGTGGGGCCTGGTGAGAGCTGATTGGATCATGGGGGTTTATTTCTCATGAATGGTTTAGCCCCATCCCCTTGATGCTTTTCTCATAATAGTGAGTGACTTCTTGTGACATATGCTCATTTAAAAGTGTATAGCACCCCCTCACCCCTCTCTTGTTCCTGCTCCTGCCATGTGACATGCCTGTTCCCACTTTGCCTTTCACCATGATTGTATGTTTTCTGAGGCCTCCCCAGAATTCAAGCAGATGCCAGCATCATGGTTCCTGTTCTGGTTGTGGAACTGTGAGCCAACTACACTTCTTTTCTTTATAAATTATCCAGTATCAGGTTTTTTATAGCAATGAGAGAACAGACTACTACAATGCAGTATTCCAAGCAAAGCTGCCCAATTTATTTGGAGATAATGGAGCTCTGTTCTTTAAGGCATTTTCTGTGAACAGTTATTTTTCATTAGAGTTTTCAGGCCTCTTTGAAATGAAAAATAGCATTATTTATTTAACTCTCAGAGGCTGATTATTTACTTTGTTAATCAATTAGATTATTTGTTTTTCTTTTCTATAATCTGCACGCTGTTATTGCTCAATAAATAGTTATTGGTTAATTGGTTCATTGTCTTGGGTAATTTTTTTTTTTTACCATTAGTCAATTTCATCAGATGTTGGATGAAGCAGACATAAAACTGCATTTAGTTATGAACATATAGCTATATGAACATACTGTATTTTTAGGTAACATTTATTCTCTGAAGACTCTAATCCACATACAATTGCCTTGTGTAGTGATGATTTGGGAAAATCGTTGTAAAAGGAAATATGGAAATATGGTCTTTTTTGGAAAAATTATAGTCCAAATAGAAGAAACCAATATTAGGATGCAAATAAGAATAATTCACCAGAAGCAATGCTCAGGGCAACGTATACCTAGAAAAAATAAAAACCCACCTTGAATCCTGCAAGGTATAAGAAGGGAACTGAACTTTCCATTGCACATGGAATGAGAACTGGAGTTCTTTTCTTTTTATCTGCTAGATTGATGAATATAACTATTATAAAGGAGGTGTGAAAAACATCTAAATAATGTAAATCATTTTTGTTTACAGGATATTGAGTGTATAGGTACATTTTTTTCTGTTTCTACTTCTCTATAATGAGTCACTCAAACAAACTAATAAACAAGGAGAATTAAGGATAGTAAGGATATATGTGCCACCTTATTAAAATCTTCTGAGCTCATAAGGCAGTATATCTTTCAAGTGGTATTGTATTTCATCACATACTTTCCTTTTTATTACCTGATATTTTCCCAAAGTGGCTCTGAGGACCAACTGCTCTCCTTTTCTCACTTTTATAATTCTGTTTCATTATCCTTTAATCACTGGCTAATTTCCACATCAGATTCCAGAGGGAGCCATTCTAACAGATTTGACTCATTATTATTGTCTTCATTGTACAGAGCCTTTCTCACTGGGCCATGTTATGGGTCCCCACAAGTCACACATGCTCCATTTGGGTCAGGAAAACTAGTTTAATTGGTAGTCATTCTTGCACAAAGAACAGCCTCACTATGATTTCTCAAGCAGGGAGAAAGTAAGTAGAGAAACTTTGGCTACAAGAAGGGTTGGACATGGCAGTCTATAGTCCAAAATAACATTTGTGCCTGAAATATGAACACAATCAAAGAAAAAAGTGCCTTTTCAAGCCCTTCATCTATTTCTAAGCATCATCTTTTTCTAACTCCTGACAACTGTTTTTTCCTCCCCTCTAGTAATGTATTACTTACTAGTTTTATAAAGTCATCCCCACTGCAGTATTCCACTCAGGTCCATCCACCACTGAAGTTAATATTTGCTCTAATAGTAACACTTTACTCTTACCTCTCAATTTGTCAACCTTAACTTTATTAAAAATTCTTGCTCTCTCAGTGCCAAGATCTCATCCAGAATTTACGGGAAAGAAAGGCAAAGTAATTAAAATAATATATACCAAGTAGTAAATGACTATTTAATTTTTACTAATTTCCCAAGCAGGGAAAAAGTGAGCGGAGAAGCTGTGCCTACAATAGCGGTGGTACATGGCAGTTTATAGTCGAAAATAAATAACATTTGTGTCTGAAATATTAAATAATTCAAGTCTGTGCACCCCCACACCTTATGTATGATGCTTGTTTTTATTAATCAAAATCAGTATCTAGAGGACTTTCAGTTTCCCAGTTGGCTTGTACAGAGATTATCACTCCTGTCTTAACAACAAGAAAAAAGCAGAACAAACTGAAAATCAGCGACTCCTTTTAGACTCAGCATAGAACTGAGGCCCCAGGGCAAACCAGTCTTCAAAGTTTGAGACACAGACAGGTGAATACAGAGAACCACAGTTTACTAGAGTGGATGCCTGAGAGTGGAAACTTCCATAAAGATGAGTACTGGGATGGGTAAACTTAAACTGCAATTCAAAAATTGCTGGAGGCTCAGTTTGGAAAAGCTTTGAGAATTACAAGAAAATCACCAGTCTTATGTGGACCCCACACATTTCTCAGTTTTACTTCCGTGAACACAACAAGGTTCTCACAATAAAATTCAGAAAAATTTCCTTATATTCTGGCAAGTGGAAGGGAAAAATAAGTATGCTGAAATATGCCAAGAGCATTCTTTTCTTCTTAACAAGTCCTGCTGTCCAGAGAAACTATTTTGCCAGAAGCTAACCTACTAGTTTTACCAGAGCTTAACCAAGTTGGAGGAAGGGAAATACTCAACTCCAGCTCCCTCTAACCTTCATTTATCACCTAATGGGGAAAAACAGAATCATCTGTGCAGGTCACAGCCCAGAAGCACAGGCTCATCGAAAGATTAACAGCTACACATAAAACTATAGAATGCTTTCTCAGCCTTATATGCTGCCACCACATCAACTAACAACATGGGAGACAAACTCAAGGACACAAGAAGAAAGTTTAGTATATGACAAATAGAGCTACAGCAAACAGTCAATCCAACCTAACTGCTAGACAGAAAACCATAAAGCCTCATATTAAAAGCCTATTTACCTCTGTTCCTTTTACCTAGTGAATGATGTCTGGTTTTCATTAAAAAAAATTACAAGCCAAGGTAAAAGACAAAACATGCAATACGAAGACACAGAATAAACATTAGAATCAAACTTATGTATTTCAAATGTGTTGGAATTATTAAACCAGGAATTTTAATAGCTAGGTAATATATCCATTCTTAGTGGGGATAAAATAATATCTCATTGTGGTTTTGATTTACATTACTGTGATGATCAGTGATGTTGATGTTTTTATATACCTGTTGGCCATAGTATGTCTTTTTTTGAGAAATTTCTATTCATGTTTTTGGCTCACTTAAAAAAATTAATTTTATAAATTCAGGGGGTACCCATTCAGGTTTATTACGTGGATATATTACATAGCAGTGAGGTCTGAATAGTGAACACTGTACCCAATACATAATTTTTCAACACCCATGCATCTCCCAGAGTCCCACCTTTTTGAGTCCTCAGCGTCTATTTTTCCCCTCAGTCCATGTGTGCCAATTAATTAGTTCCCACTTGTAAGTGAGAATATATGGTATTTCATTTTCTGTTTCTGAGTTATTTCACTTATGATAGTGGCTTCTAGCTGTGTTCATGTTGCTGCAGAAAACGTAATTTTATTTTTAACGCTCAGTAGTATTCCGTGGTTTACACATACCACGTTTTCTTCATCCATTCCTCCATTGATGGACACCTATGTTGATTCCATGACTTTGCTATTGTGAATAGTGATGTAATGATATGGTTTTGCTCTGTGTCCCCACCGAAATCTCATCTCCAGTTTTAATCCCCATAAACCCCACATGTCGAGGGTGGGACCTGGTGAGAGGTGATTGGATCATGGAGGCAGTTTCCACCATGCTATTCTTGTGATAATGAGTGAGTTCTCATGAGATCTGATGGTTTTATAAGGGGCTTTTCCCCCATCACTTGTTTTCTCTCTCCCTCACCTGCCGCCGTGTAAGACATGCCTTTGCTTCTCTCTCACCATCCACCATGATTTTAAGTTTCCTGAGGCCTCCCCAGCCGTGTGGAACTGTGAGTCAATTACACCTATTTCTTTTATAAATTACCCAGTCTCGGGTGTGTCTTTATAGCAGAGTGAGAACTGATTAATACATGTGATAAACATAAAAGTATAGGTATCTTTTTGATATAATTATTTATTTATTTATTGAGACAGAGTCTTGCTCTGTCACCCAGCCTGGAGTGCAGTGGTGTGATCTCGGCTCACTGCAACCTCCGCCTCTCAGGTTCAAGCAAATCTCCTGCCTCAGCCTCCTGAGTAGCTTGGATTACAGGTGTGCCACCATGCCTGGCTAATTTTTGTATTTTTAGTAGAGAAAGGGTTTCACCATGTTAGCCAGAATAGTCTTGACCTCCTGACCTCAGATGATCCACCCAGTTTGGCCTCCCAAAGTGCTGGAATTACAGGCATGAGCCATCGTGCCTAGCTGATATAATGATTTATTTTCCCTGGGGTAAATATCCAGTATTGCAATTGCTAGATTGAATGCTAGTTCCATTTTTAGTTTCTTGAGAAATCTCCATGGTATTTTCCACAGAGGTTTTACTAATTTACACTCCCACCAACAGTGTATAAGTATTTCCTTTTCTCCACGTCCTCACCAACATCTATTGTTTTTTTTTTTTTTTTTGACTTTTTAATGATAGACATCTCACTGGTGTAAGATGGTATCTGATTGCATGGTTTTAACTTGCATTTCTCTGATGATTGCTGATGTTGAGTTTTTTTTGTTTCTTGGTTGCTTGTGTGTCCTCACTTGAAAAATGTCTTTTCTTGTCCTTTGCCCATTTTTAAATAGGGTTATTTGTTTTATTCCTGTTGAATTGAGTTTCTTGTAGATTCCAGATATTAGTCCCCTGTTAGATAAATAACTTGCAAATACTTTCTTCCATTCTGTAGATTTTCTGTTCACTCTGCTGATTATTTCTTTTGCAGTGCAGAAACTTTTTAATTTAATTAAGTCCAATATTTTTGTCATTGCTTTTGAGGTCTTACTCATGTTTTTTGTGTAGACCAATGTCCAGGACAGTTTTCTTTATGTTTTCTCCTAATATTTTTATAGTTTTGGGTCTTTAATCCACTTTGGGTTGATTTTTGTGTATGGTGAGAGATAAGAGTCTAGTTTCATTGTTATGCATGTGACTATCCAACTTTCCCAGCACCACTTATTTAAGAGGGTGTCCTTTCCCCAGTGTAAATTCTTATTATCCTTGCTGGAGATCATTTTAGCTTTATTTGTTGGTTCTCTATTCTGTTCCATTTGTCTGTGTGTCTGTTTTATACTAATACTATTCTGTTTTGAATAATGTAGCCTGGAAATGTATTTTGAAGTCAGACAATGTGATGCCTCCAGCTTTTTTTTTTTCTTAGAATTGCTTTGGTTTAAGATAGCCATAATTAATATTCAAAGGGCTCTAATGGAAAAAGAAGAAAATATGCAAGACTGTCTGAGTAATGTAAGTAGAGAGATGAAAACTCTGTCACAGAATCAAAAGGAAATGCTATAAATTAAAACCTCTCCAGCAGAAATGACATATGCCTTAGATGAGCTCATCGATGGACTGGAAACAGCTGAGAAAAAAAATCAGTGAGCTTAAATAAATGTCAAAAGAAATTACCAAAACTTAAATGCAAAGAAGAAAATGAATGAAAAAAAAAAAACAGAACAGAATACCCAAGAACTGTGGGACAACTACAAAAAGTGTGACACGCATGTAATAAAAATATCCGAAGCAGAAAAAAGAGAAGAAACAGAAGAAATGTTTGAAACAGTGATGCCTGAAAATTTTCCAAAAGTAATAATAAACAACAAACCAGAAATCCAGGTAGCTCTTAGAACACCCAGCAGGATAAATATCAAAAAATCTATACCTAGGCATATTGTATTCAAATTACAGAAATCAAAGACAAATAGAAAAATTTGAAAGAAACCAATGAAGAGAAACACCTTACCTACTTACCTATAGAGAAGCAAAAATATAAATTTGATCAGATTTCTCTTCATAAGTCATGCAAACAACAAGAGAGTGGAGTAAGGTATTTATAAAGTGTTGAAGGAAGTTAAAATAACCTAGAATTATGTATGTAACAAAATTGGCTTTTAAAATGAAGGAGCAACAAAGACATTCACAGGCAAAGACTGAGGAAATTTGATGCCAATAGACCTGCCTTACAACAAATGTAAAAATAAATCCTTTATAAGAAAGGAAAATGATATAGGTCAGAAGCTTGGACCAAAATTAAAAAAAAGGAGTATTAGAGGAAAAATAAATAAAATACTTATATATTTTTATTTTTAGTTTATGTAACATAACAGTTTGCTCAAAATATTAATAATAGTCTGCTCAAAATAACAGCAACAAAATATTTAATAATTACACATTTTGCATAAGTCAAATGCAGTACAATAATGTTATAAAGGATGAGGGGAAGAGTTGGGAATACTCTTTTATAACTTGCTTGCACTACTATGAAGTGATATAATGTAATTTGAAAGACTACATGGATTAATTGTAAATGGCAACAACGTATATATTATATGTGTGTGTGTGTGTGTGTGTGTGTGTGTGTGTGTGTGTGTGTGTATGAGAGAGAACCGAATGCTAAGAGAGGAGATAAATGGAATTATATAAAGTGTTTAATTGAAACAAGAAGGTAGAAAATGAGTGATAGACAAAATAGGGCAGGAAGAACAAGGACAATGAGTAGAAAAGTGTACCAAATATGGTAAATATTGGTCCAACTACATTAATAATCATTTTATACATCAGGAGTCCAAATACACCAATTAAAAGACATAGAGTCTCAGGGTAAATTTAAAAAACTAGATCCAACTATGCTATTTACGAAAAACAGACTTTAAATATAAAGACCTAGATAGGTTATAAGTAAAGGGGTGGGAAAAGATATTTCATGTTAACTCCAACCAAAGAAAGTTTTGGTAAGGATATTAATTTTAGCCAAAGCAAATTTCAGAGAAAGAAAAATTGCCAGTTATCAAGACATGCATTATATAATGACTAAGTACAAATTATCCAATTAAACATAAATATATTAACGTGTATGTACTTAACAACACAGTGCCAAAATATAGGAGGCCAAAACTGGCAAAACTGCAAGAAAAATAAATAAAGTAACCATTATAGTTAAAGATATTAATATCCCTCTCTCAGTAATTATCAGATCCAGCAGGTAGACAATCAAACAGGATATTGTTAAACTAAAAGACGCCATCAAAAAAACGTATCTAATTGATATCTATAAAATACTTTTTCCAAGACCAGAGCACTACATATTCTGCTAAAATGCACATGCCAAGAGAGACCACAATCTGGGCCATAAAGTACAATTTAACAAATTTAAAACAGTAAAATTATACAAAATGTGCTCCCAAACAACAATGGAATTAAACTAGAAATCAATAACAGAATGATAGCTAGAAAGCCCAAAACACGTAGAGGTAAAATCCACTCTTTTAAGTAACATATAGGTCAAAATTGGTATGAAAGAACATACCATGCTCTTGCATTGGATGAACCAATGTCATTAAAATGATCATGCTGCCCAAAGAAATCTACAGATTTCACATAGTCTCCATGAAACTATCAATGCCCTTCACGAAATTAGGAAAAACAATTGAAAAGTTCCAACAGAACAAAAAAGAACCTGAATAGCCAAAGCAATCTTGAGAAAAAAATGGACAAAGCTGGAGGTATTATATTACCTGAAAACAGCATGGCACTGGTATAAAAATAGACATGTAAATCCATGGAACAGAATAGAGAACCTAGAAATAAAACACCATACCTACAACTAGCTGTTCTTTCACAAAGCCAACAAAAATATATACTGGGGAATGTACACCCTATTCAATAAATGGTACTGGGAAAATTAAATGGCTACATGCAGAAGAATGAAACTGGAACCCTATTTCTCACCATATACAAAAACTAACTCAAGATGGTTTAATACTTAAATGTAAGACTCAAAACTATAAGAACACTAGAAGAAAACTCAGGAAAAACTCTTTTGGACATTGGCCTATGCCAAGAATTTATGACCAAGTCCTCAAAAGCAAATACAATAGAAAAGTAGACAAATGGGACTTAAAGAGCTTCTGCACAGCAAAAAAAAAGCTAGAGTAAACAGACAACCTACAGAATGGAAAATATATTTGCAAACTAAGCATTCAGCAAAGGGCTAATATCTAGAATCTACAAGGAACTCAAACAAGACAACAGGAAAAAAACAAATAATATTATTTAAAAATGGGAAGGGATATGAACAACCATTCTTTAAAAAAAAGACATACGAGTGACTAAGAAACATAAAAAATCCTCAACATCACTAATCATCAGAGAAATGAAAGTTAAAACCGCAATTAGATACCATCTCACACCAATCAGGATGGCTATCATTAAAAAGTAAAAAATCAGCAAATGGTGGGGATGCAGAGAAAAAGGAATACTTATACTCTGTTGGTGGGAATGTAAATTAGTACAACCTCTATGGAAAACACTATGGAGACTTCTCAAGTAACTAAAAATAGAATTATTATTCTATTCAGCAATCACATTACTGGATATCATCCAAAGGAAAATAAATCATTATATCAAAAATATACCCACACTCATGTATTTATCATAGCACTATTTACAATAGCAAAGTCATGGAATCAACATAAGTGTTCATCAATGGATGATTGAATAAAGAAAATATGGTATATATCACGGAATACTACACAGACATAAAACAGAATGAAATCATGTCTTTTGCAGCAACATGGATGGAACTGGAGGCCATTATCCTAGATGAAATTACTCAGAAACAGAGCGCCAAATACTACGTATTCTCACTTATAAGTGGGAGCTGAAGAATGGGTGCATCTAGCATAAAGAGTGGAATAACAGACATTGGAAACTACAAAATATGCGAGGGTAGGAGGCATGAGGGTTGAAAAATTACCTATTGGGTAATATGTACACTGTGGGTGATAGGTACACTAAAAGCCCAGACCTCACCACTATGCAATATATGCATGTAAGAAATCTGCATTTGTACCCCTTAAATCCATGAAAATTTTAAAAATGGTATCTCAAGAGAAATTTCTACATGTTTAAAATAAAATGAAAATGAAAATACAAATTATCAAAATTTGTGGGATGCAACAAAAGCAGGGATTAGTGGGAAAGTTATAATATGAATGTATATATTAAAGATCTAAAAATCAATAGTGTCTTTTATCTGAGGAAAATAGAACAAATTACATTCAAAGAAGCAGAACAAATGTTAGAGCAGAAATTAATGCAATTGTAAACAGGAAAACAATAGGGAATATCAACAAAATCAAAAGCTGATTATTTGAAAACATCAACAAAATTGATGAACTCTAGACAGGCTAATCTAAAAATGGAGATTATGTAAATTACTAATATGAGAAATAAGATAATTTTAGTAATTTAAATTTTAAATTCAGTAATTTACTGAATTTGAGGGCATTAAGATGATACTAAACATTTACTGAATTCGAGGGCATTAAAATGACACTAAAAGAACATTGTGAACAACTCTATGCCTATAAATTTTGTAAACTAGATAAAATTAACCAACCTTGAAAGACACAATGTCAAAGCACAAAAAAAAGATACAAATAAATATCTTTTGTGAACATAGATGCAAAAATTTCCCCAAAATATTAGCAAATCAGGTTCAACCATGTACAAAAGTAATTATACTACACAAACAACTGTGATTAAGTTCAGGTGTGTCTAATGCTGATTTAGTATTCAAAAATCAATAAATGTAATTCATCACATCTGCAAGCTAAAGAAGAAAAATTATATGATCATATCAACAGATGCTGAAAAAGTATTTGACAAAGCTGCGTGTGGAGAAGTCCCAGCTTTTTGGGAGATTGAGGCTGGAGGATCAGTTGATCCTGGAAGTATGTGAGAAAATTTCTACACCCTTTCTTTCTTTTTTTTTTTTTTTTTCTGAGGCAGGGTACAGGCTGAAGTGCAGTGGCATGACTATAGCTCACTGCAGCCTTTACTTCTGGGGCTCAAGCTATCCACCCACCTCAGGGTCTCAGGTAGCTGGGATTACATGTGTGTGCACCACACCCAGCTAATTTTCAACAATCACTCTTTTATTATTATTATTATTATTATACTTTAAGTTTTAGGGTACATGTGCGCAATGTGCAGGTTAGTTACATATGTATACATGTGCCATGCTGGTGTGCTGCACCCATTAACTCATCATTTAGCATTAGGTATATCTCCTAATGCTATCCCTCCCCCTCCCCCCACCCCACAACAGTCCCCAGAGTGTGATGTTCCCCTTCCTGTGTCCATGTGTTCTAATTGTTCAATTCCCATCTCAATCACTCTTAATAAAAGCTGTCAGCAAACTAGAAAATAGAGGAGAATTTTGTTAAATTGATAAAAGTGGATCTAAAAAAACCCTACAGTTAACATCATACATAGTGGTGACAAACTAGATCAGTAACAAAGCAAGGATATTTGCTCTTACCACTCCTATTCAGCATCATATTGGAAGTCCTAGTTCTTGACTCCTCCAAATTTCATATTGAGATTTGATCCCCAATATTAGAGATAGGGCTTAATAGGAGGTGTTTGTATCATGGAGGCATATAACTACATAGATTAATGCTCTCCCTAGGAGGTAGGGGCTGAGTGATTTCTTTCTATATTAGTTACCACAAGAACTGGTTGTTAAAAAGAGCCTGGCACTTCCCATCTCTCTCTTGCTTCCTCCCTTTCCATGTGGTCTCTGCACATGCTGGCTCCCTTTCACCTTCTGCTATGAATGGAAGTAACCTGTGGCCATTGCCAGATGCATATCCCTAATCTTGAACTTTTCCAGACATCAGAACTATAAGCCAAATAAACTTTTAAAAAATAAATTACCCAGCCTCAAGTATTCATTTATAGCAACACAAACCAACTTAGACACCTAGCCAATGTGATAAACAAAGAAAAGGAAACAAAAGGTATATAAAAAGTGAGGTTTATCTCTGGGAATCAAGGATGTTTCAACTTATGAAAATCAATTAATGTGATACACCATGTTTACAAATTAAAGAACAAAGACCACATGATTATCTCAATGGATGCAGAAATGACATTTGGCAAAATTAAGTATCCTTTTATGATTAAAAAAAATAACTCTCAACCAGGAAGAGAAAAAAAGTACCTCAACTCAATAAAGGCTGTATATGAAAAGCTTCCAGGTAACATTATACTCATTGGTGAAAAACTGAAAGCTTTTCATCTAAGATCAGAAACAAGGCAAGAATGCCCGCTCTCACCACCTGAATCAACATAGCATTGGAAGTCGTAGCCAGAGGAATCAGGCAAGAGAAAGAAATAAAAAACACCCAAATTGGAAGAGAAGCATTAAAATTGTCTCTCTTGCAGATGACATGATTTTATATTTAAGATTACCAAGACTCCACCAAAAAACTCTTAAAGTTGATAAAGAAATTAAGTAATTTTGCAGGATACAAAATCAACATACAAAAATCCGTTGCATTTCTTTACAAAAAGGATGAACTATCTAAAAAGGAAATTAATAAAAACAATCCCATTTTAAACTACCATATGATCCAGCAGTCTTATTTCTGAGTAACAAGACATATGTCACTTTATTGTGCTTCACTCTTTACTGCACTTTGCAGATGTGTTTTCACAGAAACACCACATGCTAACAGGTATCAATCCTATGTTGAGCAAGTTTATTAGTGCCATTTTTCAACATCATGTGCTCATTTTGTGTCTCTGTCTTACATTTTGCTAATTCTTACAAGATTTTTAACTTTAAAATTATTATTATATCTGTTACGGTGATCTGTGGTAATCTTTGATATTATTATTTTAATTTGTTTGGGGCACCAAGAACTGCACCCATATAAGATGGTAAACTTAATTGAGAAATGTTATGTGTGTTGTTTTTCTCACTAGCCATTCCTTCACTTCTGTTTCTCTCCTCAGACCTCTCTATTCCCTATGACACAACAATATTAACTTAGGTAAATTAGTAACCCTGCAATGCCCTCTAAGTGTTCAAGTGAAAGGAAGAGTCAAATATCTCCCAGTTAAAATTAATAGCTAGAAATGATTAAGCTTAGTGAGAAAGTCTTGCCAAAAGGGAAGATAGACTGAAAGCTAGGCCTCTTGCATTCAACAATTAGCCAAGTTATGAATGCGAATGAAAAGCGCTTAAGACAAACTAAAAGGATGACTCTGGTAAACACACCAACACGAATGCAAAACAGCCTTGTTGATGATATGGAGTTTTATTGTCTGCACGGAAGATCAAACCAGCCACAACATTCCTTTATGCCAAGGTCTAATCCAGAGAAAGTCCTTAACTATTAAATTTCATGAAGACTGAGAGTGTTGAAGAGGCTGCAGAAGAAAAGTTGGAAACCAGAATGATGGTTCTTGAGGTTTAAGAAAAGAAGCCATTTCCATAACATAAAAGTGCAAGGTGAAGCAGCAAGTGCTGATGTAGAAACTGCAGGAAATTATCCAGAAGATCTGGCTAAGATAATTGATAAAAGTGGCTACATTAAACAGCAGATTGTCAATGTAGACAAAAGGAGCCTTATATTTTACTAAGATGCCATCTGGGACTCTCATACCTAGAGAAGAGAAGTCAATGCCTGGCTTCAAAGCTTCGAAAGACAGGCTGAATGTCTTCTTAGGGGCTACTCCAGCTGGGGACTTGAAGTTGAAGTCAGTGCTCATTCACCATTCCGAGAACCCAAGGGCTCTTAAGAATCATTCTAAATCTACTCTGCTTGTGCCCTATAAAAGGAAGAACAAAGCCTGGATGACAACATATCTGTTTACAGCATAGTTTAATGAATATTTTAAGCCCACAATTGAGACACTGCTTAGAATAAAAAATATTCTTTTCAAAATAGTACTGATCATTGACTGTGCACCTGGTCACCCAAGCTCTGATGAAAATGTACAGGAGATTAATGTTGTTTGTATGGCTAAGACAACATCCATTCTGTAGCCCGTGGATCAAAAAGTAATTTTGACTTTCAAACATTATTAAGAAATACATTTTGTAAGACAGCAGTTGCCATAGATACTAATTTCTCTGATGGATCTTAGCAAAGTAAATGGAAAACCTTCTGGAAAGGATTTGAAGGGTTTGTCATTCTAGGTGTTATTAAGAACATTTGTGATTTATGTGAGAAGGGCAAAATATCAACATTAACAGGAGTTTGGAAGAAGTTGGTTCCAACCCTCATGGGTGACTTTGAGAGGTTCAAGAATTCAGCCAAAGAAACACCTGCAAGATGTGGTGGAAATCACAAGAGAACTAGAATTAGAAGTAGAGCCTGAAGCTATTACTAAATTGCTGCAGTCTTGCGATAAAACTTGAATGGATGAGGAATTGTTTCTTATGGATGAGCAAATAAAGTACTTTCATTTTTTAAGCATCTTTATTTAGATATAAGTCACATATCATAAACATCATACATTTAAAGTGTGCGGTGCAATGATTTTTAGTATATTCACAATTTTGCAACTATCATTACAATCTATTATTAGAACATTTTTTCAAGTGTTATTTTACATTCAGGGGGTACTTGTGCAGGTTTGTTACATGGGTATATTGCATGATGCTGAGGTTTGGGATATGGATGATTCTGTCACCCATGTAGCGAGCATAGTAACCAATAGGTAGTTTTTCAGATAGTGCACCTCTCCCATACTTTTTCCTCTAGTAGTCTCCAGTGTCTGTTGTTCCCATCTTTATGTGCATGTGTACTCAAAGTTTAGCTTCCACTTATAAATGAGAACATGTGGCATTTTGCTTTCTGTTCTTGTGTTAAATCTTCTAGGATGATAGCTTTCAGCTGCATCCGGTTGCTGTAAAGGACATGATTTTATTCTTTTTTATGGCTGCATATAATTACACGGTCTATATGTACCATATTTTCTTGATCCAATCTACCACTGACAGACATCTAGATTGACTCCATGTCTATGTTATTGTGAATAGCACTGTGAAGAATGTAGTAGTGCATGTGACCTTTTGACAGAGGTATTTTCCTTTGGATATACAACCAGTAATGGGATTCCTTCGTCAAATGGTAGCTCCATTTTAATTTCATTAAGAAATCTCCAAACTGCTTTCCACAGTGGCTAAACTAATTTACATTCCCACCAACAGTGTATAAGCATTCCATTTTCTCCTCAGCCTCACCAGCATCTGTTAATTTATGACATTTAAATAACAGCCACTCTGGTATCTTGCTGTTTTGATTTGCATTTCTCTGAAGACTAGTGATGGAGAACATTTTTTCTTATGCTTCTTGGCTGATTGTATGTCTTCTTTTGAGAAGTGCCTGTCCATGTCCTTTGCCTGTTTTTTAATAAGTTCATTTGATATTTACTTCTTGATTTGCTTAGGTTCCTTATGCATTTGGATATTGGACCTTTGTCAGATGCATAGTTTGCAAATGTTTTCTCCCATTCTGTAGGTTGTCTGCTTACTCTGTTGATAGCTTCTTTTGCTGTGCAGAACCCCTCTAGTTTAGTTAGGTCCCACTTCTCAATTTTTGTTTTTGTTGCTATTGTTTTTTAGGAATTCAGCCAAAAATTATTTCCTGAGACTGGTATAAAGAAGGGAATTTCCTAGGTTTTTCTCTAGTATTTTTATAGTTTGAAGTCTTATATTTAAATCTTTAATCCATCTTGATTTAATTTTTGTTTATGGTGAAAGCTATGTGTTTATTTTTAATCTTCTGCATATGGCTGGCCAGTTATCCCAGCACCATTTATTAAATAAGGAGTCCTTTCCTTATTGCTCGTTTTTGTCAGCTTTCTTGAAGATAGATGGTTGTAGGCATGTGGCTTTATTTCTATAGGATCTCTATTCTATTCCATCGGTTTATGTATTGCTTTTGTAGCAGTACCATGCTATTTTGGTTACTCTAGCCTTGTAATACAGCTTAAAGTCAGGTAGTTTGAAAACTCCAGTTCTGTTCTTTTTCCTTAGGATTGCTTTGGCTATTGAGGCTCTATTTTGGTTCCGCATGTATTTTAGAATAGTTTTTTTCCCTCTAATTCTGTGAAAAAAATGATGTTGTTAGTTTGATAGGAATAGGTATGAATCTATAAATTTCTTTGGGCAGTATGGCCATTTTAACAATATTGGTTCTTCCATTTCATGAACATGGGGTGTTTTTCTATTTAGTTGTGTCATCTCTGATTTCGTTCAGCAGGATTTTAAAATTCTTCTTGTAGAAATGTTTCACCTCTTGGTTACCTGTATTTCTCGATATTTCATTTATTTTGGCTATTGTAAATGGGATTGTATTCTTTTTTATTTCTTATTTTTATTTTTTTATTATACTTTAAGTTCTAAGGTACATGTGCAAAACTTGCAGGCTTGTTGCATATGTATACATGTGACATGTTGGTGTGCTACACCCATTAACTCGTCATTTGCATTAGGTATATCTCCTAATGCTATCCCTCCCCCCTCCCCCCACCCCACAACAGTCCCCGGGGTGTGATGCTTTATGAGTTCTTATGGAGGTTTCATTATGATTAAACCGTTGACCATTGGTGATCAACTCAATCTCTAGCCCCTCTCTCCTCCTCAGAGGTTGCATTATTTCTGAGGGCTCTGTTCTGTTCCATTGGTCTATATCTCCATTTTGGTACCAGTACCATGCTGTTTTGGTTACTGTAGCCTTGTAGTATAGTTTGAAGTCAGGTAGCATGATGCCTCCAGCTTTGTTCTTTTGGCTTAGGATTGACTTGGCAATGTGGGCTCTTTTTTGGTTCCATATGAACTTTAAAGTAGTTTTTTCCAATTCTGTGAAGAAAGTCATTGGTAGCTTGATGGGGATAGCATTGAATCTATAAATTACCTTGGGCAGTATGGCCATTTTCACGATACTGATTCTGCCTATCAATTAGCATGGAATGTTCTTCCATTTGTTTGTATCCTCTTTTATTTCATTGAGCAGTGGTTTGTAGTTCTCCTTGAAGAGATCCTTCACATCCCTTGTTAGTTGGATTCCTAGGTATTTTATTCTCTTTGAAGCAATTGTGAATGGGAGTTCACTCATGATTTGGCTCTCTATTTGTCTATTATTGGTGTATAGGAATGCTTGTGATTTTTGCACATTGATTTTGTATCCTGAGACTTTGCTGAAGTTGCTTATCAGCTTAAGGAGATTTTGGGCTGAGACAATGGGGTTTTCTAAATATACAATCATGTCATCTGCAAACAGGGACAATTTGACTTCCTCTTTCCCTAATTGAATACACTTTATTTCTTTCTCCTGCCTGATTGCCCTGGCCAGAACTTCCAACATTATGTTGAATAGGAGTGATGAGAGTGGGCATGCCTTTCTTGTGCCAGTTTTCAAAGGGAATGCTTCCAGTTTTTGCCCATTCAGTATGATATTGGCTGTGGGTTTGTCATAGATAGCTCTTATTATTTTGAGATACGTCCCATCAATACCTAATTTATTGAGAGTTTTTAGCATGAAGGGCTGTTGAATTTTGTCAAAGGCCTTTTCTGCATCTATTGAGATAACCATGTGGTTTTTGTCTTTGGTTCTGTTTATATGCTGGATTATGTTTATTAATTTGCATATGTTGAACCAACCTTGCATCCCAGGGATGAAGCCCACTTGATCATAGTGGATAAGCTTTTTGATGTGCTGCTGGATTCAGTTTGCCAGTATTTTAGTTAGGAGTTTTGCATCAAGGTTCGTCAGGGATATTGGTCTGAAATTCTCTTTTTTTTGTTGTGTTTCTGCCAGGCTTTGGTATCAGGATGATGCTGGCCTCATAAAATGAGTTAGGGAGGATTCCCTCTTTTTCTATTGATTGGAATAGTTTCAGAAGGAATGGTGCCAGCTCCTCCTTGTACCTCTGGTAGAATTCGGTTGTGAATCCATCTGGTCCTGGACTTTTTTTGGTTGGTAAGCTATTGATTATTGCCATATAACTTCAGAGCCTGTTATTGGTCTATTCAGAGATTCAGCTTCTTCCTGGTTTAGTCTTGGGAGGGTGTATGTGCCCAGGAATTAATCCATTTCTACTAGATTTTCTAGTTTATTTGCATAGAGGTGTTTATAGTATTCTCTGATGGTACTTTGTATTTCTGTGGGATCGGTGGTGATATTCCCTTTATCATTTTGATTGCATCTATTTGATTCTTCTCTCTTTTATTCTTTTTTAGTCTTGCTAGAGGACTATCGATTTTGTTGATCTTTTCAAAAAACCAGCTCCTGGATTCATTGATTTTTTGAAGGGTTTTTTGTGTCTCTATCTCCTTCAGTTCTGCTCTGATCTTAGTTATTTCTTGCCTTCTGCTAGCTTTTGAATGTGTTTACTCTTGCTTCTCTAGTTCTTTTAATTGTGATGTTAGGGTGCCAATTTTAGATCTTTCCTGCTTTCCCTTGTGGGCATTTAGTGCTATAAATTTCCCTCTACACACTGCTTTAAATGTGTCCCAGAGATTCTGGTACGTTGTGGCTTTGTTCTGATTGATATCAAATAACATCTTTATGTCTGCATTCATTTCATTATGTACCCAGTAGTCACTCAGGTGCAGGTTGTTCAGTTTCCATGTAGTTGTGTGGTTTTGAGTGAGTTTCTTAATCCTGAGTTCTAATTTGATTGCACTGTGGTCTGAGAGACAGTTTGTTGTGATTTGTGTTCTTTTACGTTTGCTGAGGAGTGCTTTACTTCCAATTATGTGGTCAATTTTGGAATAATGTGATGTGGTGCTGAGAAGAATGTATATTCTGTTGATTTGGGGTGGAGAGTTCTATAGATGTCTATTAGGTCCACTTGGTGCAGAGCTGAGTTCAAGTCCTGGATATCCTTGTTAACCTTCTGTCTCATTGATCTGTCTAATATTGTCAGTGGGGTGTTAAAGTCTCACATTATTATTGTGTGGAAGTCTAAGTCTCTTTGTAGGTCTCTAAGGACTTGCTTTATGAGTCTGGGTAGTGCTGTATTGGGTACAAATATATTTAGGATAGTTAGCTCTTCTTGTTGAACTGATCCCTTTACCATTATGTAATGGCCTTCTTTCATTCTTTGTTGGATGAAACTGTGGTTTATCAAAGACTAGAACTGCAACCCCTGCTTTTTTTTTTTTCTTTCCATTTGCTTGGTAGATCTTCCTCCATCCCTTTATTTTGAGCCTATGTGTGTCTCTGCATGCGAGATGGGTCTCCTGAATACAGCACACTGATGGTTCTTGACTCTTTATCCAATTTGCCAGTCTGTGTCTTTTAATTGGGGCATTTAGCACATTTGCATTTAAGGTTAATATTGTTATGTGTGAATTTTATCCTGTCATTATGTCATTATGATGTTAGGTAGTTATTTTGCCCATTAATTTATGCCATTTCTTCATAGCATCAATGGTCTTTACAATTTGGCATGCTTTTGCAGTGGCTGGTATCTGTTGTTCCTTTCCATGTTTAGTGCTTCTTTGGGGAGCTCTTGTAAGGCAGGCCTGGTGGTGACAAAATCTCTCAGCATTTGCTTGTCTGTAAAGGATTTTATTTATCATTCACTTATGAAGCTGAATTTGGTTGGATGTGAAATTCTGGGTTGAAAATTCTTTTCTTTAAGAATGTTGAATATTGGCCCCCACTCTCTTCTGGCTTATAGGATTTTTACCGAGAGACAGCTGTTAGTCTGATGGGCTTCCCTTTTTGCATAACCTGACATTTCTGTCTGGCTGCCCTTAACATGTTTTCCTCCATTTCAGTGTTGGTAAATCTGATGATTATATGTCTTGGGATCCTCTTCTCAAGGAGTATCTTTGTGGCATTCTATGTATTTCCTGAATTTGAATATTGGCCTGCCTTGCTAGGTTGGGGAAGTTCTGATGGATAATATTCTGAAGAGTGTTTTCCCTCTTAGTTCCATTCTCCCCATCACTTTCAGGTACACCAATCAGACGTAGAGTTGGTCTTTTCACATAGTCCCATATTTCTTGAAGGCTTTGTTCATTTGTTTTTACCCCTTTTTCTCTAAACTTGTCTTCTGGCTTCATTAATTTGATCTTCCATCACTGATACCCTTTCTTCCATTTGATCGAATCAGCTACTGAAGCTTGTGCATGCATCATGAAGTTCTTGTGCCATGGTTTTCAGCTCCATCAGGTCACTTAAGTTCTTCCCTGCACTGTTTATTCTAGTTAGCCGTTTGTCTAACCTTATTTCAAGGTTTTTAGCTTCCTTGCAATGGGTTAGAACATGTTCCTTTAGCTCATAGAAGTTTGTTATTACCAACCTTCTGAAGCCTACTTCTGTCAACTCATCAAAGTCGTTCTCTGTCCAGCTTTGTTCCATTGCTGGCAAGGAGCTGCAATCCTTTGGAGGAGAAAAGGTGCTCTGATTTTTAGAATTTTCAGCTTTTCTGCTCTGGTTTCTCCCCATATTTGCAGTTTTATCTACCTTTGGTCTTTGATATTGGTGACCTACAGATGGGGTTTTGGTGTAGATACCATTTTTATTGATGTTGATGCTATTCCTTTCTGTTTGTTAGTTTTCTTTCTAACGGTCAGGTCCCTCAGCTGCAGGTCTGTTGGAGTTTGCTGGAGGATGACTCCAGATCCTGTGCACCTGGGTATCACCAGTGGAGGCTGCAGAACAGCAAATATTGCTGCCTGATCATTCCTCTGGAAGCTTTATCCCAGAGGGGCACCCCCCTCTATGAGGTGTCTTTCGGCTCCTACTGGGAGGTGTCTCCCAGTTAGGCTACACAGGGGTCGGGGACCCACTGGAGTAGGCAGTCTGTCCATTGTCAGAGCTCAAACGCTTTGCTGGGAGAACCACTGCTCTCTTTAGAGCTGTCAGACAGGGACATTTAAGTCTGCAGAAGTTTCTGCTGCCTGTTGTTCAGCTATGCCCTGCCCACAGAGGTGGAATCTATAGAGGCAGTAGACCTTGCTGAGCTGCAGTAGGCCCCACCCAGTTCGAGCTTCCTGGATGCTTTGTTTACCTGCTCAAGCCTCAGCAATGGCGGACTCCCCTCTCCTAGCCAGGCTGCAGCCTTGCTGGTCGATCTCAGAGTGCTGTGCTAGCCGTCATCAAGGCTCCATGGACATGGGACCCGCCAAGCCCGGCACTGGAGAGAATCGCCTGATCTGCGGGTTGCTGAGACTGTGGGAAAAGCACAGTATTTGGATGGGAGTTTCCCATTTTTTCCAGGTAAAGTCTGTCACGGAGTCCCTTGCCTAGGAAAGGGAAATCCCCTGACCCCTTGTGCTTCCCAGGTAGGTCGATGCCCTGCTCTGCTTCAGGTCGCCCTCCGTGTGCTGCACCCACAGTCCCAACAAGTCCCAGTGAGATTAACCAGGTACCTCAGTTGGAAATGCAGAAATCACCCATCTTCTGCCTCGATCATGCTGGGAGCTGCAGACCCGAGCTGATCCTATTCGGCCATCTTAGAACGGATCCCCGGTCCTCTTTAATTTCTTTTAGCAATGTTTGAGAGTTTTTAGTGGACAAATCTTTCACCTCCTTGGTAAAATATATTCCCAATTTTTATTTGTATTCTTTTGAATATTATTGTAAATGGAATTTAAAAAAATCTTTTCAGTTGTTCATTGCTTGTGTGTAGAAACACAACCGATTTTTGTTGGTTGGCTTGTATCATGAAAATTTGCTGAGTTTTGTTATTAGCTCCCATAGGTTTTTAAATAATTTTGACAGATTTTCTATATACAGGATTATATCATCTGCAGATATAAATAGTTTTACTTCTTTCTTTCTAATGACAATGCATTTTTTTTAATCTGCCTAATTGTACTGGCTATTACTTCCAGTGCAATGTTGAATAGCAGTGTTGAAAGCAGACATCCTTTTCTTATTTCTGATCTTAAGGGGAAAGGTTTTATTCTTTTACTATTAAGTGTAATTTAGTTGTGGGCTTTCCATAAATACCTTTTATCATTCTGAGGAATTATTGTTTCTAGTTATTGCTTTCTGGGTGCTTTTATTATGAAAGTTTATTGGATTTTGTCAAATGCTGTTTCTGCATCAACTGAGAAGATTATGTTATCTTTTTTCATATGTATGTGTATATATGTGGTATATTATATTGATTGGTTTCTATAAATTTGGTAGTAATGTCTCTACTTTTATTTCTGATGTTAGTTATTTGCATCTTTATCTGTTTTCTATTTATGTATTGCTTAAAGTTTGATAATGTTGTTGATCTTTTATATGAATTATATTTTGGTCTTTAAAATTTTTTTCCTATTGCTTTTCTATTCCCTATTTTGTTTACCTCTGTTCTGATCTTAATTTTTCTGTTCTTCTGCCAGCTTTGTGTTTAGTTTGCTCTTTTGTAGTTCCTAAGAGTGAAAAGTTGTGTTATTGATTTGAGAAGTTTTATTTTTAAATTTATGCATTTGTTGCTGTAAAATTCCCACTGAGCATTGTTTTCACCATATTTTATAAGTTTTCATATGTGGTGTTTTGCTTTTCATTTTCTTTGGGCTATTCTCTAATTTACCTTGTGTTTTATTCTTAAACCAATTGGCTGTTTAAGAGTGTTTTCTTTAATTTCTGCATACTTGTAAATTTCTCAGTTTTCCTTCTGGTGTTGATTTCTAGTTCATTTCATTGTCGCCAGAGATAATCCTTTGTGTGGTTTTGATCTCTTTACATTTATTGATACTCATTTTGTGCCTTAAATATGTTCTAGGCTGAGCATAGTGGCTCATACTTGTAATCCCAGCACTTGGAGAGGCCAAGGTGGGAGGATCATGAGCCCAGGAATTTGAGACCTTCCTAAGCAACATAGTGAGACCTTGTCTCTACAAAGAAATCAACAATTCACCAGGCATAGTGGTGTGCACCTGTAGTCCTAGCTACTCAGGAGGCTTAGGTGATAGGATGGTTTGAGCTAGGGAGATTGAGGCTTCAGTCAGCTGTGATCATGCCACTGCACTCTAGTCTGGGCAATAGAGCAAAACTCTATCTCAAAAAAAAAAAAAAAAGATCGATTCTATTCTGAAGAATGTTCCATGCTCATCTGAGAAAAATATGTATTCTAATGTTGTTAGGTGGAGTGTTCTATATATGTTTACTAGGTTTAGTTTATAGTGTTTTCCATGTCCTCTCTTCTCTTGTTGATCTTCTTTCTAAATGTTCGATTATTATTGAAATTAGAACATTGAAGTCAACTATTATTGTAAATTGTCTATTTCTCCCTTTAATCCTATCAGTGTTTGCATATAATTTTGATTCTGTTGCTTTGTGCATGCATGTTTATAATTATTATACATTCTTGTTAGATTGACCTTTTATCAATACAAAATGACCTTCTTTGTTTCTCATAACTTATTTTTTCCCTTTCTTATTTTCTTTTAATTTTTATTTTTATTTTAAGTTCCAGGGTACACATGCAGGATGTGTAGGTTTGTTACATAGATAAACACGTGCCATCGTGGTTTGCTGCACCTGCAACCCATCACCTATTAAGCCCAGCATGCATTAGCTATTTTTCCTGATGCTTTCCCTCCCCCTGCCCACCCCCAATAGGCTCCATTGTGTGTTGTTCCCCTCCCTGTGTCCATGTGTTCTCATTGTTCAGCTCCCACTTATAAGTGAGAACATGTGGTGTTTGGTTTTCTGTTTCTGCGTGAGTTTGCTGAGGATAATGGCTTCCAGCTCCATCTATGTCCCTGCAAAGGACATGATCTCCTTCCTTTTATGGCTGCATAGTATTCCATGGTGAATATGTACCACATTTTCTTTATCTGGTCTATCATTGATGGGCATTTGGGTTGATTCCATGTCTTTGCTATTGTGAGTAGTGCCACTTCTTTTAACTTAAAGTGTTTTTTTTATAATGTTAATATAGTTACATCATCTCACTTTTGGTTACTATTTGCATGGAATAGCTTTTTTCATTATTTTACTTCCAAATTATTCAAGTCTTTTGTCTCTAACCTAAGTCTATTGCGAATATCATATAGTTGGGTCGTTCATTTTGTACATTCTGCCAGACTCTGTTGTTAAACTGATGATTAAGTCATTTATGTGTAATGTGACTACTAATCGGAAGGACTTCTGCTATACTGTATTTGTTTTCTGTAAGTCATAATTTATTTGTTTCTCAATTCCTCTAATACTGACTTTTTTGTTTGATTTTTTCTAGTGTATTATTTTGATTCCCTTCTAATTTTGTTTCCTGTGTATATCTTAGTTTTTTTATAGTGTTCATGATGATCATTACAATAGGCATCCTAAAATTAGATCAACCTGGTTTGAATTTATGCCAATGTAGCTTCAATTATGTCCAAAATTTGTTTCTGTATGGCTTACTTCTTTATGTTGTTTTTGTCACAAATTATATCTTTACATTAATCTAATACATTAACATGTATTGATAATTTTTGTTTCATTAATTTGTCTTTTAAATCTTATTGTAAACAAAAAGGAATTACTAACCTAATATTAATAATATTTGCTTTTATATTTATTTATATAGTTACCTTTACTGAAGTTTTTTTATTTCTTCATGTGGCTTCAAGTTACTGTCTAATGCCCTTTTATCTCAATCCAAGGGACTCTCTCTACCATTTTATTAGAGTCCTTCTACTGGTAATGAATTTTCTCAGCTTTTCTTTATCTGGTAATGTCTTAATCTCTGCTTATTCTTGAAGAATAGTTTTACAGACAAAGAATTTTTGTTTAACAGCTTTTTCTTTCAGGATTTTGAATAAGTCAGCCTACTGCCTTCTAACTCTTATGGTTTCTGATGATAAATCATATCTTTAAATTATTGAGGATCACATTTATGTGTGATGCATTATTGCAGATCACTTCTTTCTTGCTCCTCTCAGGATTCTCTCTTTCTCTTGGCTTTCAGCAGTTTGATTATAATGTATCTAGTTGTGGAGCTCTTTGAGTTTATTCTACTTGGAGTTCATTGGCCTTCTGGATGTGTAGATTCAACAGTCTATCAAATTTGGTATTTTACCATTCAGAACATACACATGGGCAAAGACTTCATGACTAAAACACCAAAAGCAATGGCAAGAAAAGCCAAAATTGACAAATGGGATCTAATTAAACTAAAGAGCTTCTGCACATCAAAATAAACTATCATCAGAGTGAACAAGCAACTTACAGAATGGGAGAAAATGTTTGCAATCTATCCATCTGACAAAGGGCAAATATCCAGAATCTACAAAGAACATAAAACAAATTTACAAGAAAAAAACAAACAACCCTATCAAAAAGTGAGCAAAGGATATGAACAGACACTTCTCAAAAGAAGACATTTATGCAGCCAACAAACATATGAAAAAAAAGCTCATCATCACTCGCCATTAGAGAAATGCAAATCAAAACCACAATGAGATACCATCTCACGCCAGTTAGAATGGCGATCATTAAAAAGTCAGGAAACAACAGATGCTGGAGAGGATGTGGAGAAATAGAAATGCTTTTACACTGTTGGTGGGAGTGTAAATTAGTTCAATTATTGTGGAAGACAGTATGGCGATTCCTCAAGAATCTAGAACCAGAAATACAATTTGACCCAGCAATCCCTTTACTGGGTATATACCCAAAGGGTTATAAATCATTCTACTATAAAGACATATGCACACGTATGTTTATTGTGGCACTGTTCACAATAGCAAAGACTTGGAACCAACCCAAATGCCCATCAATGATAGACCGGATTCAGAAAATGTGGTGCATATACACCATGGAATACTATGCCGCCATAAAAAAGGATGAGTTTATGTCCTTTGCAGGGATGTGGATGAAGCTGGAAGCCATCATTCTCAACAAGCTAACACAAGAACAGAAAACCAAACACTGCAAGTTATCACTCATAAGTTGGAGGTGAACAGTGAGAACACATGGATACAGGGAGGTGAACATCACACACTGGGGCCTGCCATGGAGTGGGGGGCTGGGGGAGATAGCATTAGGAGAGATACCTAATGTAGATGATGGGTTGATGGGTGCAGCAAACCACCATGGCATGTGTATACCTATGTAACAAACTTGCACGTTCTGCACATGTATCCCAGAACTTAAAGTATAATAAAAAAAATTTTAAAAAAGAAAACAAATTGGTATTTTTTGGTTGTTATTTCTTCAAATATTCTTTCCACCCCATTCTCCCTTTTCTCCCTTTTGGACCTCCATAATGCACATGTTGGTATGCTTGAAGGTGTCCCACACAACCCTTAAGGTCTGTTTATTTTTTGTCATTCTTATTTTCTGTTAGCTCCTCAGATTTGGTAATTTACATTGTCCTATATTCAAGTTCACTAGTTCTTTCTTCTGCCAGTTCAAATATGCTTTGTATCCCCTCTAGTGAAATTTTCATTCAACTATTATACTTTTCAGTGTCAAAATTTTTATTTTAGTTCTTTTTGTAATGTGTTTTTATTGGTATTATGTTCAGAAATCCTTTTCCTGGTTTTCTGTAGCTTTTAATTTTTTTAAGGTTTTCTTTTTAACCTCTGTGAGCCTGTTTAAGCCAGTTGATGCAGCTGGACATGGTGGCTCATGCCTGTAATCCTAGCACTTTGGGAGGCCAAGGAGTGGGGATCACTTGAGGTCAGGAGTTCAAGACCAACCTGGCCAACATGGTGAAACCCCGTCTCTACTAAAAATACAAAAATTAGCTGGGCATGGTGGTACATGGCTGTAGTCCCAGCTACTCGAGGATGGCTTGAACCTTGGAGTCAGAGGTTGCAGTGAGCAGAGATTATGCCACTGCACTCCAGCCTGGGCGACAGAGCAAGACTCCATCTCAGAAAAAAAAAAAAAAAAGACAGTCTTTGTCTAGGAAGTTGAATGTCTAGACTTCTTTGTGGATAATTTTTGTTTATTTTTTCCTGTAAATAGGCCATACTTTCATGGTTTTTTTTTTTGTATGCCTTGTTTTTTGTTGAAAACTGGACATTTTAAATGTTATGTGGTAACTCTGAAAATAAGAGTTTTCTCCCCTCCCTAGGTTTGCTGTTGGTGCTTGTTATGAGCTGTGGGCTTTCATTTGTATAGTGACTTTTCCAAACTAATTTTTGCAAAATATAGAATTATTATTTTGTGTTGTTACTGAAGTCTCCATTTTACTATTTCAGTGGTCAGACAGTGACCTGGCAGGGATAGTTTTTTTTTTTTTTTTTTTTTTGTGATGTCTAGACAAAAAAATTAAAAAGGAGAAAAAAGAAAAAAAGAAATGAAAAAACACACAACACAAACACGCACACACACTGCTAGTCAAGTCTTTACAGATCGGTTTTGAATTTGAGAACTCCTTCAATGCTAATATGAATGTATATTCTGTTGTTTTTGGGTAGAGTGTGTGGAGTGTTCTGTAGATATATGTCAGGTCCCCTTCATCCAGAGCTGTATGAGGTGTCTGGTGACCTCTGTTGGGAGGTCTCACCCAGTCACGATGCAGGAGATCAAGGGCTTATTTAAGGAAGCAGTCTGGCCCCTTGGCTAAGCAGGTGAGCTGTGCTGGGGGGAATCCCACTCTTCTGGATTGTCCGGATTCCTCAGAGCTAGCAGGGGGACTGACTAAGTCCTCTGAATGGGAGACTGCGGCTGGCCCTACCCCCAGGGGCTCTGTCCCAGGGGGATCATAGTTCTGTCTGTAAATCCCTGGCTGGAGTTGCTAAAATTCCCGCAAGGAGGCCCCGCCCGGTTAGGAGGGATGGATCCGGGTCCCACCTATAGAAGCAGTCTGTCCATGATTGGTCACAGCTGCTGTGCTACACTGTGGGGAGTTCCTACTGATCCAAACCGCCCAGTCTCCTTGGCACCCACAGGGGATAAAGGCCTACTGGAGCCCCAGTGATGGCAGCCAACCCTTCCCCCCAGGAAGTCGGTCATCTTAGGCCATCTCCAGCGTGCTGCCCCTGGGCGCAATGTTAGCGGCCGCCAAGTGTCTGCACAGTTCTGTGCTTGGGACCCAAGGACCTCCTCTAGTTTTAGATATCGCTCTGCTGCGAACTTACTGGAATATCTTGCGCAAGTGCTTGTTTTTCTTTCTAAACTTCAGTGTTCTCATTTGTCAGATAAAGAGAGTTTGCAATTATATGACCTCTTGCAACTTTGATTTGTGGAATTCTATTATCCAGCAGGCAAAACAGTAGACATTGGGTGTGACTACCTGTGCCAAGAGGTGTGAAAAGTGGAATGACCGTCCTCATATTGCATATGGACATAGACATAGTTTTTTATATTGAATGCCTGGGCTAAATCAAATAACTTCCTTGTTCTTTAGTTTGCCTATCTGATATGAGAGCAGAATCAAGGACTAAGAAATATTTTAGTTAGTTGTTTTAGAAATCACATATTTCCCCAAGTTGCCTCAGGCAAAAGTGAAGGATATGTGGAGTGGTAGGAAAAAGCATTACAATTTTATACAGATCAAAGGTAGCATAATATAAAGAGTAACATAAAGAGTACTTAAATTGGCATCAGAAGCGTTGGCTTCCGTTTTACTTTTTACTCACTACGCTGACTTATATTGTGTGTGGTCTTTTCTCCACACTTCAGTTTGTCTCATCTATAAAATGAAAAAATTATACAACTCTTTGTTTCTTGTCAAATTTTAAAAAGTTTGAATAGTTATGGATTTCCTTGAATGTATACTACATATGGGAGGAATTTTCTATTTGTGGTAAGATTATGTTTTTCTCTTAAAATTATTTATTTATTTATTTATTTATTTTTTTGGCCAGGCACGCTGGCATGTGCCTGTAATGCTAGCTACTCTAGAGGCTGAGGCAGGAGGATTGTTTGAGCTCAGGAGTTTGAAACTAGTCTGGGCAACATAGTAAAACCCCATCACACACAAGAAATCATTTTTTAGGTAAGTCCATTTAAAAAATATATTAAGTAAAAAATAGTCAAAGTCATGAAGGGGAAGGTTAGATAGTCTCTGAATTCTTTTTCTGAGACTCAAGTCCTGATTTATCTCATTCTCAAAATGGAAGCCAACACATCTGGAAAGGAGCATCTGCTGAGGATTTTTGTTATTGAGTCTAGGTTTGGCAGTTGACAGCTAAAATTTCTTTAACATACTGGAAAACATGATCAAAGGAATCTTTATTCCCTATGCATTTTGGAGTGATGTTGTTCCCAGTTAATTAGTGATAGAAGTGGACCTTACCATTCACAGGTGTAGAACAAGCAAGCTGGGAGTGCCCTCAGGCCATGAGGGCAGGCATTATGTAGTAAAATATCTTTCAGTGCACCAGATATACCTTTAGTAAACTGATGTGGTACCCGGCTAAGCAGGATCGAAAGCTGATATTCCCATAATAATAATATCATTTAGCAAGTACTTACCTTGTGTCAAGCAAGTTTGTAAGAACTTTATATGGAATATCTCATTGAATATTCATGACAACTCTATAAAGTAAATACTGTTATTACCACTTTTTTCAGATGAGAAACCTGATACACAGAGCAAGTAAGTACCATACCTAAGGTCACAGAGCTAATAAAGAGAAGAGTTAGGCTTCAAGCATCTATCTTTTCTGTTCCATGTGAAAGCTATTCCATTACTGAATTCTCCCACTAAAGTTACCAGGTTCACTTTGTTAAATATGAATTCATCTAACTGATGGTCAGCTTTTGTATAGAACAGCATTTCTTCCCTGATTTGACTTTTTATTCTGTGCTTTCTTAGCTCTTTGCCTTGGGGCCCAGACTGCTTCTGCTCTAAAATTAAAGTTGTTACTACATGGCGTGAAACTGCTTTGGCAGTCTGAGGTCCAGCATCTGGCCAAAGAGATCCTGGCTGCAAGCCTGAATGCTCATATGGAGCTGTACCTGGCAGGAACAGGTGTGATGAGGAGGATCCAGCCCGGGATTCTGAGAGAAAGGCTGGATCTGTTGCAATATAGTATTTATGAGAGAGAAGGTAGCCTGATGGGATCCAATGAGAAGAATTGATGAAAGAGCTAGTGAAAAATAACTACCCTCATCTCCATTCAGTTGAGAGCTAATTCTGAAGTCTTTTCACCCTGGTGGCCTTTTCTGCCAGAAATCAGTGTTATAGCCAGAGGCCCAGAATTTGCAAGTTCCTGAAAAGGGCCTGGAAAGCTGGAGGAGGAATGGTCATGAGAGAAGATGGGCATCAGCTGGATGTGGGATTTTTTCCCCCAGCTTTATTGAGGTATACTTCAGAAATAAAATATTGTCTATATCATGGTATACAGTATGATGTTCTGATATATATATATATATATATATATATATATATAGTGAAATGATTCCCACAATCAAGATAATTAACATATCTATCACCTTACAGTTACCGTATTTTCTTTTTTTGTGTGTAGTGAGAACATTTAAGATCTACCCTCTTAGCAGATTTCATGTATACAATGCAATATCATTAACTATAGTCACCATGCTGTACCTTAGCTCACTAGGCATTTGAAATGTTCTGCCTTTAAAATACCTTAACAGTTCATAAACATTGTAACATGTTAGAACTCTTATCTATACTTTCTTTGGTGCAATATCATGCTTTAATAAATTCCTAACATGAGTTCTTGAGTGAACTTTCTAATAAGTTAGAACTCTTGGCCAGGCATGATGGCTCATGTCTGTAATCCCAGCTGTTTGGGAGACTGAGATGGGAGGATTACTTGATGCCAGAAGTTTGAGACCAGTCTGGCCAACACAGCAAGACCCCTATCTCTATTAATTTTAAAAAAGAAGGGAAAAAAAGTAGAACTCTCCAAGCCATGAAATACCTTGTGAGAACCAGAGACTTTGATATAACAGTCCTAACACATTTCAGTACAAGTAACTATCCTCCCATTTCAACTTCCCCCTTATATACATTTGAACTTGCTCATGAACATTAGCATGCTCCTTTTTGAAATCAAATCTATTCAACAAACATTCCCTGAGCATCTGCTCTATTGCAAGGCTTGTGCTGAGTGCTGAGCAGGAGATGCAAGTGCCTTAGACAAAATTGAGGTTTTGTATTCACTGAATTTTTGCATTCTGTGACAAAAGCATGATCCTGTCCTCATAGAATATATAGTCTACCCTGGCTGCTCTATTGTGCTCTATCATCTCTGGGGGAAAAAAAAACAGAAAGAACCTCAGTTTGCCATTGATTTCAGCTTATTCCTCAATCAGAACTGTTCATTAGGAACAGTGAAACAATTATTCTACATTCTTATTAAATATGCCACTTTCAGATACTCATATGTAAAATGTTAAATTGTTCTGAAGCAAGACAACTGCAGGACCAACACATTGGATCATGTTTTTGATTAACTGTCTTTTAGTGTTTCTTCAAATTCATTTATCTTTAACTGTTTAATCTAATCCTTGTGTCAGTGTGGGGCAGCAGTGAAGTCAGACTGCCTAAATTTAAGTGCTAACCTCTGCACCTCTGTTTTAGTCCATTGAGCTGCTAGGACAAAGTACCATAGATTGGGTGGCTTATAAACAACAGAAATTTATTTCTCATGGTTCTGGAGGCTGGGAAGTCTAAAATCAGGGTGCCAGAATATTGGGTTTCTGGTGAGGGCCCACTTCCTGGTCCTGGTATGGCAGAAGGGGCAAGCAACCTCTCTAAGGCCTCTTTTATAAGGGTGCTAATTCCATTCCGTGAGGGCAGAGCCCTCATGAAATAATCACCTCCCAAATTTTCTACCTCCTAATGCCATCAGCTTGGGACTTAGGATTTCAACATAAGAATGAGGGCAGGAAGGGGGGACAAAAATCAGACTATAGCAATTCCTAATTGTATGACCTTAGACAGTTAACATTTCTCATACTCAGTTTACCTACCCCACAGGGCTGTTGTGAGTTGCAGAGGAGCTAATGTGTGTGTATATATATAAAGCACTTAATACAATATCTGGCACCTATTGCTCAATATAAGTCAGCTATTACTGTTAATATGCGCTATGAGAATGGAGTTGGTGAATTCCATTAGGCCATAAACAACTCAGAAAGTCAGATAAACCTTAAATGGTCTGAAATAGAAGTTATAAATACTTATCATTACTATTTGTATTATTCTTAAGTACATTTTATGTATCGATTTCTAAGGCCCTCACAGTCTTATTTTCACTTGTTTACTACAATGTTTGTATGAGATAGGTAGAGTGGAGATTCTGACCTGAGTTAACTGAGGCCTAAAGAGACTAGATGATTTGTTTAGGGTCACACTTGAAAGCCTAAGTCTCCTAACTCTTAATTTCAAATCCTTCCACTAGATTTTAGATTTGCACTAAAATCTCTTAGTTTTTAGTGCAAATGTTATTGTAATTTAATCATCAATAAACTATAATGGAAAAACTTCTTCTGGGTGATAAAATTTTGCCAATAATAATGTTCTTCCTTCTGGTTACATAACGCAAGCTTTTTCTGAAGCAGTATACAGCTCTGCTGGTCTGAAGTTTCTAATTTAGATTGTTTTTGATTGTATTTATATATTCATTTGTTGTATATATGTATATTTCAGTCACAAACTTTATATAGTTCACATAGGCTCATAGTTGGGAGGAGGAAGGGCAGGATGTAGGAAGTCTCAAATAGGAGGAAATTCCTGGAGAAGGTGTAGATAGAGAGAATGTTGTATGTAACTCTGTTTTGCAGGACCCAGGATAGCTTTTCTTAAATCTGTGAGGGATTATCTTATCTGAGCCATGGAATCAAAAGTATTTGTCATAGTTTGAAGAGAGGAGGCCTGTATGTGAAAGACAGAAGGAAGAGAAGTTAAAGAGACTGATCTACTTCCCACAGAGCCTTCTTTCCTCCTACTGGGGTCCGCTTTGACAGAAGAGAGCTTTTATTTCCTTTGCTAAAGTGGGAAAAGGAGGAAGAGGGTCATGGTGGGAGAATGAAAAGGTTGCCTCTGTCTTTGCTGCCTGATCCCCAAAGAGCCTAATGGGAGAGCTGAGGAGGCATCCCAGGGGAGGCCAGCTGAAGCAAGCTGGCTGTGACAGAGCAATCATCACACCAGGTTCCGCTTATTATTATTTTTTGAGACAGAGTCTCCTTCTGTCACCCAGGCTGGAGTGCAGTGGCGTGATCTTGGCTCATTGCAACCTCTGCCTTCTGGGTTCAAGCGATTCTCCCGTCTCAGCCTCCCAAGTAGCTGGGACTAGAGGCGCATGCCACCATGCCTGGCTACTTTTTGTTTTTAGTAGAGACGAGGTTTCACCATATTGGCCAGGCTGGTCTCGAACTCCTGACCTCATGATCCACCCGCCTTTGCCTCCCAAAGTGCTAGGATTACAGGTGTGAGCCACCGCGCCTGGCCTATTTTTAGTGATTTTAAAAAAACTTTAGGTTTTGGGGTTGTTTTGTTGTTGTTTTAACGTAGTCTAGTTTCTGTAGGCTGACTAGTTTCTCAGTTACAGAAGGGGCTGACTTCTCCAGTGTGCCTGCAAGCAGAAGAATGGGTTGTGCAAGTTTAGGTCTGGATCTGCATAAGGTAGGAGCCATAAGGTAGTACCCAAGTATTCTTTGGGTACTAGAAAATTTGGAAGTCCACGTAGTTGATGGTTACTCCATTTCGGCCCTTTTACACTAGCGGAGGGTGTTTAGAAAGGCTATATATATATATATTATCCTTAGTTTTTAGTTTAAAAGTATCTTTGGAAACTTTACTTTTAACTAATCTGGAATCTACAATGTAAGTCCCACAGTATGCTTGCAGTGCAAATAGAGCTCCAAAACTAGTCTTTTAGTCTCCTACTTTTTTTCCAACCCAACTTACCTAAGCTCTTCCGATGTGGGAATTCTGGATGCCACCACTGCCTTGTCTCCTTTTTCTTATGCCACCCAATCCGAACCCTGATGCTAACAGTGCCCAGCTTTAGGTAGAATGTCCAGGGACTTCAAGCTACAGCCCTCTTGAAGGCTTAGGATTTCATTTTTCAGCTTTGGTAATACAGGAAATTTTCCCTGAGTTTTTTCGACTTTTAAACAAACACTATTTCCCACTATTCAGCTGACCTTTGTGCAGTGGCTAAGCTCTCCCTTAAGGAAGAGACCATTCCAGGCAGCTGGCCAGGTGTCCAACTATTTGTCTGTGCTCTTGGTTCCTGCATGAAGGGCTCAAAAGAGAGATGAAAGAGAAAAATGTCCCCAGCCTGAATGGCTTTACCCCATTTCCTCCATTTATACCAGCTCTCCAGAAATTCCCATGGTCTCTTAGGCCTTGGGATGAGTGTTATTGCTAGCTCCAGAAACATGCTTTTGGTCATCCCTTCCTGCTGCCACTCACTCACCCACCACCTAGGGCCTTTCCCTCTTCTTTTGTATGAAGGTGAGAGAAAAAGAGAATATGCCCCACCTCCTCCCCTTTGAGGCTCAAGGAAGCATAAATTCTGGGTTTTAGAGGGCATGTTTCCAAGTGAGGGTGAGAGTTTGACCTTTTTCATTCTTTCTCAAGTAATCCTGCTAGCTTCTGAGCAGGGTGACTGTAGCATGCCCTGGACCTAAAGAAAACACTAAATTCCGGGCCGAACACAGTGGCTCACGCCTGTAATCCCAGCACTTTTGGAGGCCAAGGTGGGCAGATCACGAGGTCAGGAGATTGAGACCATCCTGGCTAACACAGTGAAACCCCGTCTCTACTGAAAATACAAAAAATTAGCCGGACGTGGTGGCGGGCACCTGTAGTCCCTGCTATTCGGGAGGCTGAGGCAGGAGAATGGCGTGAACCCGGGAGGCGGAGCTTGCAGTGAGCCGAGATCCCGCCACTGCACTCCAGCCTGGGCCACAGAGCGAGACTCCGTCTCAAAAAAAAAAAAAAAAAAAGGAAAACACTAAATTCAGACACCACACACATAAGGCTTCCTGCCTATGACTGTGAAAGGGATAATCAAGAAAGGAAAAGATAAAGGGCAAAGGAAGGAGAAAGGATGGAGAGAAGGGCTGGAAAGGAAGAGGTTGGAGAAAGAATAGCCTGCAGTTAGAGAAAAGGGAGAAAAGTGAAGAAAGGGGAGAGGAAAGAGAACGTTTCTGAGTGGGCAGGACTGACTTGTCTATTGGCATTATTTATTGCTTTTGGACTTATATCCTGACTCCTTTAGTTTTCACGTGGCTGTAATTTTATCAGACTGCCCTGAAAGCTCAGTTCTTCTGACCCGGAAATTCTTTTCCCAAAGACAGAGAAGAATTGTGATTTATCTTTTCATGTTTCTGCCTTCTTCAGCTTTTCTTTAGCATCCCAGTAGGATGATTCTTGGAGAAAAGCCACATGGCCCATGTTGGCTGAACTTTAGATTCAAATAAAGGCTACTTGCCACAGCCAGGGCCTGATGGTTTTCATTATTGCCACAGTACCTATGTAAGTTTGATGTGACTTATCATATACTTCAGAAAGTAGTTGATAGTCCTTAGTAACTATGGTCATAAATAGAAAGGTCCTTATTTGAAGGAAACACTCCTACTTAATCCCAGGAAAAATCATTTCCAACTGTGTGTGTGTCTTTATTGTGCAAACCCTTGCACTTAGTAGATACTCAATAAACATTTATGGAATCAGTATCTACATCTGCAAAAATTGGGTGATAGTTTTTTCTCTGAACATGTTTTGAGTAAAATTTCATAATTTTTGTTATCATTAAGGTTGTCATTGCTTGATTATTCTCTACTCCTTATTAACTGAAATGATAATAAAGCCATAAAGGTTTATGAAACACTCACTAGGACATTAATAAAATTTGTTTTGTGCCCTGCCTTGTGGTATGGGCTGTGGGAGGGGTGAAAAAGAATACTCAATGACAGTTAATGGTCTATTTGAGGAGGTAAGACTGACATATATGAAAAAAACAAAATGTGAACAAATTATACTTGGAAGTCAACATGCCAAAGTGAAAAAGTTTGGGAATGTGCCAAATCTGGATTCCAATCATGGCCCCACTACTTATCAGCTGAGTATCTTTGGATGAGTGATTTAACCTTTTTCAGCATCTGTTTATTCCTCTGTCAAAATGATGCTACCATAAAAATGGGAAATAAATGACATACAATATGCAAAATATATGATACTTGGTATGCATTCAATTATACTGATGATAGTATTAATAATACTGTTCTGATACTTTTGTACAAACCTACTTTAAGGAGAGATGAAGGAGTTTTTTCTGCTCTATGATAGTGGAACATTTCTAATGACTTCATGTGTTATTTTTTAATTAAAATATTAAGTACTTTTAAATAAGGGGGAGAAAAATTGAGGTTTATTATTGAAATTTTTCATTTGAGCTTCCTGCTTTAAGCCCTATTCACATGATAAATTTCTGTGTACCTATGCTTTCTTTTTCTTGTAATGTTACTCCCTGGAGTTGAACTTGCTTTATATATATATTTCATTTTTAATAGAAACGGGGTTTCACTATATTGCCTAGGCTGGTCTTGAACTCCTGGGCTCAAGTGATCCTCCTGCCGAGGCCTCCCAAATTGCTGGGACTACAGCTGTGAGCCACCATGCCCAGCCTTAACTTGGTTTTAAGACCTCTGATTTGCCTTGCCTCAATTACCTCCTTTCTTATTTTCTTTCCTTTGTTGACTCTCATACTCTGTTCTCCTAATTCTCCCCCTTTTCCACTCCCTGCCCACCCTGAAAGACACACACACACACAATAAGTGGGTGGAGTAAGAAGTCAACGGAGTTGGATATAAGCATTCCTGCTTTTCTGACATCTCCAGTGTCTTGGAGAACAAGGATTCTAGAATGAGGGCTCCTCATTATGCTTCCTTTCAACATTTTTTCTCTGTGTTACTTAAGCTTTCACCCCAAGCATGTTTGACAGAGAGCCAGTGCATTCCCCTTACTTTTTACAAAAATAAAAAAAGAAAGAAAAAGAAAGAAAGAAAGAAAAAGAAAGAAAGAAAGAAAGAAAGAAAGAGAAAGAAAGAAAGAAAAGAAAGAAAGAAAGTTACCGATCTTAGTAGACCAAAAAGCTAAACTTATGAAAGTCTCAATTCTGGGCACAAGCCTGAGATAACCTCTAAACTCTTTAAGGTTGTAATTTATCTAGACATTGGATGAAATAAGAGGACTTGGGCAGAGGGCACTAATAGAAGCATAAGAGAAAGTTTGGTTAAAGGAAGGGATTGATAAAAGGGATTATTTCTAAGAAGAGTGGTGAGGTTTCACTCATTAAGGAAGGAAACATTTTATAAATAAGTTATTAACTTTATAAGTAAGTATAAAGCCTTGTTTCTATATTTATTCTCCATATAATATTTTACAAAAGTGGCATCCAATTTAGCTGACCCCTTCTCAGACATTTCTGAAATCTACCTAACTCTAAGATGGGATACTGTGACTATTTCCACAAATAGATGCTGAACTAAAGAATTATTTTTCCAGGGCATTAATGACATTTTGGTAGAAAATAGTCTTTGGTCAAATGACATCGTGGGACAGTAATAATAAATTTAATGAAGCATGTCCTATGTGACAGGCACTGGTCCAGCACTTCACATTTTAAACCATTATGATATACATTTTACAAGTGAGGAGACTGAGGCCAGAAAAGTTAAGTAACTCCCTTCCTGCTAGCTCAGCGTACTTCCTAGGGTTTGGGGAATGATGAGGTGAGAGTATGCATATAAAGCACCCACAGTGCCTGGTACTTATTATTTACAATACATTGTAGTTATTTTTATAATAGTCATTGATTTTGTTTTTGTGGTTTTGTGATTAATGGTAACTCAGAAATAGGACTTAAAGCAGGAAGCTCAAAACAAATGAAATGTAGGCTTTGCTCTACATTTTTGTTTCTCCCTAATGCTTTTTACACTCATGCTATAAAATTACATTTGTTTATTGCTTACATTTCCCCACTAGAATGCAGGCTTAATGAAGGCAGGGATGTGTACCTGTTTTGTTCATTGAGGTATCCAAAGTGCCTAAAACAAAGTTTCACATATATTAGAACCTCAGTCAGTTTTTGTTGAGTAAATAAATTGCCCAAGGTCGTACAACTTGGGAATAACAGAGTCTAGATTTGCATGCAAACAAACTGGCTTCAGTGACCAGTCTCTTAACTGCTAGTCTATACTATGTCTCTACCTGAAGTACATGAATCGTTTATCAATTTCTGATGCCATATAAAACATGATGCTTTTCATTCACAGCTGCCTTTATAAACCGTAGGCAATTGTGGCCTATAGAGAGAGAAGTCAATGGAGTCTTCTGCATCATTGCCAAGGGATTTTTCTGGGAGAATTTCCAGTCTGTATCAAGTCTCTGTGGGCTCAGTTTAGCCCAGCTTATGTATACTATGGTCATTCTGGGTAAAGAAGGGTGATGTCATAAAAACTTGTGCATTGTCTTTTAAGTCTTGGCTATGGCTAAACCCAGAGAAAATGATTTTTTTTATGTCACTGTGACCTTTTGGTGTTCATTTCTTTCACATTCTCATTCCCATTTCCTGAGTCACAAGAAGAACTCTCTTAATGAAGATCAAAAGTCAGAGGAAGCTCAATTGTAGATTTCATTCAGAAATGAAAATGCACTACAAAACCTCTTCAGAAGCCTCTTTCTACACTGAGTTGATTTTAGGCTAACAGTCAAGTGGGCAGGCTTGATTCAGATGACAGCTTAAAGAGCCCTCGTGTCTGAGTCACTTCAGTGTCTGCACCAGTTTTCCAGTTTTTGCCTTCATTACATTAGTATGGATTAGGGTATGATCAGCAATACTTTTTCCACCTGCACTTTTAAGAAGTGTAAAACGTGGGTGGTGGTACTTTTAAATTAGAAGAACAGATGTAGCAGACATGACATCTTTTTCTTTCACTCCTCCATCCTCATAGCCTAGAGACATCAGATGCAATCCTTTCTCATTTGCCTAACCTCTGAAAACAACTTCTCAGTGTCTTTCTTAGACTAAGGGGTGCCTCTCAGAGGAAGACAGAAACAGCTATTCATATGAAAATGTCTAGAGTCCTGGGGAGTGTAATGTGTCTGTCCTATACTAAAGATGGAATAGATACCTTGACTTTATTTTTAAAATGGCAACTAGACAAGAGGATTCCATGTGTTCCAATCTACATGTAACAGGGCATGGATAATGTAGCCTGCTCCCTCCAACAGGTTATGAGGCCTTCAAGTCACATTTGCATTCCCTATCATTGTCTGGCATCTTTTCTAGTGGTCGGCTATTGTTTCTTATGAGAAGGTGTTTCCCTGGACTATGGTATCTTTCTGTCTGCATCACTGCCAGTAGTTAGGCCTTAAGTAAGTACCTTTTCTCCTTACAGAATATCCATTACTCTAATTGTAAATCTGGAGGAAATATACTGTAACAGGGATAGCTCAAATCTAGTTTATGGGGAAGAGTGTAGAATAGAAATACATAACGGGTTTAGGGTGTGATATACTCTCTGGCACTTACCAGTGCAGTGTTATTACTTGCATAGGATGCTTAACTTCTCTGAACCTCAGCTATATCATGTGAAAATGGAAAAATAATTTGTACTTCCTAGGGTTTGGGGAATGATGAGATGAGAGTATGCATATAAAGCACCCACAGTGCCTGGTACTTATTATTTACAATAAATTGTAGTGATTTTTATAATAGTCATTGATTTTGTTTTTGTAGTTTTGTGATTAATGGTAACTCAGAAAACACTAAAATCATGTAGACTTAATATGCTTGTAGGAAAGACATGAGAACTGCTTATCTTCATCCATTCATCTTAACTTGTCCCAGTCTTAACCTAGCCAAAGCATGACTCAGCGTTACAATGGCTATCACCAACCTTTTCCACCCAGACTTCCCCATTTCAGTAACCTGCAGCTTTTCCTTTCAGTTGATAAGACCAAAAACATTAGATTCATCACTGTGTCCATATATAATAACAAAATCAGCAAATGCTATTGGCTCTAACCTTAAAAAACAGAATATCCTAAATCTAATCACTTCTGTTCACCTCCAGTCTACCATTCCTGATCCAAACTACCACCATCTCTCTTTTAGAATATCATAATAGCCTCTTAACTAATCACTCCTCGTCTATCCTTGCCCCTAACAATTTATTCTAACACATCAGCTAGAGTGATTTTGTTTTAACCTAACTTAGATCAGATCACACCTCCACTCAGATCCCTTCAGTGGCTTCCCATATTATTCAAACTGAAAGCCAAAGTGCTATACCTGACATAAAAGAATCTGCATGATTTGGGTCCTGCTCCCTCTCTGACCCCATCTCCTACTCCCTGTTTCCACTCACTCACTCTATTCAATTCAGAGCAACTTTGCACTTGTCATTTTTTCTGCTTGGAATTCTCTTCCCTCCAATATTTATATGGCTCACTTTCTTTCTCTTTTTCTTTTTCTTTCTTTCTTTCTTTTTTTTTTTTTTTTTTGAGACGAAGTCTCGCTCTTGTACCCAGGCTGGAGTGCAATGGCACGATCTTGGCTCACTGCAACCTCCACCTCCCCAGTTTAAGTGATTCTCCTGCCTCAGCCTCCTGAGTAGCTGGGATTACAGGCGCCTACCACCACGCCTGGCTAATTTTTGTATTTTCAGTAGAGACGGGGTTTCACCATGTTGGCTAGGCTGGTCTCGACCTCCTGACCTCAAGTGATCTACCCGCCTCGGCCTCCCAAAGTGCTGGGATTACAGATGTGAACCACCATGCCTGGCCTACATGGCTCACTTTCTTAATTTTTCAGGCCTCCATTCAAATAGTGCCTCCCAGAGAGACCTGTGTAAAACAGCAACACACTTCCCAGCACTCTCCATCCCTTTTACTCACTCTTAGTTTCTCTGACATATTATATATTGTTTATTGTCCATTTTCCCTAACTAAAATTTAGCTCTATAAGGCATATTGTTTTGTTTATCAATGTATCCCTAGTACTGAACAAATGAAAAATTTGCTGTGTGTCTCTTATGTTTTAAACACTGTAGCACTACAGATAAAACATGAACTCCAGCCTCCACTACAGATAAAACATGAGCTCCAGTGCTAAAACATAGGCCAATCACAGTCGCTTATGCCTATAATCCCAGCAATTTGAGGTGGGAGGATTCCTTGAGCCCAGGAGTTTGAGACCAGTCTAGGCAACATGGTGAGACCCTGTCTTTACAAAAATAAAAAAAATAATAATAACCAGGCATGATGGTGTGTGCCTGTAGTCCCAGCTACTTGGGAGGCTGAGGCTGGAGGATCACTTGAGCTCAAGAGGTTGAGGCTGCAGTGAGCTGTGATCAGGCCCTTACCTTCCAGCCTGAGTGACAGAGCAAGGGCCCTGTATCAAAACAAAAACAAAAACTACTTTAAATGAAGGCTTGTTGGTAATCATTTCACAATGTGTATATATATCAAAATATCATGTTATATACCTTAAAATGTACAATTTATTTCAATAAAGATGGAAAATAATTATTTCATGGAACCTTGCTAAAGCAAACAATAAATTGAGTATCTACAAAGTGTCTATGTTGGCCCTCCAGAAAGAAAAAAAACAGATAAGGGCCAACAAAGAAATAATATAACTATACAATTCCCATTATGCTCAACGCTATACTAAAGGTCTTTGCCAGGTACTGATAGATTAGAATAGGGAGCTTGATGGCATGAAGGATGACAGTGTCATCAGGAGGGTAATGCTTGAGCTAGAATTTGAGCAGAATTTTGAAGGATGAACATTCAGTAAGCAACTGAGGGGTGAAGGGTGGTGGTAAGAGTGGTTCATTGAGAAAGCATTCCAGATGAAGGGAAGAGCAAGTAAAATAACAAGGATATTTAAAAGAGTATAGCAACAGATGGAGAGAAACTTAGGATAGAGTGAATAGGAAGAGCATGTGAAACATACAAAATTCCATTCACTGGAGAGGAGTTCTGATAGACTGAAAGAACTCATGATGGTTTTGAAAATTATTTGAATCATATCCTTTAGGCCTGGTTTATGTTCCTGGGGTCAGTTTATCTTCTACTTTAGGTAAGGAACAGAACAATAACAAACATACTTTAGTATCAATCCTTAGTTCAGCTCACCAGCTTTGGGTAAAATTGTGAATATATCCTTTCGCCAGAGCTTTGGCAGAAAAATCTATTACTTAATTACCTTAGAATACCTTTGCTTGTCAACAAGAGACCATTTTATGCCCCAACTCCCAACCTCAATAGAAAAAAAGTAGAAAATAAAGAAGTATGTCCATATTTGACATAATATAGGAAGGTTTCTCTTTAAATAAATGGCTTAGCATTTATCTGTTTGACTGTTTACTTCAGAGCTGCTTTTAAAGGTTTTGCACCCATCTATAAGTCAGATACTCCCATGTAATGTACCAAATGGGATCAAAACTGAGTCAGTTTTCTAACACTGCATTCAGTCTAGATTAGAAAAAGTTTCTTAAATTGGCAAATTAGATCATAAGAACAAAGCAAAACAAACAAACAAACAAAAAACCCACAGTGTAGTTGGTGTGCAAATGTAGCTGATGAGATTTGGATTGAGTGTCATATTGTGAGGTGTTATGAACTTCTCAAAACATCATTTCTGTGAACACATGAAAATTGAGTGTCTGCAATGTGCAAAAAAGTGTAATCAGGGAGAGAGAGAGAAAAATTACTAGTCATGTACTTAAAAAATCTTATACCAGGTTACACTTTGGGGTGGGGTAAATGGAGTGCCACTGGTAGAGTTGAGCAGTGTAGATGATTCACCTTCCTACACCATCTAGATCTAATCAGTTGCAAAATGAAAATGTCTTTAAATCTCTGTTATATCTGAAAAAAGTGGCAGAAAGGAGACAGGACTAAATTGCACCTCCCACTTGGACAGACAGAACAGGGTGTGGAGACTCACATCATGAACTTTCACTCAAAGAACTACTGCAGGAATAGACCAGAAAAGCTGAGAGAATCTACAGACCCTTTGAAGGAAGAGGATTACTCCTGCAGGACCCGGGAGATAGCCCAAATACTGTGAGTGCCTAAACTGGGAAAGTGGGAAAGGGGGATTGTCCACTCCCGAGCACACACTCTCACTGGGGAACCTGAAGGTCCAGATCGCAGGAGAAGGATATGACCTTAACTGGATCTGAGACAATTTAGAGAGCTGAGCGAAATACAGGGGTAGAGGAAACAGTAGGAAAAGCCCTGTGAGCCATCTGGGTCCCTGGGGAAGCCAGATCTGACTTGTCTCACAGGAGTCCTGTGGGAGGGCTGCCAGAGGAACTGGGGAAAGACCAAAGGGAAAAGGAAACCTCCAGCTAAACTTTGTAACCACTTGAACCAAACGTGAAGTCTCCCGGCCAAAACTCGAGGGAGGGCATAAATCCAGTGCGCAGACTCAACAGGCAAAAAGATGCAAAAGCCATGCTTTCTTTCTCAGCTGGCAGGCTGGTAGCCTGGGACAAGTTCTCAGCCCTGCTCACTCACTGCCTGGAAACAAACTTGGTGCTGTCAGGGTGGGGCACGGTGGGAGTGAGACTGGCCTTTTGGGTTGCATGGGAGCTGGGTAAGGCCTGTAACTTCTAGCTTTCCCCTACTTCCCTAACAACCTGCATGACATAGCAGAGCAGCCATAACTCTCCTGGGAGCATTACTCCATTGACATGGGTACCATACCCCCAACCTCCCAACCCCCACAGCAGCCTCAGTAAGCCAGGCCCAAGGAGAGTCTGAGCTCAGACATGCCTAACCCACCCCAGTAGCTGAAGACAAAGGCCATATTATCTTGGGAGTTCTAAGGCCTCGCCCACCTCCTGATTCTCCTGATTCTCCCCTATACTACCACAGCTAATGGTCTCTTGAAATCCTCACCTCCTGGCAGGAGGCCAACCAGCACAAACCTTGTGCATCAAGCAACTGCGACTAAGGGCACTCACAGAGTCCATTTCACTCTCCCGCCACCTCACTGCCAGTCTCACTGGAGACTGAGAGAACTGAAGATGGTTCACATCAAAGCACTCTGTGCAGACAGCCCCCAGTACCAGACCAGAACCTGGTAGCCCTGCTGAGTGGCTAGATCCAGAAGAGAAATAACATTCATTACAGTTTGGCTCTCAGGAAGCCACATCCTTAAGAAAATCAGGAGAGTACTACATCAAGGGAGCACCCCGTGGTACAAACAATGTGAACTGCAGCCTTCAGCCCGAGATCTTCGCTCTGACATAGCCTACCCAAATGAGATGGAACCAGAAAAACAATTCTGGTAATATGACAAAACCAGGTTCTTTAACACCCCCCTACTGCCAGTTACACTAACTCACCAGCAATGGATCCAAGCCAAGAAAAAAATCCCTGAATTGCTGGCAAAAGAATTCAGACTGTCAATTATTAAGCTAATCAAGGAAGCACCAGAGAAAAATGAAGTCCAAACTTTAAAATTTTTTAAAAGAAATACAAGATATGAGGGAAGAAATCTTCTGTGAAATAGATAGCATAAATAAAAAACAATCACAACTTTAAAAAATAAAGAACACAGAGAAATGCGAAATGTACTGGAAAGTCTCACCAATAGAATTGAACAAACAGAAAAAAGAACTTCAGTGCTCAAACACAAGGTTTTCAAAGTAACCTAACCAGCAAAGACAAAGAGAAAAGAATTTCAAAAATGTGCAAAGCCTCCAAGAAGTTTGGGATTATGTTAAATGACCAAACCTAAGAATAAGAAAGTGGAAATCTAAACGTTAGGAAAACATATTTGAAGGAATAATCAAGAAAAATTTCCCTGGCCTTGCTAGAGATCTAGACATCCAAATACAAGAAGCTAAAAGAACACCTGGGAAATTTATTAGAAAAAGATTATTGCCTAGGCACATAGTCATCAGCTTATCTAAAGTCAAGATGAAGAAAAGAATCTTAAGAGCTGTAAGGCAAAAGCACCAGGTAACCTATTAAAGAAACCTATCAGATTAATAGCAGATTTCTCAGCAGAAACCTTACAAGCTAGAAGGAGTTGGGGCCCTATCTTCAGCCTCCTTAAACAAAACAATTATCACCCAAGAATTTTTTATCCAGTGAAAATAAGCTTCATAAATGAAGGAAAGATACAGTCTTTTTCAGACAAACAAATGCTGAGAGAATTCACCACTACTAAGCCAGCAGTACAAGAACTGCTAAAAGGAGCTCTAAATTTTGAAACAAATCCTGGAAATACATCAAAACAGAACCTCTTTAAAGCATGAATCTTGTAGGACCATAAACAAAATACAATTAAAAAAAAAGGTATTCAGGCACAAATAGCATGATAAATGGAATACTACCTCACATCTCAATACTAAAGTTGAATGTAAATGGCCTAAATGCTCTATTAAAAAATGCAGAATTGCAGAATAGATAAGAATTCAACAACCAAGTATCTGCTGCCTTGAAGAGACTCACCTAGCACATAAGGACACACATAAACTTAAGGTAAAAGGGTGGAAGAAGATATTCCATGCAAATGGACACAGAAAGCAAGCAGGATTAGCTATTCTTATATCAGACAAAACAAACTTTAATAAAGCAACAGCAGTTAAAAGAGACAAAGAGGGATATTATATAATGATAAAAGAGCTTGTCCAACAGGCAAATATCGCAATCCTAAATATATATGCACCTAACACTGGAGCTTTCAAATTTATAAAACAATTACAACTAGACCTATGAAATGACAGATGGCAACACAATAATAGTGGGGGACTTCAATACTCTACTGACAGCACCAGACAGGTCAAGAAGACAGAAAGTCAACAAAGAAACAATGGATTTAAACTATGCCCTACAACAATGGACTTAATAGACATTTACAGAACATTCTATCCAGCAACCATAGAATATTCATTCTATTCATCAGTGCATGGAACTTTCTCCAAGATAGATGATATGATAAGCCATAAAATAAGTCTCATTAAATTTAAGAAAATTGAAATTACATCAAGTACTCTCTTAGACCACAGTGGAATAAAATTGGAAATCAACTCCAAAGGAACCTTCAAGACCATGAAAATACATGGAAATTAAATAACCTGCTCCTGAAAGATCATTGGATCAACAATGAAATGAAGAGGCAAATACAAAAATTCTTTGAATTGAATGATAATATTGACACACCTATCACAACCTCTGGGAAGCAGCAAAAGAAGTGATAAGAGGAAAGTTCATAGCCTTAAATCCCTACATAAAAAAATCTGAAAGAGCACAAATGGATAATCTGAGGTCACACTTCAAGAAATTAGAGAAATAAGAACAAATCTTAAACCCAGCAGAAGAGAAGAAAGAAAAACAAAACTCAAACCCAGAAGAAGAAAAGAAATAACAAAGATCAGAGCAGAACTAAAAGAAATTGAAACAAAAAAATACAAAAGATAAATGAAACAAAAAGCTGGTTATTTGAAAAGATAAATAAAACTGATAGACTGTTAGGAGGGTTAACTGAGAAAAGAAGAGAGAAGATCCAAATAACATTAATTAGAAATGAAATGGGAGATATTACAACCAGCACCATAGAAATATGAAAGATCATTCAAGGCTACTATGAACACCTTTACACATATAAACTAGAAAACTTAGAGGACATGGATAAATTCCTGGAAATATACAACCCTCCTAGCTTAAATTAGGAAGAATTAGAGACCATGAACAGAAAAATAACAAGCAGTGAGATTGAAATGGTAATTAAAAAAATGGCCAACAAAACCAGTCCAGGACCAGATGGATTCACAGCTGAATTCTATCAGACATTCAAGGAAGAATTGGTACTGATCCTTTTGACACTATGCCACAAAACAGAGAAAGAGCAAATCCTCCCTAAATCATTCCATGAAGCCAGTAACAACCTAATACCAAAACCAGAAAAGGACATAACAAAAAAAGAAAACTGCAGACTGATATCTCTGATGAACATAGATGCAAATATCCTTAACAAAATACTAGCTAACTGAATCCAACAGCATATCAAAGAGATAATCCGTCATGATTAAGTGGGTTTCATTCCAGGGATGCAGGGATGGTTTAACTTATGCAAGTAAATAAATTTGATACACCACGTAAACAGAATTAAAAACAAAAATCACATGATCTTCTCAATAGATACAGAAAAACATTTTACAAATTCCAGCATTCCTTTAAGATTAAAACCCTCAGCAAAATCAGCATTCAAGGGACATGCCTCAATGTAATAAAGTCCACCTATGACAAACCCACAGCCAACATAATACTGCAAGGGGAAAAGTTGAAAGCATTCCCTCTGAGAACTAGAAGAAGACAAGGATGCCCACTCTCACCACTTTTATTCAACATAGTGCTGGAAGTCCTAGCCAGAGCAATCATACAGGAGAAAGAAATAAAAGGAATCCAAATTGGTAAAGAGGAAATCAAACTATAACTGTTTTCTGATGATATGATTGTATACCTAGAAAACCCTAAAGACTCGTCCAAATAGCTCCTAGAACTGATAAATGAATTTAGAAAAGTTTCAGGATACTAAATTAATGTACAGAAATTAGTAGCTCTGCTATACACCAACAGTGATCAAGCTGAGAATTAAATCAAGAACTGAACCCCTTTTACAATATCTGCAAAAAAAAAAAAATACTTAGGAATATACCTAACCAAGGAGGTGAAAGACCTCTACAAGAAAACTACAAAACACTGTTGAAATAAATCATAGATGACACAGACAAATGGAAACACATCTCATGCTCATGGATGGGTAGAATCAATATTGTGAAAATGACCATACTGCTAAAAGCAGTCTACATATTCAATGCAATTCCCATAAAAAATGCCACCACTATTCTTCACAGAACTAGAAAAAACAATCTTAAAATTCATATGGAACCAAAAAAAAAATTTTGCATAGCCAAAGTAAAACTAAGCAAAAGAAAAAATCTGGAGGCATCACATTACCTGACTTCAAACTATCCTATAAGGCCATAGTCATCAAAACAGAATGGTACTGGTATAAAAATGGCCACATGGACCAATGGGACAGAAAGGAGAACCCAGAAATAAACCCAAATACTTACAGCCAACTGATCTTCAACAAAGCAAACAAAAACAAAGTAGAGAAAGGACACCCTTTTCAACAAATGGTGCTGAGATAATTGGCAAGCCACATCTAGGAGACTATATCCTCATCTCTCACCTTATACAAAAATCAAGTCATGATGGATCAATAACTTAAATGTAAGACCTGAAACTATAAACATTCTAGAAGATAACACTGGAAAAACCATTCTAGATATTGGCTTGGGCAAAGACTTCATGACCAAGAACCCAAAAGCAAATGCAACAAAACAAGGATAAATAGGTGGAACTTCACTAAAGAACTTCTGAAAAGCAAAAAGAACAGTCAGCAGATTAAACAGACAAACTACAGAGTGGGAGAAAATCTTCACAATTTATACATCTGACAAGACTAATATCCAGAATCTACAAGGGACTCAAACAAATTAGCAGGAAAAAAGAAAGAAAGAAAAAAAAAATCCCATCAAAAAGTGGGCTAAGGACATGAATAGACAATCCTCAAAAGAAGATGTACAAATAGCCGGCAAACATATGAAAAAATGCTCAGCATCACTAATGATCAGGGAAGTGCAAATCAAAACCACAGTGCGATACCACCTTACTCCCACAGTGCAATAAAAATAAAAATCAATACCACGAAGGCCTCACAAAACAATATCATTAAAAAGTCAGGAAACAACAGGTGCTGGAGAGGATGTGGAGAAATGGGAACACTTTTACACTGTTGGTGGGACTGGAAACTAGTTCAACCATTGTGGAAGTCAGTGAGGTGATTCCTCCGGGATCTAGAATTAGAAATACCATTTGACCCAGCCATCCCATTACTGGTTATATACCCAAAGGACTATAAATCATGCTGCTATAAAGACACATGCACACGTATGTTTATTGCAGCACTATTAACAATAGCAAAGACTTGGAACCAACCCAAATTTCCAACAATCATAGACTGGATTAAGAAAATGTGGCACATATACACCATGGAATACTATGCAGCCATAAAAAATGATGAGTTCATGTCCTTTGTAGGGACATGGATGAAATTGGAAACCATCATTCTCAGTAAACTATCACAAGAACAAAAAACCAAACACCGCATATTCTCACTCATAGGTGGGAATTGAACAATGAGAACACATGGACACAGGAAGGGGAACATCACACTCTGGGGACTGTTGTGGGGTGGGGGACGGGAGAGGGATAGCTTTAGGAGATATACCTAATGCTAAATGACGAGTTAATGGGTGCAGCACACCAGCCTGGCCCATGTATACATATGTAACTAACCTGCACATTGTGCACATGTACCCTAAAACTTAAAGTATAAAAATAATAAAATAAAATAAAATAACAACAATACAATTCTGTGGAAATTCAGCAACCTGCTACTGAATGACTTTCAGGTAAACAATGAAATTAAAGCAGAAATCAAGAAATTCTTTGAAACCAGTGAAAACAAATAACATACCAGAATCTCTTGGATACAGCAGTGTTAAGAGGAATGTTTATACCACTAAATGCCCACATCAAAATGTTAGAAAGATTTTAAATTAACAACCTAACATCACACATAGGAGAACTAGAAAAACAAACAGAGAGCCAAATCATGAGTGAACTCCCATTCACAATTGCTTCAAAGAGAATAAAATACCTAGGAATCCAACTTACAAGGGATGTGAAGGACCTCTTCAAGGAGAACTACAAACCACTGCTCAAGGAAATAAAAGAGGATAAAAACAAATGGAAGAACATTCCATGCTCATGGGTAGGAAGAATCAATATTGTGAAAATGACCATACTGCCCAAGGTAATTTACAGATTCAATGCCATCCCCATCAAGCTACCAATGCCTTTCTTCACAGAATTAGAAAAAACTACTTTAAAGTAAGTTCATATGGAACCAAAAAAGAGCCCGCATCGCCAAGTCAATCTAAGCCAAAAGAACAAAACTGGAGGCATCACACTACCTGACTTCAAACTATACTACAAGACTACAGTAACCAAAACAGCATGGTACTGGTACCAAAACAGAGATATAGATCAATGGAACAGAACAGAGCCCTCAGAAATAACGCCGCATATCTACAACTATCTGATCTTTGACACACCTGACAAAAACAAGCAATGGGGAAAGGATTCCCTGTTTAATAAATGGTGCTGGGAAAACTGGCTAGCCATATTTAGGAAGCTGAAACTGGATCCCTTCCTTACACCTTATACAAAAATCAATTCAAGATGGATTAAAGACTTAAACGTTAGACCTAAAACCATAAAAACCCTAGAAGAAAACCTAGGCATTACCATACAGGACATAGGCATGGGCAAGGACTTCATGTCTAAAACGCCAAAAGCAATGGCAACAAAAGCCAAAATTGACAAATGGGATCTAATTAAACTAAAGAGCTTCTGCACAGCAAAAGAAACTACCATCAGAGTGAACAGGCAACCTACAAAATGGGAGAAAATTTTCGCAACCTACTCATCCGTCAAAGAGCTAATACCCAGAATTTACAATGAACTCAAACAAATTTACAAGAAAAAAACAAACAACCCCATCAAAAAGTGGGCAAAGTACATGAACAGACACTTCTCAAAAGGAGACATTTATGCAGCCAAAAAACACATGAAAAAATGCTCATCATCACTGGCCATCAGAGAAATGCAAATCAAAACCACAATGAGATACCATCTCACACCAGTTAGAATGGCAATCATTAAAAAGTCAGGAAACAACAGGTTCTGGAGAGGATGTGGAGAAATAGGAACACTTTTACACTGTTGGTGGGACTGTAAACTAGTTCAACCATTGTGGAAGTCAGTGTGGTGATTCCTCAAGGATCTAGAACTAGAAATACCATTTGACCCAGCCATCCCATTACTGGGTATATACCCAAAGGACTATAAATCATGCTGCTATAAAGACACATGCACACGTATGTTTATTGTGGTACTATTCACAATAGCAAAGACTTGGAACCAACCCAAATGTCCAACAATGATAGACTGGATTAAGAAAATGTGGCACATATACACCATGGAATACTATGCAGCCATAAAAAATGATGAGTTCATGTCCTTTGTAGGGACATGGATGAAATTGGAAATCATCATTCTCAGTAAACTATCGCAAGAACAAAAAACCAAACAATGCATATTCTCACTCATAGGCGGGAATTGAACAATGAGAACACAGGGACACAGGAAGGGGAACATCACACTCTGAGGACTGTTGGGTGGGGGGAGGGGGGAGGGATAGCATTGGGAGATATACCTAATGCTAGATGATGAGTTAATGGGTGCAGCACACCTGCATGGCACATGTATACATATGTAACTAACCTGCACAATGTGCACATGTACCCTAAAACTTAAAGTATAATAATAAAAGAAAAAAGAAACAAAGAAACAAAAAAAAAAGAAAAAAGAAAAACAAGCATAAACCAATCCCAATGCTACCATACCAAAAGAAATAACCAAACTGGGTTTTAAAATGAGTGAAATTGAGATGTGAAAAAACCATACAGAAGATCAACAAAACTAAAATTTAGCTCTTTGAAGGAATGAATAAGATTGGTAGACTGCTAGATAGACTAATCAAGATAAAAAAGAGAATATATGAAAAAACACAACCGGAAATGACAAAGTGGCCATTACCACTGACCCCACAGAAATACAAAAAAAAAAAAAAAAAAAACCCTCAGAGACTATTATGAGCACATCTATGCACACAAACTGGATGACCTCCTAAGATTGAAACAGGAAGGAATTGATACCCTAAACAGACCAATAAAAAGCTTTGAAATTAATCAGTAATAAAAAGTGTACAAACCAGAAAATGCCTTGGGCCAGATGAAATCACACCAGATGTTTAAAGGGATGGTGCCAATCCTACTGAAACTATTTCAAAAATGGAGAAGGAAGGACTCCTCCCTAACTCATTTTATGAGGCCAGCATCATTCTGATACCAAAACATGGCACAGACAGAACAAAAAAGGAAAACTTCAGGCTAATATCCCTAATGAACATTGATGCAAAACTCCTCAACAAAGTACTAGCAAACCAAATCCAGCAGCTACATCACAAAGCTCATCCACCATAATCAAGTAGGCCTTATTTCAGGGATGCAAGGTTGGTTAAACATACACAAATCAATATATGTGATTCATCACATCAATGGAACTAAAAACAAAAACCACATGATCATCTCAATAGATGCAAAAAAGGCTTTCAATAAAATTCAACATCCCTTCATGTTGAAAACCTCAACTAATTAGGCATTGAAGGAAGATACCTCAAAAAAATAAGAGCCATCTCTGACAGACCCACAGCCAACATCATACTGAATGGGCAAAAGCTGGAAACATTCTCCTTGAGAATCTGAAAAAGACAAGGATGCCAATTCTCACCATTTCCATTCAAAATAGTATGGGAAGTGCTAACCAGAGCAATAAGGCAAGAAAAAGAGAAAAAAGTGCATCCAAATACGAACAGAAGAAATCAAACCATCTCTTTTCATAGATAATATGACTTTACACCTAGAAAAGCCCATAGTCTCAGCCCAAAAGCCCCTACGTCTTATAAACAACTTCAGGAAGGTTTTAGCCTACAAAATCAGTGTACAACAGCATTTCTACACACCAAAAACACCCAAGCTGAGAGCCAAATAAAAAATACAATCCCATTCATAACAGCCTAAGAAACCTGGGAAAACAGCTAACTAGGGATGTGAAAGAAATTTTGTACAAAGAAAATTACAAAACACTGCTGAAAGAAATCAGCAACAAGACAAACAAATGGAAAAACATTCCATGCTCATGGATAGGAAGAATCAATATTGTTAATGTGGCCATACTGCAAAGCAATTTACAAATACAATGCTATTCCTATCAAACTACCAACAATATTTTTCACATACTTAGAAAAATCTCTTTGAAAATTCACATGAAACCAGAAAAGAGCTCGAACGGCCAAAACAATGCTAAGCAAAAGAACACAGCTAGAGGCATCACAATACCTGATTTCAAAGTATATTACAAGATGACACTAACCAAAATAGCATGGTGCTGGTGCAAAAAACAAACACATAGACTAATGGAACAGAATGGAGAACCCAGAAATAAAATAGCACACTTACAACCATCTGATCTTCAACAAAGTGGAGTAAAACAAGCAATGGGTAAAGGATTCCCTATTCAATAAATGGTGCTGTGATTGAAATTGGACCTCTTCCTTTCACCATACACAAAAATTAACTCAAGATGGATTAAGACTTGAATGTAAAACCTAAAACTATAAACACCCTAAAAGAAAACCTAGGAAGTGCTGTTCTGTACATAGGACATGGAAAAAATTTCATGACAAAGATTCCAAAAACAATACCAAGAAAAGCAAAAACAGGCAAATGGGACCTAATTAAACTAAAGAGCTTCTGCACAACAAAATAAACTATCAACAAAGTAAACAGGCAACCTACAAAATGGGAGAATACATTTGCAAATTATGCATCTGACAAAGGCCTAATATCCATAATCTGTAAGGAACTTAAATTAACTGGCAAAACACTAAGAACCATGTTAAAAAAATGGGCAGAGGACATGAACAGACACTTCTCAAAAGAAGACATATATGCAGCCAACAAACATTTCTAATCATTAGAGAAATACAAATCAAAACCACGAATAGATGCCATCTCATACCACTCAGAATGACTTTTATTAAGAAGTCAAAAAATAACTGTTGCCAGCAAGATTGTGGTGAAAAGGTAATGCTTATACACTGCTAGTGGAAATGTAAATTAGTTCAGCCACTGTGGAAAGCAGTTTGGCTATTTCTCAAAGAACTTAAAACAGAGCTACCTTTCAACTCAGCAATCCCATTAATGGGTATATACCCAAAGGAATATAAATAATTCTACCATAAGGACACACACACTCGTATGTTCACTGAAGCACTATTCACAATAGCAAATACATGGAATCAACGTAGATGCCCATCTACAGTGGACTTGGTAAAGAAAACATGATACGTATGCATGATGGAATACTACATAGCCATAAAAAGGAACAAGGTCATGTACTTTGCAGCAACATGGATGGAGATGGCAGACATTATAAAAAGGTAATTAATGCAGGAACAGAATACCAAATAATGCATATTCTTTTATAAGTGACAGCTAAACATTGGAGTACACATGTACACAAAGAGGGGAATAGACACCAGGGCCTACTTGAGGGTGGATGGTGGGAAGAGGGTGAAGATCGAAAAACTGCTTATTGAGTACTATGTTTATTACCTGAGTGATGAAATAATCTGTACACCAAACCTTCATGACATGCAATTAACCCATATATGAAACCTGCACAAGTACTAGCTCCACATAAAATAAAAGGTGGAAAGAAAAAAATGAAAACGCTGCCCCTCCAGTAAAAAAAAAAAAAAAAAAAAAAGAAATGCTATACCAATTTCCATACCCACCAACTGTGCATGTGCATAAAACTTTCTTCATACTCTTGCCAACACAGGGTATTATCAACTTTTTTAAAAATTGACAATCTAAGTGGCTAAAAACATCTCATTATTGTTTACTTTGCATTTGTTAACAATTTTTTGTTTTTTGTAGTTTTTTTGAGATGGAGTCTCACTGTCACCCAGGCTGGATTGCAGTAGCACAATCTCTGCCTTCTGGACTCAGGCAATCCTCACGCCTCAGCCTCCCAAGTAGCTGGGACCACAGGCGCATGCCCCTACACCAGGCTAATTTTTTTTATATTTTTAGTAGAGACAGGGTTTCACCATTTTGCTCAAGTTGCCCTTGAACTCCTGAGCTCAAGTGATCCGCTTTCCTTGGCCTCCCAATGTGCTGGGGTTACAGGCGTGAGCCACCATACCCGGCCAGCATTTGCTAACAGTTAATTAAAGTTAAGACTCAGGTCATTTATATTTTCCTATGAATTTCCAATGTATATCCTTTGTTCATTTTTTTTGTGTGGGTAGAGAGTGGATTATATTGTATTAGGTAAGAATTTAACTTTGTTATTCCCAAATGAATAGCTGGTTTGCCAAGTGCAATCTAATTTATTTATAAATTAAAGATTATTTAATTTATTAAGTAATCTATTTTTTCTAATTAATTTTATATGCCACCACATTTATCAAATACAAATCCTCATATATGTGTCTATTTTTGAAATCTCTTATTTTCTTTAATCTGTTTGTTTAATCATATTTCATTAACACCCTGTTTTTTATCTGTGAATTTATGGTATCTTTTTATGTTTGGAAGAGTAAAACTGTTCATATTTATGTTGAAATTACAGTTATACCTTAACTGGGGAAAACTGACATGGTATTAATACTTACTTACATAGTTTGAGGACAGAATCAAGCACAAGTGTATCCTTAATAAATAATATATGGTGATGCCTTCACTACCACCTGGTGATGATACAAATGACCAAAGGTCTCACTTGAAATCCTGCTGTCATGCTGGGAATCAAGCCAAAAGTTATATGAACAAAAATTCAACTATTACCAAAACTTCACCTCTCATGAATGCTATGTTTTCAGCGAAGACAAATTGCTCACAAATTACACAATCTTGTGCAAATCAAGACTTCTGTGCCTTTTGCTTATGCTGTTTCTTGTATCTAGAGTATCCCATCTTTTCTTTTCCCAGCAAATTTTTATTTATCTATCAGAACTCATTCCATTCTGTCCCTTGTCTGTTATGATTTCTCTAATAGGCAATTATTTTTCGTGGAACCTATGAAGTAAACCATTAAACTATCTTTTCGTTTGTTATTTTTAACTATAGGATTTTATCCCTACCATTTCACTGAAATGGGCTTGTCAAGTTCACCAATAACCTCCAAGTTACTAAATCCAGTAGTAAAATTTCAGTCCTCACCTTACTCAAAATTATATGTAGCAAAAGATAGTTTTAGTCATTCATTTTCTTGGAAACAGTTTCTTTATGTTACTTCTGGCTTCCTATGCTCTCTTGGTTTTCCTCCTACCTCTCTGGCTCTGGTTTCTTTACTGAATCTTCCATATCTCATCCAACTCTAAACTTTGGAGTGATACAAGGATCAATCTTCGGAGCTTGTTTCTTTGTATGCTCGCTTTTTAGATACTATCCTCCACTCCTATGCCTTCACATGCCATCTAAATGTCAACTATTCTTAAGTTGTATATACCCAGCTAAAACCATACCCCTGAAATTATAACATATATCTAACCACCTACTTGATATCTTTACTTGGATATCTGTTAGGCATCTCAAACTTAACATGTCCCAAACTTAAGTCTTCTTCCCCACCCTTTATCACCAAACCTACTTAACCTTCATTCTTCTCCATTTCAAATAATGACAATTCCATCTTTTCATTTGGCAAGGCCCAAAACCTTGAGGTCATCTCTTGGAAGTCTCTGTGACACTCTACATCCTATCCAACAGCATACTGAGGAAATTCTGCCTTTGGAACATGATCTCAACACCTCTAACATTACTACTGTGATGCAAGCTACCATAATCTTTCATCTGGATTAATGCAATAGCTGATTTAGTGGTCTTTTTGCTTGTCCCTGGCCTAACGTGACACTTTAAAAATATGGATCAGACATTGTCACTCCTCTCTTTGTAACCTTTTAATTGCTTTCTGTCTCATGCACAATAAAAGTCAAAGCCTGATCATGACCTCCAAGGCCTTATGCACTCTGGGCTTCTGCTACCTCTCTGACCTCATCTTTTGCGACTCTTCCCTTTTCTGTCTGTGATTTTGCCACACTGGTCCCCTCACTGTTCCTGGAATGTAACAGACATGCTCTCGTCTCAGGCCCCTTTCATTAGTTATTCCCTCTGCTTAAAACATTTCTTCTAGATTGTCCTATGTCTTTCTCAGTTATCTCCTTTATGTCTCTGCTTAAATGCTACTTTCTTTAAAAAGCCTTCCTTCATTAAAATAGCAGCCCCTAATCACTCACTGTCTTTTACCTTGCTTTTATTTAACATTGTCTGACCTTAGATATTTGTTTATGTGTTTATATCTATCTCCCCAACTTGAATGAAGGTAACACAAGGACAGGGATTTATTTTTCTTATTCACTAATATGTCTGCCAGTGTCTAGAATAGTGCCTGAGACATAGTAGGCATTCAAAGAAGATATGATAGATGAACAAATGAATGAGTGGCATATGTAATAGACACCCTTATTTCATCCCACTTTCCCTTTCACATCCCTGAACTTAATTCCATTACCAAGTTTCACCCCAACCCTTACCATTCTTTACTTCCTCCCATTTCTGATCCTATGAGGTAAATCTCAGTGATGGAATGAGAGTCATGAATGGGTGTTATGTATGTCTCTTGAAAATAAGACAGGGAGAAAGAAAAATTTTATACTTTGTTGCAACCATTTAAACAATCTTGTCAATCTTGAGCTGCTTTGATAAGTTCAGTGCCTGATATATAGTAGAACTTCAATAAATGTTTATTGAATGAATAATAGAATAAAAATCCACGGGGTGAAATCTATCCAAGATAAGTGTCAAGTTCTATAGTTGGAAACATTGAGTCAAGTATGGTATTACAAAATATGGGAAACCCAGAATTCATGAAAAACAACAACAAAAAGGGATTTCGTTCAATCACTAATTCAATATGACCCAACACTGGTGATGTAACTGCCAAGATTATTCAATCAGTAGTGAACAGTTTCTTCACCAAATAGTCTGGGGCAACTGGATATCCCCATACAAAAGAATGTAGTGTATCTTACTTCTTACCATATACAAATATTAACTTAAAGTAAATTAAAGACTAAAATATAAGAGCTAAAACAGGAACTCATAGGAGAAAATATAGGGGTATATTTTCATGACCTTGCATTTGGGATTGGATTTTTACATATAACACCAAAAGCACAAACAAAGAAAAAACAAATAAATTGAACATCATCAAAATTAAAAACTTTTGTGCATCAGTGGGCATCATCAAGAAAGTGAAAAGGCAACCTGTAGAATAAAAGAAAATATTTGCAAATCATATACCTGATAAGGATCTAGTATCAGAATACATAAAGAACACTTTTCTTTCGGCTGGGCGCGGTGGCTCACGCCTGTAATCCCAGCACTTTGGGAGGCCGAGGCGGGTGGATCACAAGGTCAGGAGTTCAACACCAGCCTGGCCAAGATGGTGAAACCTCGTCTCTACTAAAAATACAAACAAAAACTTAGCCAGCCATGGTGGCGGGAGCCTGTAATCCCAGCTACTCACGAGGCTGAGGCAGGAGAATCGCTTGAACCCGGGAGGTGGAGGTTGCAGTCAGCCGAGATGGTGCCACTGCACTCCAGCCTGGGTGACACAGCAAGACTCTGTCTCACACAAAAAAAAAAAAAAGAAAAGAAAAGAAGTTGGTGTTTGTTTGTTTGTTTGTTTTGAGATGGAGTCTCGCTCTGTTGCCCAGGCTGGAGTGTGGTGGCACCATCTCAGCTCACTGCAACCTCTGCCTCCCGGGATCAAGCGATTCTCCTGCCTTAGCCTCCCGAGTAGCTGGGATTACAGGCTCAGACCACCACACCCGGCTAATTTTTGTATTTTTGGTAGAGATGGGGTTTCACCATGTTGGCCAGGCTGGTCTTGAACTCCTGACCTTAAGTGATCCACCCACCTTGACATCCCAAAGTCCTGGGATTATAGGCATGAGCCACAGCGCCCAGCCAGAATGCATAGAGAACTTTTAAAAACTCAACAAAAGAAAGACAAACAAGCCACTTAAAATATGGGCAAAGGATTTGAAGAGACGTTTTTCCAAAGATATGCAAATGGCCAACAAGCACATGAAAAGATGCTCAACATCACTAGGCATTAAGGAAATGCAAATCAAAGTCATAGTGTGATACTACTTCACACCAACTAGATTGGAAAATAACAAGTGTTGATGAGAATATAGAGAAATTGGAACCCTCATCCACTGATGTTGGGAAAGTAAAATGATACACCTACTGTGGAAAACTGTGGAAAATAGTTTGGAAGTCTCAAAAAGCTACAGTTACCGGATGGTCCAGCTATTTCACTCCCAGTTACATACCCAGAAGAATTGAAAACAAATGTTCAAATAAATTCTTGTACACAAATGTACATAGCACTATTCGCAATAACCAAAAAGTAGAACCAACACAAATATCCATCAACAGATGAAAAGATAAACAAAATGTGATATATCCAAACAATGGAATATTATTCCGTTATATAGAGGAATGAAATACTGTTACATACTACAACATGAATGAACCTTAAAAACATTGTGCTACATGTATACATATGTAACAAACCTGCATGTTGTGCACATGTACCCTAAAACTTAAAATATAATAAAAAAAGAACATTGTGCTAATGAGTGAACAGGCAACCTACAGAATGGGAGAAAGTTTTTTCAATCTATCCATCTGACAAAGGGCTAACATCCAGAATCTACAAAGAACTCAAACAAATTTACAAGAAAAAAAAAACATCAAAAAGTGGGTAAAGGATATGAACAGATACTTCTCAAAAGAAGACATTTATGCAGCCGACAAACAAATGAAAGAAAGCCCATCATCACTGGTTATTAGAGAAATACACATCAAAACCACAATGAGATACCATCTTATGCCAGTTAGAATGGTGATCATTAAAAAGTCAGGAAACAACAGATGCTGGAGAGGATGGGGAAAAATAGAAACGTTTTTACACTGTTGGTGGGAGTGTAAATTAGCTCAATCATTTTGGAAGACAGTGTGGCAATTCCTCAAGGATCTAGAACTAGAAATACCATTTGACCCAGCAATCCCATTACTGGGTATATACCCAAAGGATTATAAATCATTCTACTATAAAGACACATGCACACATATGTTTATTGTGGCACTGTTAACAATAGCAAAGACTTAGAACCAACTCAAATGCCCATCAATGATAGACTGGATAAAGAAAGTGCAGCACATATACACCATGGAATACTATGCAGCCATAAAAAACAATGAGTTCATGTTCTTTGCAGAGACATGGATGAAGCTGGAAACCATCATTCTCAGGAAACTAACACAAGAACAGAAAATCAAACACCACATATTCTCACTCATAAGGGGTAGTTGAACAATGAGAGCACATGGACACAGGGAGGGGAACATCACACGCTGGGGCCTGTCTGGATGTGGGGGGATTAGGGGATGGATAGCATTAGGAGAAATACCTAATGTAGATGACGGGCTGTTGGGTGCAGCAAACCACCATGGCATGTGTATACCTGTGTAACAAACCTGCACGTTCTGCACATATACCCCAGAACTTAAAGTATAATAAAAAAAAAAAAAGAAGAAGAAGAGAAAAAGAGGTACAAGATAGTCTGTGAAAAGTGTTCAAGATTCTACCCAGATGGGAGGAATTTTTCAGTGTTCAAAACATTATCTAAAACAATTCTGCTGTGAAAAAGGTTTAAAACACATATTTTCTTTCGTTATATGAATAGAGACATAGTCCTAGGGTATCTTTAAACAGAAAGCACAATTCAACTTTAAGTTGTACTCTAAGAACTTCCAAAATCTCAGCGCCAGTAGCAGTTGCTGTTGTCCCTGGGTGAGTGTATGACTATGGGAATGCCCGTAGGGAGTTTGATCAAGATTCCATTTTAGGTGGCCTGGTGGAAGAAAGAAGAAGGTATTGTGAAAAAGGAAATTGTATAATAGCATCATGTTATTAGACACATCAGAATGTGGCATATTGCACCAGTCATCATATAATCAGGGGGAAATGGAGAGGAGAAACAGACTTTCATAGGGCAGGATTTGAAGAGAAGGAGCCTAAGGCTTGGAACTGCTGCTAGTGGTGACGGAAAGAGCATAAAAGAAAGTTTTCCATTCTGTACATCTCACCTGTGCTGAATGAAATTCAACTGTAAGGAGAATTTCTGGGAAAGATTGATTTGACTATAGTGTAATATTGTGGCATCTTAAAAGGGGCTTTTAACTCTTACAGATACTTCTAGACTTGAAGTCTTATATATTTTAGAATAAAAGAAATCTGATGGGATTTGTGCAAAAACAAAAAACAAAACAAAACAAAACAAAAAATAAAAAACATTGTGCTAACGAAAGAAACCAGCGACAAAAGGTCACGTATTTCATTATTTCATTTATATGAAATATCAAGAACAGGAAAACCTATAGAAATACAAAGGAAATTAAGAGTTGCCAGTGGGTGGGGTTAGAGAAGGGTAAGCAGTGACTACTTAAATGGTATAAGGTTTATTTTTGGTGTGATGAAAACTTTTTGAAACTAAATAGAATGCCGAGCATGGTGGTTCATGCCTGTAATCCCAGCACTTTGGGAGACCGAGGTGGGTGGATCACATGAGGTCAGGAGTTCGAGACCAGCCTGGCCAACATGGCGAAACTCTGTCTCTACTAAAAATACAAAAATTGACCGGCAAGGTGGTGCACATCTGTAATCCTAGCTACTCAGGAGGCTGAGTCACAAGAATTGCTTGAGCCTGGGAGGCGGAGGTTACAGTGATCTGAGATCATGCCACTGCACTCCAGCCTGGGCAACAGAGTGAGACTCTGTCTCAAAACAAAACAAAACTAGAGAGAAGCAATGGTTGCACAACATTTTGGATGTACTAAATGTCACTCTAATTATACACTTTTAAGTAGTTATTTTTGTGTTATGTGAATTTTACCTCAATAAAAATGTTTGGGCATATGCTACATGCTGTGCACACCTCACAGATATGCATGCACACCCTCAGAAATTAATAATGCACTTTTGGTATTAATTGTTCCTTGAGCAGGAATTCAAAGAATTAAAAGATAATTTAAAACCCTACATAATAAAGCAAAATATGAATAACTTAAAATTAGGCCCTAATTCTTCCAATTATTCTTCCTTTTCTTTACTGTTGTGTTCTCCTACTCATAAAAATTACAGAACTCATTAACCAACTCTACGTCTCTGTTGTTGGTGAGTTTATACCATTTCTTAAGAATAAAAATACATTCGAACTTTAAAACAAAGGATCCTACACGAGCTTTAAAAAAAAAAATAGAGAAATACACCATAACTATACTCTATGCTCCCTATGAAGTAGAAGTAGCAAAAGGAAAACATGATAATGGCTCTGTGGATTTTGTAAGAAATGTGTATTAGTCTGTTCTCACGCTGCTAATAATTAAAGACATACTCAAGACTGGGTAATTTACAAAGGAAAGAGGTTTAATGGACTCACAGTTCCACATGGCTGGGGAGGCCTCACAATCATGGCAGAAGATAAAGAAAAAGCCAAGGGGTATCTTACATGGTGGCAGGCAAGAGGGCATGTGCAGGGGAACGCCCCTTTATAAAACCGTCAGATCTCTTGAGACTTATTCACTACCAGGAGAACAGTATGGGGAAAACTGCCCCATGATTCACTTATGTCCACCTGGCCCAACCCTTGACACTGGAGATTATTACAATTCAGGATGAGATTTGGGTGGAGACACAGCCAAACTATATCAAAATGGAAGGCTTGTGAAATGTAAATATTGATTCATTTACCAAAGGCAGCATCTATAAGCCCAGACCCATGAAGGGCTTCATAGCCCATATAAAGGGTTTTCATTTTATTCAAAATATAATGGAAGGCTGTGGGTAAATGAAAATTAAACTGTTGGGAGCAAGAATAGAAGCAGAAAGACCAGTGAAGGAGTGGTTACATTAGTTCCAACAACAGATGTTGAGTCCTAGAACTAGAGTGGTAGTGGAATCAATGAAGAGAATGGGGCATTTTTATATCTATAATATCTGAATAGTGACACCTGATGTCTATATCTATGTCGGATATTTAGATATAAAAGTCTGGAACATAGAAGAGAGGTCAGGGATAGAAATTTAGATTTGGCATTCATCTAATGTTATTGCATGAGATTCAAAGGGAGAGGGTATAAAGCAGAGGGTTGACATGTTCTTACATGTAAGTGGGAGCTAAGCATTGGGTACACATGGACATAAAAATGAGAACAATAGACACTGAAGACTACTAGAAAGTGGAGGGGGGAGTGGGACAAGGGCTGAAAAGCTACCTATTGGGCACTATGCTCACTGCCTGCCTGATAGGATCATTTGTACCCCAAACCTCAGCATCAAACAATACACCCAACCAACAAACCTGCACATATACGCCCTGAATCTAAAATAGAAGTTGAAAGTGTAAAACAAAAAAAGAAATGCAAAAAAGCAAAATAAAAAAGAAGAGTGTTGAAACGTGGGTGGTGTGCAGGTTCAAAATGTCTCAAAGATACACCTAAAAATTGAGTTATTTGCTAATGTTAAAAATTATCAAATATTTCACAAAGGTCCAGATTTCTGATTTCTCCTAGAAAATCCAAAGATCTGGCAATAGTGGGGCTCAAATCTCACTAACCCCTTAAGAAAAGCCCCCTCCCAATTTTCCCCTTTAGAGTCACAGAGACACCATTTTTCTGATTCTCTAAGGCATAAATACCTTAGAGAAGCCTTTGCTTTTTTACATTTTTATAAACTTTAGAGACTTCTATTAATTTTTTAAATGCTGAGTACTTCATGTAATTCAAAAGATGTATTGTTAAGCACTGGGTTCACCAAATATCTTTGCTCTACTTGAATGTTGGGCAGGAGGTCCACTTGGAGTAAAGACTCAGTCTTCTCTGTTGTACATAGCCCTGGAACATGAACTGATTTTAAATTTTACAATCTCTTCAAGTCAAATGGCCATGTACAAAATGTCTTCCTTAGCCCTAGGCTGACGGCAAGGTCATCCTGACTTAGCTATGGGTGAACAGAAAGGAGAAGGAGATAGAGCCTTTAGTGAAGGTTCCTTAACACCTTCACCTCAGATGAAGTTCATAATAGATGAATCTGGAGCTTTATTTCCAGAAAAGTAGATGTTTTTCTCCCTGCCCTAACCTTAGCCCACCACAACCCACTCCTACTGACATGGATGCTTATTTTTTAAAATTCACAATAATTTTAAGAACTTAAATGCTGCTTTGATGTCATTTTTATGTGAAAGCTATCTGAAGGCAAAGAAGCTTTGGTATTTACATTAACTCCAGCACCTGGTACAACACCTGGGATGTAGTGTGTATTTTGTCAAATGAGTAATGTATCATCTATATCAATGAAGGAAAGACAAGCTATCAGAGATGGATGCTTGGGGACCCCTCCCTAGACCTGCTGTGTTGGATGCTCTTGGCCTGTAGTTCCTCAAAAATAGTCTCTCTTTGGTTTCCATTACACAACCTCCTGGCTGCCCTCCTATCCCTGGGCTACTCTCACTAGGACTCTTTCTTCTCTTCCTCTTTAAGTGTCAAAAATACCTGTTTCATCCAGAATTGCAGTCATCTAAAGACTTGACTAGGATTACAGTATCTCCTTCCAAGATGTTTTATCTACATGGTTGCTGAAAGGAGGGTTTTTTGCTGATAATTATTATTAATCATACTAATATAAAACTGTAATAAGTTCAACAAAGAAAAATATGTTGTTATAAAATGCTAAAATGGATGATTTGCCTTCCTCAGAAGGTCAGAGAAGGCTTGACTTCTAAAGGATTAGTAATCTAGGCTAAACCAGGACAGAGCAGCATTCCAGAAAAAAAGGGAACATCATAGGCAAAGACTATATGGAGCAGGAGGGAGTATGGTAAAAATAAGAACTCTAAGAAGTATAAGATAGCTGTTGCTGAGAGAACAAAGGAATTAGAAGCAAGTTGGGGCTGAAGACACAGAGGTAGGACCAAACAGTGTAGGGATTTGTATGTCTTGGTAAAGACTTTGGGTTTTCTTCTAAGAGTAATGAGAAGGCCCATTCGAAAGGTTTAAGTAAGGTAGGGATGTAGTCTTTTTTTCTCACTTAACAGAATCACTCTGGCTGCTTATAAAGAGTACAACTATAGAAGTATTCTCTATAAGAGAATGGGGATGGAATATGAGAAGCCAGTTAAGTGGTTATTGCAAGTACAGACAAGAGTATATTGGATTAAAGTAGAAGAAGTAGAAATGAAGAGAAGTGAACAGACTTGAGAAAGGTATAGAAAGTAAAACTGACAGCACTTGGTGATAGATTGGATAGGGGTGGTAGGAAGTATGAGAGAAGTGAGTGCCAGGATAATTCCTCTGATTTTTGGGCTTGTGTAACTGGATGTGTGATGGTGTCCACACAAATACTGGGAACACTGGAAAAGAACACAATGGGGGAAGAGTGCTTGGTGGGGGTGTGGAGATCATGAGTTCAATTTTGAACCAGTTCAGTTTGAGGTACCTTTGAAACAGCCAAGTAGAGAGTTGGTTAAATGGATGTGAAATTGGAATGAGAGATGTGAGTTGAAGATATAAATGTGAATACAGTGTTCATATACATTTGAGAATTTAAGTTCTAGGCATGCATGAGCTCTCCTTATTGGAGGGAGAAGAGAAAAGAGAAAAGGGCCTAAAACTGAGCCATAACACACCCTGGCATTTAATGGCCCACTTTTTTAAAGCATCATGGGAATGGATAAGTAAATTTAATCTCTAGTATGGCATAGTACAAAATACAAATAATCCATTATTTTAAATTTGATTTCTTTTGTTTTTAATTTGGAGTTTTATTATATAATTAGAGAATATGACTGGCCTGCATAATTTATAGTTTTAGGAATTTACAGGGATTTGCTTTGTAGCTTAATACACAATGGGTTTTTATAAATGTTATACAGACATTTGAAAAGAATATATCCTCTTTATTTTTATTTCTTATTCACCTGTACTTCCAGTTGCTGTCTAAATGAATTCAACAAGGTGCTGAACCTCTAACGTCCTTGTTGAATCAGATTATCTATAGGTAATTGTATAAGGGGGTCATAGTGCATGGCAGATGGTACCTTCGTGTGAGATTTTCTTTGGAAGGTAGTCATTAGATATTAGAGATATAGAGAGCTTAGGCCTTGGACCTAAGCCCTGTAGACAAATGGGTCTCACTTGATGCTCTGCTGTATAATCATAGAAGGTGGTTTTACCAGAAGATAGTGACTTCTTTGAGACTTTCAGAAGAAGGGTTACCTGGGCAGTATCGGTCCCAGAGTTCTTTACTGCGCAAAGACTTAGATAATAATAGAGGAGGGATGGCAAATACATTGTCTCAAAGTGGCACTTTTTCAATATTTTCCAAAGGTAATATATTGACATAACACATCAGTTAGAGGAAGCTGTGTGGAAATAAGTGGGTGAAACTTGGGTGGGGGTGAAGGTAGAGAGAGGGGAAGGTAATCAAAGGTAGTGCTTTATTTTTTACTCTTTCTAGCACCAACCTAAAGCGGAGTCTTTACCTGCATGTCTGCACTCCTCAGATGTTAAAAGTCCTATATCTCTAAAAGATACTGTTTACTATGTATTCTAACTTCTCAGTGTGTACTAACAGAGTTAATCCTTACTATGCCCAGTAAGCCTTATACTCCTCTTCATCACACAGGAACAAGCCCAGACAGCTTAAGTAACATGTATGAGCTCACATAGCATAGCATAAGAATCCAAATTCCTTAGATTGTTGAGCAATAGCTCTGAAACTTTTTGGTCTTAGAACCTTTCATACTTTTAAAAATCATTGAACACGCAAAGAGCTTTTGTGTATGTGACTTGTATTTATCAATATTTACCATAGTGGAAATACCAATGAGAAATTTCTAAAACATGTATTTATTCAAAAATTTAATATGATATAAGTAAGCCAATAATATATTAATATAAATAGCATATTTTTATGAAAAATATTGCATTTCCCAAAAGAAATTAGGCTTAAGAGTAACGTTACCTGGGCATGGAGGTGCATGCCTATAGCCCCAGCTACTTGGGAGGCTAAGTCGGAATAATCACTTGAGCTCCAGAGTTTGAAATGAGCTATGATTGCACCACTGCGCTCTTGCATGGGGAACAGAGAGGGACTCATCTCAAGAAAAAAAAAAAGAGTAGCTTTGCCTTACTTTTCAGCAGATCTCTTTAATGTCTAGTTTAAAAGAAGACAGAAGGATTCTCATACATGTCTCTGCATTCAATCTGTAACAATCTGTTGTTTTGGCTCAAACATATGAAGAAAATATGGCTTTAAAAAGATATGTACTTACAACACTATGTTGAACAGGAGTAGCGAGAGAGGGCATCCCTGTCTCGTGCCAGTTTTCAATCAGGCAGGAGAAAGAAATAAAGGGTATTCAATTAGGAAAAGAGGAAGTCAAATTGTCCCTGTTTGCAGATGACATGATTGTATATCTAGAAAACCCCATTGTCTCAGCCCAAAATCTCCTTAAGCTGATAGGCAACTTCAGCGAAGTCTCAGGATACAAAATCAATCTGCAAAAATCACAAGCACTTCTGTACACCAATAACAGACAAACAGAGAGCCAAATCATGAGTGAACTCCCATTCACAATTGCTTCAAAGAGAATAAAATACCTAGGAATCCAACTTACAAGGGATGTGAAGGACCTCTTCAAGGTGAACTACAAACCACTGCTCAGTGAAATAAAAGAGGATACAAACAAATGGAAGAACATTCCATGCTCATGAGTAGGAAGAATCAATATCGTGAAAATGGCCATACTGCCCAAGGTAATCTATAGATTCAATGCCATCCCCATCAAGCCACCAATGACTTTCTTCACAGAATTGGAAAAAACTACTTTAAAGTTCATATGGAACCAAAAAAAGAGCCCACATCGCCAAGTCAATCCTAAGCCAAAAGAAAAAAGCTGGAGGCATCACGCTACCTGACTTCAAACTATACTACAAGGCTACAGTAACCAAAACAGCATGGTACTGGTACCAAAACAGCATGGTACTGGTACCAAAACAGAGATATAGACCAATGGAACAGAACAGAGCCCTCAAAAATAATACCACACATCTATAACTATCTGATCTTTGACAAACCTGACAAAAACAAGAAATGGGGAAATGATTCCCTATTTAACAAATGGTGCTGGGAAAACTGGCTAGCCATATGTAGAAAGCTGAAACTGGATCCCTTCCTTACACCTTATACAAAAATTAATTCAAGATGGATGAAAGACTTAAATGTTAGACCTAAAACCATAAAAACCCTTGAAGAAAACCTAGGCATTACCATTCAGGACATAGGCATGGGCAAGGACTTCATGTCTAAAACGCCAAAAGCAATGGCAACAAAAGACAAAATTGACAAATGGGATCTAATTAAACTAAATAGCTTCTGCATAGCAAAAGAAACTACCATCAGAGTGAACAGGCAACCTACAGAATGGGAGAAAAATTTTGCGATGTTCTCATCTGACAAAGGGCTAATATCCAGAATCTACAATGAACTCAAACTAATTTACAAGACAAAAACAAACAACCCCATCAACAAGTGGGCAAAGGATATGAACAGACACTTCTCAAAAGAAGACATTTATGCAGCCAAAAGACACATGAAAAAATGCTCATCATCACTGGCCATCAGAGAAATGAAAATCAAAACCACAATGAGATACCATCTCACACCAGTTAGAAAAGTGATCATTAAAAAGTCAGGAAACAACAGGTGCTGGAGAGGATGTGGAGAAACAGGAACACTTTTACACTGTTGGTGGGACTGTAAACTAGTTCAACCATTGTGGAAGTCAGTGTGGGGATTCCTCAGGGATCTAGAACTAGAAATACCATTTGACTCAGCCATCCCATTCCTGGGTATATATCCAAAGGACTATAAATCATGCTGCTATAAAGACACATGCTCACGTATATTTATTGTGGCACTATTCACAATAGTAAAGACCTGGAATCAACCCAAATGTCCAACAATGATAGACTGGATTAAGAAAATGTGGCACATATACACCATGGAATACTATTCAGCCATAAAAAAGGATGAGTTCATGTCCTTTAAAGGGACATGCATGAAGCTGGAAACCATCATTCTCAGCAAACTATCGCAAGGAGAAAAAACCAAACATCACATGTTCTCTCTCATAGGTGGGAATTCAACAATGAGAACACTTGGACACAGGAAGGGGGACATCACACACCGGGGCCTGTTGTGGGGTGGAGGAAGCGGGGAGGGATAGCATTAGGAGATATACTTAATGTAAATGACGAGTTAATGGGTGCACCTCACCAACATGGCACATGTATACATATGTAACAAACCTTCACTTTATGTACATGTACCCTAGAACTTAAAGTATAATAAAAATAAAATTAAAAAATTAAAAAGATATGTACTTAGAAAACATAGTATCTTTTTTTAAATTTCAACTTTTATTTTAGTTACAGGATGTACATTATAGATTTGTTACATTAGAATATTTCATGATGCTGAGGTTTGGAATACAAATCCCATCACCCTGATAGTGAACACAGTCACTGATAGGTAGTTTTTTAACCCCCACCTCGTCTTTGCACCCTCTAGTAGTCCACAATGTCTATTGTTTCCATATTTATTTCCGTGTGTGCTCAATACTTAGGTCCTACTTATAAGTGAGAACATGTGGTGTTTGATTTTCTGTTACTGCATTAATTTGCTTAAGATTATGGCCTCCAGCTCCATCCGTGTTGCTATAAAGAACATGATTTCATTTTTATGGCTGCATTGTATTCCATGACATACATGTGCCACATTTTCTTTGTCCAATCTACCATTGATGGGCACCTAGATTGATTGCATGTCTTTGTTATTATGAATAGCACAGTTGCAAACATTCAACTTCATGTGTCTTGTGTCTTTTTGGTAGAATAATTTGTTTTCATAACATTTAAAATAATTGTTTATGTTCTTCTTTGATGTTATATCAAAATTTGAAAAGCAGCAATTTCTTTTTTGTTTGTTTTCGCTTTTAAGTTCAGGGGTACAAGTGCAGGTTTGTTACATAGGTAAACTTGTGTCATGGAGGTTTTCTGTACAGATTATTTCATCACCCAGGTATTAAGCCTAGTACCCATTAGTGATTTTTCCTGATCCTCTCCCTCCTCTCACCATCCACCCTCTAATAGGCCCCAGAGTATGTTGTTCCCTTCTGTTTGTCCACATGTTATCATCATTTAGCTCCCACTTATAAGTGAGAACATGACATATTTGGTTTCCTGGTCCTGCCTTAGTTTGCTAAGGATAATGGCCTCCAGCTCCATCCATTGCCCTTCAAAGGACATGATCTTGTTCTTTTTTTTTTCTTTATATACTTTAAGTTTTAGGGTACAAGTGCACAATGTGCAGGTTAGTTACATTTGTATACATGTGCCATGTTGGTGTGCTGCACCCATTCACTCATCATTTAACATTAGGTATATCTCCTAATGCTATCCCTCCCCCCTACCCACCCCCCACAACAGGCCATGATGTTCCCCTTCCTGTGCCCATGTGTTCGTATTGTTCAATTCCCACCTATGAGTGAGAACATGTGATGTTTAGTTTTTTGTCCTTGTGATAGTTTGCTGAGAATGATGGTTTTGAGCTTCATCCATAACCCTACAAATGACATGAACTCATCCTTGTCATGAGGATCTATAAAGACACATGCTCATGTATGTTTATTGTGGCACTATTCACAATAGCAAAGACCTGGAATCAACCCAAATGTCCAACAATGATAGACTGGATTAAGAAAATGTGGCACATATACACCATGGAATACTATGCAGCCATAAAAAAGGATGAGTTCATGTCCTTTGTAGGGACATGGATGAAGCTGGAAACCATCATTCTCAGCAAACTATTGCAAGGAGAAAAAAACCAAACATCACATGTTCTCTCTCATAGCTAAGAATTCAACAATGAGAACATATGGACACAGGAAGGGGGACATCACACACCGGGGCCTGTTGTGGGGTGGAGGGAGGGGGGAGGGACAACATTAGAAGATATAACTAATGTAAATCACAAGTTAATGGGTGCAGCTCACCAACATGGCACATGTATACATATGTAACAAACCTTCACTTTGTGTACATGTACCCTAGAACTTAAAGTACAATAAAAATAAAATTAAAAAAAAAGATATGGGATGGCTGGGTCAAATAGTATTTCTAGTTCTAGATCCCTGAGGAATCGCCACACTGACTTCCATAATGGTTTAACTAGTTTACAGTCCCACCAACAATGTAAAAGTGTTCCTATTTTTCCACATCCTCTCCAGCACCTGTTGTTTCCTGACTTTTTAACGATCGTCATTGTAACTGGTGTGAGATGGTATCTCATTGTGGTTTTGATTTGCAATTCTCTGATGGCCAGTGATGATGAGCATTTTTTCATGTGTCTTTTGGCTGCATAAATGTCTTCTTTTGAGAAGTGTCTGTTCATATACTTCACCCTCTTTTTGATGGGGTTGTTTGCTTTTTTCTTGTAAATTTGTTTGAGTTCATTGTAGATTCTGGATATTAGCCCTTTGTCAGATGAGTAGATTGCAAAAATTTTCTCCCATTCTGTAGGTTGCCTGTTCACTCTGATGGTAGTTTCTTTTGCTGTGCAGAAGCTCTTGAGTTTAATTAGATCCCATTTGTCAATTTTGTCTTTTGTTGCCATTGCTTTTGGTGTTTTAGACATGAAGTCCTTCCCATGCCTATGTCCTGAATGGTATTGCCTAGGTTTCCTTCTAGGGTTTTTACGGTTTTGGGTCTAACATTTAAGTCTTTAATCCATCTTGAATTAATTTTTGTATAAGGTGTAAGGAAGGGATCCAGTTTCAGCTTTCTACATATGGCTAGCCAGTTTTCCCAGCACCATTTATTAAATAGGGAATCGTTTCCCCATTTCTTGTTTTTCTCAGGTTTGTCAAAGATCAGATGGTTGTAGATATGTGGCATTATTTCTGAGGACTCTGTTCTGTTCCATTGGTCTATATCTCTGTTTTGGTACCAGTACCATGCTGTTTTGGTTACTGTAGCCTTGTAGTATAGTTTGAAGTCAGGTAGTGTGATGCCTCCAGCTTTGTTCTTTTGGCTTAGGATTCACTTGGCAACGCGAGCTCTTTTTTGGTTCCATATGAACTTTAAAGTAGTTTTTTCCAATTCTGTGAAGAAAGTCCTTGGTAGCTTGATGGGGATGGCATTGAATCTATAAATTCCCTTGGGGAGTATGGCCATTTTCACAATATTGATTCTTCCTATCCATGAGTATGGAATGTTCTTCCATTTGTTTGTATCCTCTTTTATTTCCTTGAGCAGTGGTTTGTAGTTCTCCTTGAAGAGGTCCTTCACATCCCTTGTAAGTTGGATTCCTAGATATTTAATTCTCTTTGAAGCAATTGTGAATGGGAGTTCACTCATGATTTGGCTGTTTGTCTGTTATTGGTGTATAAAAATGCTTGTGATTTTTGCACATTGATTTTGTATCCTGAGACTTTGCTGAAGTTGCCTATCAGCTTAAGGAGATTTTGGGCTGAGACAATGGGGTTTTCTAGATATACAATCATGTCAACTGCAAACAGGGACAATTTGACTTCCTCTTTTCCTAATTGAATACCATTTATTTCCTTCTCCTGCCTGATTGCCCTGGCCAGAACTTCCAACACTATGTTGAATAGGAGTGGTGAGAGAGGGCATCCCTGTCTTGTGCCAGTTTTCAAAGGGAATGCTTCCTGTTTTTGCCCATTCAGTATGATATTGGATGTGGGTTTGTCATAGATAGCTCTTATTATTTGGAGATATGTGCCATCAATACCTAATTTATTGAGAATTTTTAGCATGAAGCGTTGTTGAATTTTGTCAAAGGACTTTTCTGCATCTATTGAGACAATCATATGATTTTTGTCATTGTTTCTGTTTATATGCTGGATTATGTTTATTGATTTGCGTATTTTGAACCAGTCTTGCATCCCAGGGATGAAGCCCACCTGATCATAGTGGACAAACTTTTTGATGTGCTGCTGAATTAGGTTTGCCATTGTTTTATTGAGGATTTTAGCATCGATGTTCATCAGGGATATTGGCCTAAAATTCTCTTTTTTTGTTGTGTCTCTGCCAGGCTTTTGTATCAGGATGATGCTGGCCTCATAAAATGAGTTAGGGAGGATTCCCTCTTTTTCTATTGATTGGAATAGTTTCAGAAGGAATGGTACTAGCTCCTCCTTGTACCTCTGGTAGAATTCGGCTGTGAATCCATCTGGTCCTCGACTTTTTTTGGTTGGTAAGCTATTAACTATTGCTTCAATTTCAGAGCCTGTTATTGGTCCATTCAGAGATTCAACTTCTTCCTGGTTTAGTCTTGGGAGGGTGTATGTGTTGAGGAATTTATCCATTTCTTCTAGATTTTCTAGTTTATTTGCATAGAGGTGTTTATAGTACTCTCTGATGGTAGTTTGTATTTCTGTGGGATCGGTGGTGATATCCCCTTGATCATTTTTTCTTGCATCTATTTGATTCTTCTCTCTTTTCTTCTTTATTAGTCTTGGTAGTGGTCTATCAATTTCGTTGATCTTTTCAAAAAACAATCTCCTGGATTCATTGATTTTTTGAAGGGTTTTTTTATGTCTCTATTTCCTTCAGTTCTGCTCTGATCTTAGTTATTTCTTGCCTTCTGCTAGCTTTTGAATGTGTTTACTCTTGCTTCTCTAGTTCTTTTAATTGTGATATTAGGGTGTCAGTTTCAGATCTTTCCTGCTTTCTAATGTGGGCATTTAGTGCTATAAATTTCCCTGTACACACTGCTTTGAATGTGTCCCAGAGATTCTGGTATGTTGTGTCTTTGTTCTCATTGGTTTCAAAGAACATCTTTTTTTCTGCCTTCATTTCGTTATGAACCCTGTAGTCATTCAGGAGCAGGTTGTTTAGTTTCCGTGTAGTTGAGCAGTTTTGAGTGAGTTTCTTAATCCTGAGTTCTAGTTTGATTGCACTGTGGTCTGAGAGACAGTTTGTTATAATTTCTGTTCTTTTACATTTGCTAAGGAGACCTTTACTTCCAACTATGTGGTCAGTTTTGGAATACGTGTGGTGTGGTGCTGAGAAGAATGTATATTCTGTTGATTTGGGGTGGAGAGTTCTGTAGATATCTATTAGGTCCGCTTGGTGCAGAACTGAATTCAATTCCTGGATATCCTTGTTAACTTTCTGTCTCGTTGATCTGTCTAATGTTGACAGTGGGGTGTTAAAGTCTCCCATTACTATTGTGTGGGAGTCTAAGTCTCTTTGTAGGTTACTAAGGACTTGCTTTATGAATCTGGGTGCTCCTGTATTGGGTGCATATATATTTAGGATAGTTAGCTGTTGTTGTTGAGTTGATCCCTTTACCATTATGTAATGGCCTTCTTTGTCTCTTTTGATCTTTGCTGGTTTAAAATCTGTTTTATCAGAGACTAGGATTGCAACCCCTGCCTTTTTTTGTTTTCCATTTGCTTGGCAGATCTTCTTCCATCCCTTTATTTTGAGCCTATGTGTGTCTCTGCGCGTGAGATGGGTTTCCTGAATACAGCACACTGATGGGTCTTGACTCTTTATCCAATTTGCCAGTCTGTGTCTTTTAATTGGAGCATCTAGCCCATTTACATTTAAGGTTAGTATTATTATGTGTGAATTTGATCCTGTCATTATGATGTTAGCTGGTTATTTTGCTCGTTAGTTGATGCAGTTTCTTCCTAGCCTCGATGGTCTTTACAATTTGGCATGTTTTTGCAGTGGCTGGTACCGGTTGTTCCTTTCCATTTTTAGTGCTTCCTTCAGGAGCTCTTTTAGGGCAGGCCTGGTGGTGACAAAATCTCTGAACATTTGCTCGTCTGTAAAGTATTTTATGTCTCCTTCACTTATGAAGCTTAGTTTAGCTGGATATGAAATTCTGGGTTGAAAATTCTTTTCTTTAAGAATGCTGAATATTGGCCCCCACTCTCTTCTCACTTGCAGCATTTCTGCCGAGAGATCTTCTGTTAGTCTGATGGGCTTCCCTTTGTGGGTAACCCGACCTTTGAATGTTGGCCTGCCTTGCTAAATTGCGGAAGTTCTCCTGGATAATATCCTGCAGAGTGTTTTCCAACTTGGTTCCATTCTCCCCATCACTTTCAGGTACACCAACGAGACTTAGATTTGGTCTTTTCACATAGTCCCATATTTGTTGGAAGCTTTGTTCATTTCTTTTTATTCTTTTTTCTCTGAACTTCTCTTCTCACTTCATTTCATTCATTTGATCTTCCATCACTGATACCCTTTCTTCCAGTTGATCAAATTGGCTACTGATGCTTGTGCATTCGTCACGTACTTCTTATGCCTTGGTTTTCAGCTCCATGAGGTCCTTTAAGCACTTCTCTGCATTGGTTATTCTAATTAGCCATTCGTGTAATTTTTTTTCAAGGTTTTTGACTTCTTCACGCCATGGGTTTGAACTTCCTCCTTTAGCTCAGAGTAGTTTGATCATCTGAAGCCTTCTGCTCTCAACTCGTCAAAGTCATTCTCCATCCAACTTTGTTCAGTTGCTGGTGACGAGCTGCATTCCTTTGGTGGAGGAGAGGCACTCTGATTTTTAGAGTTTCCAGTTTTTCTGCTCTGTTTTTTCCCCATCTTTGTGGTTTTATCTACCTTTGGTCTTTGATGATGGTGACATACAGATGGGGTTTTGGTGTGGATGTCCCTTCTGTTTGTTAGTTTTCCTTCTAACAGTCAGGACCCTCAGCTGCAGGTCTGTTGGAGTTTGCTTTTGGTCCACTCCAGACCCTGTTTGCCTGGGTATCAGCAGCAGAGGCTGCAGAACAGTTAATACTGGTGAGCAGCAAATGTTGCTGCCTGAACGTTCCTCTGGAAGTTTTTTCTCAGAGGAGTACCTGGCCATGTGAGGTGTCAGTGTGCCCCTACTGTGGGGTGCCTCCCAGTTAGGATACTTGGGGGTCATGGACCCACTTGCGGAGGCAGTCTGTCCATTCTCAGATCTCCAGCTGCATTCTGGGAGAACCTCTACTGTCTTCAAAGCTGTCAGACAGGGACATTTAATTCTGCAGAGTTTTCTGCTGCCTTTTGTTTGGCTATGCCCTGCCCCGGTGCTGTAGTCTACAGAGGCAGGCAGGCCTCCTTGAGCTGCAGTGGGCTCCACCCAGTTCGAGTTTCCCAGCTGCTTTGTTTACCTACTCAAGCCTCGGCAATGCCGGGAACCCCTCCCCCAGCCTCTCTGCCACCTTGCAGTTTGATCTCAGACTGCTGTGCTGGCAATGAGCGAGGCTCTGTGGGCATGGGACCCTCCAAGCCAAGCATAGGATATAATCTCCTGGTGTGCCATTTGCTAAGCCCATTGGAAAAGTGCAGTATTAGGGTGTGAGTGACCTGATTTTCCAGGTGCCATCTGTCACCCCTGTCTTTGACTAGGAAAGGGAATTCCCTGACCCCTTGCACTTCCTGGGTGAGGTGATGCCTCGCCCTGCTTCACCTCACGCTCCGTATGCTGCATCCACTGTCCTGCTCCCACTTTCTGACACTCCTCAGTGAGATGAACCCAGTACATCAGTTGGAAATGCAGAAATCACCCATCTTCTGTGCCGCTCACACTGGGGGCTGTAGTCTGCACCTGTTCCTAATCGGCCACCTTGGCTCCACCCCCACGATCTTGTTCTTTTTTATAGCTTCATAGTATTCCATGGTGTTTATGTACCATATTTTCTTTATCCATTCTATCATTTTGCGGCATTTAGGTGGATTCTATGTCTTTGCTATTGCAAATAGTGCTGCAGTAAACACATGCATGTATGTGTCTTTATAATATAATCATTTATATTTCTTCAGGTATGTGCCCAGTAATGGGATTTCTAGTTCAAATGGCATTTCTGTCTTTAGGTCTTTGAGGAATTACTGCACTATCTTCCACAATGCTTCAACTAATTTACACCCCACCAACAGTGTAGAAGCATTTTTTTTTCTCTACAACTGCACCAGCATCTGTTATTTTTTTGACTTTTTAATGATAGTCATTCTGACTGGTGTGACATGGTATCTAACTGTGGTTTTCATTTGCATTTCTGTAATAACAAGTGATGTTGAGGTTTTTTTGATATGATTTTTGGCTGCATTTATGTCTTCTTTTGAAAAGTGCCTTTTTATGCCCTTTGCCCACTTTTTAATGGAGTTGTTTGTTTTTCTCTTGCACATTTTTTGCATTCCTTATAGATATTGGATATTAGACCTTTGTCAGATGCATAGTTTACAAAAATTTTCTCCCAATCTGTAATTCTGTTTACACCCTTGATAGTTTCTGTTGCTGTGCAGAAGGTCTTTAGTTTAATGAGATTTCATTAGTTGATTTTTGATTTGTTGCAGTTGCTTTCAGGAATTATAGTTCTTTGTCACTAAATCTTTGCCCACTCCTATGTCCTCAGTGGTATGGTCTAGGTTGTCTTCCAGGGTTTCTATAGTTTAGGGTTTTACATTTAAGTCTGTAATCCATCTTGAGTTAATTTTTGTATATGGTATAAATAAGGAGACCAACTCTGATCTTCTGAATATGGATACCCAGTTATCCCAGCACCACTTCTTTAATAGGAAATTATTTACCCATTGCCTGTTTTGTCATATTTGTCAAAGATTAGATAGTTGTAGGTGTGCAGTCTTATGTCTGGGTACTCTATTCTGTTCCACTGGTCTATGTCTCTGTCTTTGTACCAGTACCATCCTGTTTTGGTTACTGTAGACTTGTAGTATAGTTTATGCAGTGCAATGCCTCCAGCTTTGTTCTTTTTGCTTAGAACTGGCTTGGCTATTCAGGCTCTCGTTTGGTTCCATATGAATTTTATTTTTTATTTTTTTTTTAAACAACAGCAAGAACAAACACAACAACTTTATTTTTTAGTGTCATTAATTCAAATAGGTTAGATTTCACTTACCAAATCATTCAACTTTAATTTTTAAGCACTTAACATAAGACAAGTACTGTATTCAATGCAGAAAGCATGATAGTAAGATAGACACTAAGCCTATGTCTCTGCATTTTTCAGTCTTTAAAAGGGCAGAAAAGTAAACAAACCGTAACACCAAATGTATTTAGAGCTACAATACAGGAAGTGCAAAATCTAGTAAAATCACAGAGCAGGAGCAATGAGCTAGTTTATGAGGTCAAGGAAGATTCCTAGAGGAAATGATATTTAATTCATGTTTTCAAATTTGAGGTTGATCAATTTAGTAAATCAAATAGAGTAGAAAAGAACAGAAACTATGAGGTTGCATTGCACATAAAATGTGTAAGTATTGTTTCAAGAAGTACTTTTTCCAGTTTTTTTTTTTATCCTCTAGAATATATTTATTAATTGTATTTAATTGCAGGATTTTACATTGATCACAATTAAAATTACTATCTTTTCTGTATGCCCACTGTTCTGTCTGCTCAGTATATTTCTTTTTTTTTTTTCTTTCTTGTTATCTCTTTTTTTTTTTTTTTTTTTAACTTTTTTTTTTTTTATTATACTTTAAGTTTTAGGGTACATGTGCACATTGTGCAGGTTAGTTACATATGTATACATGTGCCATGCTGGTGCGCTGCACCCACTAACGTGTCATCTAGCATTAGGTATATCTCCCAATGCTATCCCTCCCCCCTCCCCCGACCCCACCACAGTCCCCAGAGTGTGATATTCCCCTTCCTGTGTCCATGTGATCTCATTGTTCAATTCCCACCTATGAGTGGGAATATGCGGTGTTTGGTTTTTTGTTCTTGCGATAGTTTACTGAGAATGATGGTTTCCAATTTCATCCATGTCCCTACAAAGAACATGAACTCATCATTTTTTATGGCTGCATAGTATTCCATGGTGTATATGTGCCACATTTTATTCACAATAGCAAAGACTTGGAACCAACCCAAATGTCCATATGAATTTTAAAATACTTCTTTTAGTTCTGTGAAGAATCTCAATTGCAGTTTAGTAGGAATAGCATTAAACCTATACATTGCTTTGGGCAGTATCTGCAAAGCCAGATTCGAAGCCAACCAGGGGTGGAGGCAGTCCCCCAACACAGCACAGCTGCTCTGCAAAAACATGGCTAGACAAGTAGTAATTTCTTAAAGCTTGGTTGAAATGTGTAATGTGAAACAATATCAGTGAGCTTTTCATAATCTGTTACATTAAAATCCATTGGTCTATCTTGCATTTTAAATGGATTTTTTCCTATGCATGATTTCGTAATATCACCACGTTGGTGACTTAAAAAATTTTGGTTCACTCAGTTGTGTGGGTCTTCAAAACGTTGTCATGTTTCATTGTACAATAACAAAAAATCTGTCTGGGCACGGTGGCTCATGCCTGTAATCCCCATATTTTGGGAGGCTGAGTTGAGGATTGCTTGAGGGCAGGAGTTCAAGACTAGCCTGGACAACATAGTGAGACCTCATTCAAGAAAAAAATAAATTAGCCAGATATGTTTCTACATGCTGGTAGTCCTGGCTATTTGGAATGCTGAAGTGGAAGAACTGCTTCAGCCTAGGAGTTCAAAGCTGTAGTGAGCTATGATTGCACCACTGAACTCCAGGCTGGGTGACAGAGAGACCCTGTCTCAAAAAAAAAAAAAAAGCCTTCTTGAATATCACCACCAATCTGTTCAGAAAACCATTTTAACTTTTAAGAAGACTTCTGCCACATAGAGGCAGATAGGAATTTGTCAAAATCTTAACTTTTGCTTGAAAACTCAAATTTTGTTTTTGGTAAAATATCTATCAAAGACTAAATTTGAATAACCACAATTTGCCTCCCAGTTGCTCTTTGAAGTAAAACAGCATTCAATAAAAATAGCATCTAGGTCTACCTATACCCCAAACAATCATATAAGTGCTTTATTTTTTTTTTTTTTGAGACAACCATTGCACTTCAGTGTACAGAAGAAGTGCTTCTGGCCATATAGAATATTAAAAAGACTTTTACTTAATAGTTAATATTTAATAAAATTAGTACTTTATATAGTTTCATCAAGGTATTCTTAAGTGAAACTGATGTTTTTAAAACTAAAATGTATGATATTCTTCTATATAACATCTACTAGCTCACTTTGCTGCTGCCTTGATTTGTGCTAAGGTGCCAACAGTTTAATTGACCATTGCTCTTGCACCATCAGGACAAGTATCAATGCAGTGAAGAAGGCACATAATGTCTTCATATTACCGTAAAAATATTGTTTGGCCTCATGGGCCCCTGAAAGTATCTTGGGGATCCTGGGATATTTGTAGATACATTAAGAACCACTCATGTAGCAATAAAAATGAATGGAATTTGTGCTATAAATCCTGCTTTTAATGGACACGTGGCATCTACAGATGGAGTAGCATATAGTGTTATTCTGTATATGCCAACTTTAAAGGTGAGTCCCATTTTCATTCAGGGCTCTTTAGTGTCCCAAGATTTCCTGTTCATTTACACTGTAGGAAACTGTCAGACAGATTGTACAGCTTTACTGTTAACTGCCCAGCTAATAACAGCAGTAGGTGTTTCCTAGGAGAGTGATTTGTTTTCCGGGGAGAAATCATTTGTTAGCAGGCTGGGTTGAAGCCTACTATAGAGGTGCTCCAGATGTGACAATTGCCAGGCTTTAAGAAACAATGTCTATTAATTGAGAACCCGAGAGGCCTATCCAAGGATTTCCTGCTTGCAATCAAGTGTCTATGAGTTCTGATGCATGTGTTTGGAAACATGATGTGTGCAAAAGCCATATGTGTTCCATTTTCTGGCCACTCTAAAAGGACAATGAGTGAATCTCTCCCTCATGATCTGAGACAAGAAATAACGCTGCAGAAAGTAATGGAGTTGCCACATGTGACACATTGCTTTATTTTTTCTTTCTTTCTTTTGGGCGGGGGGATAGAGTCTTGTTCTGTCGTCTAGGCTGAAGTGCAGTGGCACTATCTAGGCTCACTGCAACCACCGCCTCCTGGGTTCAAGCGATTCTCCTGCCTCAGTCTCCCGAGTAGCTGAGATTACAGGCCTGTGCCACCATGCCCAGCTACCTTTTGTATTTTTAGTAGAGATGGGATTTCACCATGTTGGCCAGACGGTCTCAAACTCCTGACCTCAAATGATCTGCTCGTCTATGCCTCCCAAAGTGCTGGGATTACGGTGCAAGCCACCACGCCTGGCCCACATTACTTTCTAATTTGAGCTCTTCTCCAGTACGCTCTAATCGAAGAGACTGCGAAATGGATTAACTCTACCGTATTAGCTGGAAGAACATATCACTGTTAAGCTTCATTCATGATGCTTGGCTTCAAGAGAGCCAACTAGGAAACCCCCTGAGAGTGAAATAGTGAACTTGTGGAATCCAGCCAAAGGACTACTGGGGAATTACATGATTGTTGCAGTCCTATTTAATAAGAGTAGTTGATGACAATGATTGAGCCCTTACCATGACAGGCACTGTGGCTGAACATTTGCTATGTATATTTATGTATGCTATGTATATGTATAATTTAATTCTCACAGTAAAATATCCCAGTTCAGGCAATCTTTTTGTAGAACCACATTCTAAAATGTACTACCTCTTGATGACCTGTGGAAGTTTTAAAGCAAAATCAAACATATATTACTTAGCAGATTTTAAATGAGCAAACCAAAGTGGATAAATTATTTCCATCCCATATTCAGATATTTTTAATGCTGAATTTTCATAGCAAATACCACAGTATACCCATAAATGGAGCTATATCTCCACATATTTTTCCACCAGTGGAGATTTTTATCAATTTGAAAAGCTGCCCTGAGGGATTTAAAGAACACAATTTTTTCCAATAAACAATGGAAAATTGGTGAAAGTCATAAATCTCATGAAAATGTGTATTTTTCTCGATAATGTCACAATTTTAGGCAAAATTGCTTAGGCTTCTAAGTAGTCTCCTCAAAAACCTGTTACAACTGATGAACAAATTCAGTAAACAAAGTCAACAAACAAGAATCAGTTGCATTTTCACACACTAACAATGAACTATCCAAAAAGAAATTATGAAAGCAATTCTATGGACAATAGTATCAAAAAGAAAAAAACTTAGCAGAAATTTAACCAAAATAAAATATCTGTGCACTGAAAACTGTAAGACATTGATAAAAGAAACTGAAGATGACAAAAATAGATGGAAAGATATCCCATGTCCATGGGTTAGACAAATTAATATTGTTAAAATGTTTATGACCTTTTACACATAAACATAAAAAAATAGTCTTTTTTATTATTATACTTTAAGTTCTAGGGTATATGTGCACAACGTGCAGGTTTGTTACCTATGTATACATGTGCCATGTTGGTGTGCTGCACCCATGAACTCATCATTTACATTAGGTATATCTCCTAATGCTATCCCTCCCCCCTCCCCGACCCCATGACAGTCCCCGATGTGTGATGTTCCCTGTCTTGTGTCCAAGTGTTCTCATTGTTCAATTCCCACCTATGAGTGAGAACATGCAGTGTTTGGTTTTCTGTTCTTGCGATAGTTTGCTGAGAATGATGGTTTCCAGCTTCATCCATGTCCCTACAAAGGACATGAACTCATCCTTTTTTATGGCTGCACACTATTCCATGGTGTATATATGCCCAAATTAGTAAGGTAGCACAAAAGACCCTGAATAGCCAAAGCAATTTTGAGCAAGAATAAACTGAAGACAACATATTTCCTGATTTCAAGCTGTATTGCAAAGCTCTAGTAACAAAATAGTATGATAATGGCATAAAAACTGACTTCCATAGCAGTCAGAGACATGAGGCCCCCTTTCAAGGCCCTAGCTTCTGGATGACATTTGTAGCCGCACTCTGTGCCAGAAGGGAAACTGCTGCCTTAAAGGGAATGACCTGGTCCTGGCAGGATCCATCTCCTGGTGACTAAAGAGCCCTTGATCCATGAATAATCAGAGGTAATACCCAGGTAGTAACCCATAGACCTTGGGTAAGACTCAGATTTACCGGTTTCAGATGAGACTCAGCACATTCCCAACCGCGGTGGCTACAGGAAGACACTCTTTTTGCTTGATAAAGGTGGAGGGAAAAGTAAAGGGGACTTTGTTTTGCACCCTAGGTACCAGCTTGGCCACAGGAGGATAGAGCGGCAAGTTTGCTCTTGGGGTCCTTGATTCCAGTGAAAGTCCAGAAATGCTCTTGCATGGCATTTCTGGACCTGCCTTGGGCCAGAGTGGAGCCCACTGCCCTGAAAGGTGTGTCTCAGCACAGTCATAAGCTGACTGAAGAGCCTTAAGAGAACATAAGCAGTAGTTTGGCAGTACTCTCTGTGGACCTGTGATGGTGGTAGCCATGGAGTTAGGCTCCTAAGGCTGTAGAAAGGAAAGAGAAGAGTGGGAAGCACTGTGTCTTGTGTTATGAGTGCCAGCTCAGCTGCAGTATAATAGAACATGAGGTGGACTTCTAAGTTTTTTTGACTCCAGTCCCTGGCTCCTGCATGGCATCTCTGGACCCACCAGGGGCCTAGGGGAACTTGCTACCATGAAAGGAAGGACACAAGCACGGCTGGTTTTGCCATGTTCTGATTGTAATGCCCCAGGGCCTTTTGTGAACATAGGTAGTAGCTAAGTACTGGCTCAAGTGGGCCTTGGTTTAGACCCAGTGTTGTACTGACTTAAGGTCTGACGAGCACAGTCTCAGTGGTGGTGACCACTGGGATGCTTGTGTCACCCCACCCTCAGTTGCAGGTGGATCAGAACAAAGAGAGAGACTTTGCTTGGGAGAAAGTAAGGGAAGTACACAAGAGTCTCTGCCTGGTAATCAATAGAATTTTTCTGTATCTTATTCAAAAACATCAAGATGGTACATCTATTAGTCTAGAAAAACCACAGCATTAGTGGACTTGGGGTGCCCACTAATGCAAACATAACTTAGATCACAACAACCAAGTCCATTCAAATACCTGGAAAGCTTTCCCAAGCAGGAAGGGTATAAACAAACACAAAATATGAAGATTACAATAAATACCTAACTCTTCAATGACCAGAACTGACAAATATCCACAAGCATCAAGACCATCCAGGAAAACATGACCTCACCAAATGAACTAAATAAGGAACCAGGGACCAATGCTGGAGAAACAGAAATGTGACCTTTCAGAAAGAGAATTGAAAATAGTTACTTTGACAAAACTCAAAAAAGTTCAAGGTAACACAAAGAAACAATTCAGAATTCTGTCAGACAAATGTAACAAAGAGATTGAAATAATTTAAAAGAATCAAGCAGAAGTTCTGGAGCTAAAACATGAAGCCTAGTGAGAAAGTCATCAGTCTTTTTATAGCAGAATTGGTCAAGCAGAAGAAATAATTAGTGAGCATACAGACAGGACATTTAAAAATATATGGTTAGAAGAGCCTAAAGGAAACAGAATTAAAAACAATGAAGTAACACACACAGGATCTAGAAAATAGCTTCAAAAGGGCAAATCAATATTGATCTTAAAGAAGAAGTAGAGAGATAGGGGTAGAAAGTTTATTCAAAGGAAAAATAACAGAGAACTTCCCTAAACTAGAAAAAGATATCAGTATACAAGTACAAATAGGCTATAGAACACCAAGCAAATTTAACCCAAATAATCCTATCTCAAGGCATTTAATCGGAAACTCTCAAAGGTCAGAGATGAAGAAAGCATCCTAAAAGCAGTAGGAGAAAAGAAACAAATAACAGGCACTGGAGCACCAATATATCTGGCAGCAGACTTTTCAGCGGAAACCTTAAAGGACAAGAGAGTTCATTCTTCAGTCAGAAAGAAAAGGATGTTAATGAGCATTAAGAAATGATCTGAAGGTACAAAACTCACTGAGAATAGTAAGTCTGTAGAAAAACAGAATATTATAGTCCTGTAACTGTGGTGTCTAAACCACTATATCTTTAGTAGAAAGACTAAACAAAGAATCCATCAAAAACTAATAACTACAATAACTTTTCAAGACATAGACAGTACAAAAAGATATAAATAGAAACAACAAAAAGTTTAAAACCAAGGGGATGAAGTATAGAGTTCTTATTAGTTTTATTTTTGATTATTTTCTTTTTATGAAAACAGTGTTAAGTAGTTATTAGCTTTAGATAATAGGTTATAGTATAGTATTCTTTTATTATACTTTAAGTTCTAGGGTACATGTGCACAACGTGCAGGTTTGTTACATATGTAAACATGTGCCATGTTGGTGTGCTGCACCCATTAACTCGTCATTTACATTGGGTATTTCTCCTAATGTTATCCCTCCCCCTCCCTGAACCCCACAACAGGCCCCGGTGTGTGATGTTCCCCACCCTGTGTCCAAGTGTTCTCATTGTTAAATTCCCACCTATGAGTGAGAACATGCGGTGTTTGGATTTTTATCCTTGTGATGGTTTGCTCAGAATGATGGTTTCCAGCTTCATCCATAACCCTACAAAGGACATGAACTCATCCTTTTTTATGGCTGCATAGTATTCCGTGCTGTATATGTGCCACATTTTCTTAATCCAGTCTATCATTGATGGACATTTGGGTTGGCTACAAGTCCTTGCTATTGTGAATAGTGCTGCAATAAACATACGTGTGCATGTGTCTTTATAGCAGCATGATGTATAATCCTTTGGGTATATACACAGTAATGGAATGGCTGGGACAAATGGTATTTCTAGTTCTAGATCCTTGAGGAATCGCCACACTATCGTCCACAATGGTTGAACTAGTTTACAGTCCCACCAACAGTGTAAAAGCATTCCTATTTCTCCACATCCTCTCTAGCACCTGTTGTTTCCTGACTTTTTAATGATTGCCATTCTAACTGGTGTGAGATGATATCTTGTTTTGGTTTTGATTTGCATTTCTTTTTTTTTTTATACTTTAAGTTTTAGGGTACAGGTGTACAACATGCAGGTTAGTTACAAATGTATACATGTGCCATATTGGTGTGCTGCACCCATTAACATGTCATTTAACATTAGGTATATCTCCTAATGCTATCCCTCTCCTTTCCCACACCCCACAACAGGCCCCGGTATGTGATGTTCCCCTTCCTGTGTCCATGTGTTCTTATTGTTCAATTCCCACCTTTGAGTGAGAACATGCACTGTTTGGTTTTTTGTCCTTGCGATAGTTTACTGAGAATGATGGTTTCCAGCTTCATCCATGTCCCTACAAAGGACATGAACTCACATTTTTTATGGCTGCATAGTATTCCTTGGTGTATTTGTGCCACATTTTCTTAATCCAGTCTATCATTGTTAGACATTTGGGTTGGTTCCAGGTCTTTGATATTGTTAATAGTGCCCCAATAAACATATGTGTGCATGTGTCTTTATAGCAGCATGATTTATAAGCCTTTCGGTATATACCCAGTAATGGGATAGCTGGGTCAAATAGAATTTCTAGTTCTAGATCCCTGAGGAATCGCCACACTGACTTCCACAATGGTAGAACTAGTTTCCAGTCCCGCCAACAGTGTAAAAGTGTTCCTATTTCTCCACATCTTCTCCAGCACCTGTTGTTTCCTGACTTTTTCATAATCGCCATTGTAACTGGTGTGAGATGGTATCTCACTGTGGTTTTGATTTGCATTTCTCTGATAGCCAGTGATGACGAGCATTTTTTCATGTGTCTTTTGGCTGCATAAATGTCTTCTTTTGAGAAGTGTCTGTCCATGTCCTTTGCCTGGTTTTTGATGGGGTGGTTTTCTTATAAATTTGTTTGAGTTCTTTGTAGATTCTGGATATTAACCCTTTGTCAGATGAGAACATTGCAAAAATTTTCTCCCATTCTGTAGGTTGCCTGTTCACTCTGATGGTAGTTTTTTTTGCTGTGTAGAAGCTCTTGAGTTTAATTAGATCCCATTTGTCAATTTTGTCTTTTGTTGCCATTGCTTTTGGTGTTTTAGACATGAAGTCCTTGCCCATGCCTACATCCGGAATGATATGGCCTAGGTTTTCTTGTAGGGTTTTTATGGTTTTGGGTCTAACATTTAAGTCTTTAATCCATCTTGAATTAATTTTTGTATAAGTTGTAAGGAAGGGATCCAGTTTCAGCTTTCTACATATGGCTAGCCAGTTTTCCCAGCACCTTTTGTTAAATAGGGAATTGTTTCCCCATTTCTTGTTTTTGCCAGTTTCTCAAAGATCAGATAGTGGTAGATAAGCAGCATTATTTCTGAAGGCTCTGTTCTGTTCCATTTGTCTATATCTCTGTTTTGGTACCAGTACCATACTGTTTTGGTTACTGTAGCCTTGTAGTATAGTTTGAAGTCAGGTAGCGTGATGCCTCCAGCTTTGTTCTTTTGGCTCAAGATTCACTAGGCAATGCGGGCTCTTTTTTGGTTCCATATGAACTTTAAAGTAGTTTTTTCCAATTCTGTGAAGAAAGTCATTGGTAGCTTGATGGGGATAGCATTGAATCTATAAATTACCTTGGGCATTATGGCCATTTTAATGATATTGATTCTTCCTACCCATGAGCATGGAATGTTCTTCCATTTGTTTGTATCCTCTTTTATTTCATTGAGCAGTGGTTTGTAGTTCTCCTTGAAGAGGTCCTTCACATCCCTTGTAAGTTGGATTCCTAGGTATTTTATTCTCTTTGAAGCAATCCTGAATGGGAGTTCACTCGTGATTTGGCTCTCTGTCTGTTATTGATATATGAGAATGCTTGTGATTTTTGCACATTGATTTTGTATCCTGAGACTTTGCTGAAGTTGCCTATCATCTTAAGGAGATTTTGGGCTGAGACGATGGGGTTTTCTAGATATACAATCATGTCATCTGCAAACAGGGACAATTTGCCTTCCTCTTTTCCTGATTGAATAACCTTTATTTCCTTCTCCTTCCTGATTGGCCTGGCCAGAACTTCCAACTCTGTATTTAATAGGAGTGGTGAGAGAGGGCATCCCTGTCTTGTGTGAGTTTTCAAAAGGAATGCTTCCAGTTTTTGCCCATTCAGTAGGATATTGGCTGTGGGTTTGTCATAGATAGCTCTTTTTATTTGGAGATACGTCCCATCAATACCTAAATTATTGAGAGTTTTTAGCATGAAGCATTGTTGAATTTTGTCAAAGGCCTTTTCTGCATTTATTGAGATAATCAGGTGGTTTTTGTCTTTGGTTCTGTTTGTATGTTGGATTACGTTTATTAATTTTCGTATGTTGAACCAGCCTTGCATCCCAGGGATGAAGCCCACTTGATCATGGTTGATAAGCTTTTTGATGTGCTGCTGGATTAGGTTTGCCAGTATTTTATTTAGGATTTTTGCATCGATGTTCATCAAGGATATTCGTCTAAAATTCTCTTTTTTTGTTGTGTCTCTGCCAGGCTTTGGTATCAGGATGATGCTGGCCTCATAAAATGAGTTAAGGAGGATTCCCTCTTTTTCTATTGATTGGAATAGTTTCAGAAGGAATGGTAACTGCTCCTCCTTGTACCTGTGGTAGATTTCGGCTGTGAATCTATCTGGTCTTGGCCTTTTTTTGGTTGCTAGGCTATTAATTATTGCCTCAATTTCAGATCCTGTTATTGGTCTATTCAGAGATTCAACTTCTTCCTGGTTTAGTCTTGGGATGGTGTATGTGTCCAGGAATTTATCCATTTCTTCTGGATTTTCTAGTTTATTTGCATAGATGTGTTTATACCATTCTCTGATGGTAGTCTGTATTTCTGTGGGATCAGTGGTGATATCCTGTTTGTCATTTTTTATTGCGTCTATTTGGTTCTTCTCTCTTTTCTTCTTTATTAGTCTTGTCAGCAGTCTATCAATTTTGGTGATCCCTTCAAAAAATCAGCTCCTGGATTCATTGATTTTTTGAAGGGTTTTTTTTGTCTCTATTTCCTTCAGTTCTGCTCTGATCTTAGTTATTTCTTGCCTTCTGCTAGCTTTTGAATGTGTTTGCTGTGGCTTCTCTGGTTCTTTTAACTGTGATGTTAGGGTGTCAATTTTAGATCTTTCCTGCTTTCTCTTGTGGGCATTTAGTGCTATAAATTTCCCTCTACACACTGCTTTGAATGTGTCCCAGAGATTCTGGTGTGTTGTGTCTTTGTTCTTGTTGGTTTCAAAGAACATCTTTATTTCTGCCTTCTTTTCGTTATGTACCGAGTAGTCATTCATGAGCAGGTTGCTCAGTTTCCATGTAGTTGAGTGGCTTTGAGTGAGTTTCTTAGTTCTGAGTTCTAGTTTGATTGCACTGTGGTCTGAGAGACAGTTTGTTATAATTTCCATTCTTTTACATTTGCTGAGGAGTGCTTTACTTCCAACTATGTGGTGAATTTTGGAATAAGTACAGTGTGGTACTGAGAAGAATATATATTCTGTTGATTTTGGGGTGGAGAGTTCTGTAGATGTCTATTAGGTCCATTTGGTGCAGAGCAGAGTTCAATTCCTTAATATCCTTATTAACTTTCTGTCTCATTGATCTGTCAGATATTGACAGTGGGGTGTAAAAGTCTCCCATTATTATCGCGTGGGAGTCTAGGTCTCTTTGTAGGTCTCTAAGGAGTTGCTTTATGAATCTGGGTGCTCCTGTATTGGGTGCATATATATTTAGGATAGTTAGCTTTTCTTATTGAATTGATCCCTTTACCATTATGTAATGGCCTTCTTTGTCTCTTTTGATCTTTGTTGGTTTAAAGTTTGTTTTATCAGAGACTGGGATTGCAACCCCTGCCTTTTTTTGTTTTCCATTTGCTTGGCAAATCTTCCTCCATCCTTTATTTTGAGCCTAAGTGTGTCTCTGCATGTGAGATGTGTCTCCTGAGTACAGCACACTGATGGGTCTTGACTCTTTATCCATTTTGCCACTTGGTGTCTTTTAATTGGAGCATTTAGCCCATTTACATTTAAGGTTAATATTTTCATATGTGATGTGAATTTGATCCTGGCATTATGATGTTAGCTGGTTATTTTGCTCATTAGCTGATGCAGTTTCTTCCTAGCCTCCATGGTCTTTACAATTTGGCATGTTTTTGCAGTGGCTGGTACCGGTTGTTCCTTTCCATGTTTAGTGCTTCCTTCAGGAGTTCTTTTAGGGCAGGCCCGGTGGTGACAAAATCTTTCAGCATTTGCTTGTCTGTAAAGCATTTTATTTCTCCTTCACTTCTGAAGCTTAGTTTGGCTGGATATGAAATTCTGGTTTGAATATTCTTTTCTTTTAAAATGTTGAATATTGGCCCCCACTCTCTTCTGGCTTGTAGAGTCTCTGCTGAGAGATCATCTGTTTGTCTGATGGGCTTCCCTTTGTGGGTAACCCGACCTTTCTCTCTGGCTGCTCTTAACATTTTTTCCTTCATTTCAACTTTGGTGAATCTGACAATTATGTGTTTTGGAGTTGCTCTTCTCGAGGAATATCTTTGTGGTGTTCTCTGTATTTCCTGAATTTGAATGTTTGCCTGCCTTACTAGATTGGGGAAGTTCTCCTGGATAATATCCTGCAGAGTGTTTTCCAACTTGGTTCCATTCTCCCTGTCACTTTCAAGTACACCAATCAGACGTAGATTTGGTCTTTTCACATAGTCCCATATTTCTTTGAGGCTTTGTTCATTTCTTTTTATTCTTTTTTCTCTAAAGTTATCTTCTCACTTCATTTCATTCATTTGAACTTTCATCACTGATACCCTTTCTTCCAGTTGATCGAATCAGCTACCGAGGCTTGTGCATTCATCATATACTTCTCGTGCCTTGGTTTTCAGCTCCATCAGGTCCTTTAAGGACTTCTCTGCATTGGTTATTCTAGGTAGCCATTCGTCTAATTTTTTTTCAAGGTTTTTAACTTCTTTGCCATTGGTTAGAACTTCCTCTTTAGCTCGGAGTAGTTTGATCGTCTGAAGCCTTCTTCTCTCAACTCGTCAAAATCATTCTCCATCCAGCTTTGTTCCATTTCTGGTGAGGAGCTGCATTCCTTTGGAGGAGGAGAGGCGCTCTGATTTTTAGAGTGTCCAGTTTTTCTGCTCTGTTTGTTCACCATCTTTGTGGTTTTATCTACCTTTGGTCTTTGATGATGGTGACTTACAGATGGGGTTTTGTTGTGGATGTCCTTTCTGCTTGTTAGTTTTATTTCTAACAGTCAGGACCCTCAGCTGCAGGTCTGTTGGAGTTTGCTGGCGGTCCACTTCAGACCCTGTTTGCCTGGGTATCAGCAGTGGAGGCTGCAGAACAGTGGATACTGGTGAGCAGCAAATGTTGTTGCCTGATCGTTTTTCTGGAAGTTTTGTCTCAGAGGAGTACCCGGCCATGTGAGGTGTCCATCTGCCCCTACTTCAGTGTGCCTCCCAGTTAGGCTACTCGGGGGTCAGGGACCTACTTGATGAGGCAGTCTGTCTGTTCTGAGATCTCCAGCTGTGTGCTGGGAGAACCACTAATCTCTTCAAAGCTGTCAGACAGGGACATTTAAGTCTGCAGAGGACTCTGCTGCCTTTTGTTTGGCTATTCCCTGCCCCCAGAGGTGGAGTCTACAGAGGCAGGCAGGCCTCCTTGAGCTGAGGTGGGCTCCACCCTGTTCTTTCTTCCCAGCCACTTTGTTTACCTACTCAAGCCTCAGAAATGGGGTCACCCCTCCCCCAGCCTCACTGCCACCTTGCAGTTTGATCTCAGACTGCTGTGCTAGCAATGAGCAAGGATCCGTGGGTGTAGGTCCCTCCAAGCCAGGTGCCAGATATAATCTCCTGGTGTGCTGTTTACTAAGACTGTTGGAAAAGTGCAGTATTAGGGTGCGAGTGACCCTATTTTCCAGGTGCCATCTGTCACCCCTTTCTTTGGCTGGGAAAGGGAATTCCCTGACCCCTTGTGCTTCCCAGATGAGGTGATGCCTCTCCCTGCTTTGGCTCACACTGGGTGCACTGCACCCAATGTCCTGCACCCACTTTCTGACACTCCGCAGTGAGGTGAACCTGGTACCTCAGTTGGAAATGCAGAAATCACTCTTCTTCTGCTTCGCTCACGCTGGGAGCTGTAGCGATTTGCATTTCTCTGATGGCCAGTGATGATGAGCATTTTCTTCTGTGTCTGTTGGCTGCATAAATGTCTTCTTTTTAGAAGTGTCTGTTGATATCCTTCACCCACTTTTTGATGGGGTTGTTTGATTTTTTCTTGTAAGTTTGTTTAGTTCTTTGTAGATTCTGGATATTAGCCTTTTGTCACATGGGTAGATTGCAAAAACTTTCTCCCATCCTGTAGGTTGCCTGTTCACTCTGATGGTAGTTTGTTTTGCTGTGCAGAAACTCTTTAGTTTAATTAGATCCCATTTGTCAATTTTGTCTTTTGTTGCCATTGCTTTTGGTGTTTTAGTCAGGAAGTCCTTGCCCATGCCTATGCCCTGAATGGAATTGGCTCAGTTTTCTTCTAGGGTTTTTATAGTTTTAGTTCTAACTTTTAAGTCTTTAATCCATCTTGAATTAATTTTTGTATAAGGTGTAAGGAAGGGATCCATTTTCAGCTTTCTACATATGGCTAGCCAGTTTTCCCAGCACCCTTTGTTAAATAGGGAATCCTTTCTCCGTTTCTTGTTTTTGTCAGGTTTGTCAAAGATCAGATGGTTGTAGATGTGTGGCATTAAGTCTGAGGGCTCTGTTCTGTTCCATTGGTATATATGTCTGTTTTGGTACCAGTACCATGCTGTTTCAGTTACTGTCGCCTTGTACTATAGCTTGAAGTCAGCTAGCCTGATGCCTCCAGCATTGTTCTTTTGGTTGAAGATTGCCTTGGCAATGTGGGCTCTTTTTTGGTTCCATATGACTTTTAAAGCAGTTTTTTTCAATTCTGTGAAAAAAGTCCTTGGTAGCTTGATGGGGATGGCATTGAATCTATAAATTACCTTGGGCAGTATGGCCATTTTCACAATATTGATTCTTCCTATCCATTAGCGTGGAATGTTCTATGTTCTTCCATTTGTTTGTGCCCTCTTTTATTTCATTGAGCAGTTGTATGTAGTTCTCTTTGAAGAGATCTTTCACATCCCTTGTAATTTGGATTCCTAGGTATTTTATACTCTTAGTAGCAATTGTGAATTGGAGTTCACTCATGATTTAGCTCTCTGTTTGTCTGTTATTGGTGTATAGGAATGCTTGTGATTTTTGCACTTTGATTTTGTATCCTGAGACTTTGCTGAATTTGCTTATCAGCTTAAGGAGATTTTAGGCTGAGACTATGGGTTTTTCTAAATATGCAATCATGTCATCTGCAAACAGGGACAATTTGAATTCTTCTTTTCCTAATTGAATACCTTTATTTCTTTCTCCTGCCTGATTGCCTTGGCCAGAACTTCCAACACTATGTTGAATAGGAGTGGTGAAAGAGGGCATCCCTGTCTTGTGACAGTTTTCAAAGGGAATGCTTCCAGTTTTTGCCCATTTAGTATTATATTGGCTGCAGGTTTGTCCTAAATAGCTCTTATTATTTTGAGATACATCCCATCAATATCTAATTTATTGAGAGTTTTTAGCATGAAGGGTTGTTGAATTTTGTCAAAGGCCTTTATTGCATCTATTGAGATAATCATGTGGTTTTTGTCTTTGCTTCTGTTTATATGATGGATTACATTCATCGATTTGGGTATGTTGAAACAGCCTTGCATCCCAGGGATGACGCCAACTTGACATGGTGGATAAGCTTTTTGATGTGCTTCTGGATTCAGTTTGCCAGTATTTTATTGAGGATTTTTGCATCAATGTTCCTCAGGGATGTTTTTCTAAAATTCTCTTTTTTTTCTTGTGTCTCTGCCAGGCTTTGGTATCAGGATGATGCTGGCCCCATAAAATGAGTTAGGGAGGATTCCCTCTTTTTCTATTGATTGGAATAGTTTCAGAAAGAATGGTACCAGCCCCTCCTTGTACATCTCGTAGAATTCGGCTGTGAATCCGTCTGATCCTGGACTTTTTTTGGTTGGTAGGCTATTAATTATTGCCTCAATTTTAGAAACTGTTATTGGTCTATTCAGCAATTCAACTTCTTCGGAAGGTGTATATGTCCAGGAATTTATCCATTTCTTTCAGATTTTCTTGTTTATTTGAGTAGAGATGTTTATAGCATTCTCTGATGGTAGTTTGTATTTCTTTGGGATCAATTGTGTTATCCCCTTTATCATTTTTTGTTGCATCTGTTTGATTCTTCTCTCTAGTCTTCTTAGCAGTGTATCAATTTTATTGATCTTTTCCAAAAACCCTCTGGATTCGTTTATTTTTTTCAGCGTTTTTTTGTGTCTCTATCTCCTTCAGTTCTGCCCTGATCTTAGTTATTTCTTGCCTTCTGCTAGCTTTTGAATGTGTTTGCTCTTGCTTCTCTAGTTCTTTTAATTGTGATGTTAGGCTGTCAATTTTGATCTTTCCTGCTTTCTCTTGTGAGCTTTTAGTGCTATAAATTTACCTCTGTGCACTGCTTTAAATGTGTCCCCGAGATTGTGGTATGTTGTGTCTTTGTTCTCGTTGGTTTCAAAGAATGTCTTTCTTTCTGCCTTCATTTCCTTATGTACCTAGTAGTCATTCAGGAGCAAGTAGTTCAGTTTCCATATAGTTGTGCAGTTTCAACTGAGTTTCTTAATCCTGAGTTCTAATTTGATTGCACTGTGGTCTGTGAGATAGTTTGTTATAGTTTCTGTTCTTTTACATTTGCTGAGGAGTGCTTTACTTCCAACTATGTGGTCAATTTTGCAAGAAGTGCAATGTGATGCTGAGAAGAATATATATTCTGTTGATTTGGGGTGGAGAGTTCTGTATGTGTCTGTTAGGTCTGCTTGGTGCAGAGCTGAGTTCAAGTCCTGAATGTCCTTGTTAACCTTCTGTCTCATTGATCTGTCTAATATTGACAGTGGGGTACTAAAGTCTCCCATTATTGTTGTGTGGGAGTCTAAGTGTCTTTGTAGGTCTCTAAGGACTTTCTTCATGAATCTTGGTGCCTCTGTCTTGGGTGCATATATATTTAGGATAGTTAGCTCTTCTTGTTGAATTGATCCCTTTACCATTATGTAATGGCCTTTTTTGTCTCTTTTGATCTTTGTTGGTTTAAAGTCTGTTTTTTTCAGACACTAGGATTGCAAGCCCTGCTTTTTTTTGTTTTCCATTTTCTTGGTAGATCTTCCTCCATCCCTTTATTTTGAGCCTATGTGTGTCTCTGCACCTGAGATGGGTCTCCTGAATACAGCACACTGATCGGTCTTGACTCTTTATCCAATTTGCCAGTCTGTGTTTTTCAATTGGAGTATTTAGCCCATTTACATTTACGGTTAATATTGTTATATGTGAATTTGATCCTGTCATTATGATGTTAGCTGGTTAGTTTGCTGATTAATTCTTGCAGTTTCTTCCTAGCATCAGTGGTCTTTACAGTTTGGCATGTTTTTCAGTAGCTGGTACCGGTTGTTCCTTTCCATGTTTAGATCTTCCTTCAGGAGCTCTTGAAAGGCAGGCCTGGTGGTGACAAAATCTTTCGGCATTTGCGTGTCTGTAAAGGATTTTATTTCCCCTTCATTTATGAAGATTAGTTTGGCTGGATATGAAATTCTGGGTTGAAAATTATTTTCTTTAAGAATGTTGAATATTGCTCCCCCCCCTTCTGGCTTGTAGAGTTTCTGCCAAGAGATCCACAGTCAGTCTGATTAGCTTCCCTTTGTGGTTGACCTGACCTTTCTCTCTGGCTGCCCTTAACATTTTTTCCTTCATTTTAACTTTGGAGAATCTGACAATTATTTGTCTTGCAGTTGCTCTTTTTGAGGAGTATCTTCGTGGTGCTCTCTGTATTTCCTGAATTTGAATGTTGGCCTGCCTTGCTAGGTTGAGGAAGTTCTCCTGGATACTATCCTGAAGAGTCTTTTCCAACTTGGTTCCATTCTCCCTATCACTTTCAGGTACACCAGTCAGACATAGATTTGGTCTTTTCACATAGTCCTATATTTGTTGGAGGCTTTGTTCATTTCTTTTTACTCTTGTTTCTCTAAACTTCTCTTCTCGCTTCATTTCAATTATTTCATCTTCAATCACTGATACCCTTTCTTCCAGTTGATCGAATCGGCTACTGAAGCTTGTGCATTCGTCACGTAGTTCTCGTGCCAAGGTTTTCAGCTCCATGAGGTCATTTAAGGTCTTCTCTATACTGTTTATTCTAGTTAACCATTTGTCTAATCTTTTTTGAAGGATTTTAGCTTCTTAGTCGTGGGTTTGAACATCCTCCTTTAGCTCAGAGGAGTTTGTTATTGCTGATCTTCTGAGGCCCACTTCTGTTACCTCATCAAAGTCATTCTCCATCCAGCTTTGTTCTGTTGCTGGCGAGGAGCTGTGTTCCTTTGGAGTAGAAGAGGTGCTCTGATTTTTGGAGTTTGCAGCTTTTCTGTTCTGTTTTCTCCCCATCTTTGTGGTTTTATCTACCTTTGGTCTTTGATCATGGTGACCTAGAAATGGGGTTTTGGTGTGGGTGTCCTTTTTGTTTGTTAGTTTTCCTTCTAACAGTCAGGATTCTCAGCTGTAGGTCTGTTGGAGTTTGTAGGAGGTCCCCTCCAGACCCTGTTTGCCTGGGTATTACCAGCAGAGGCTGCAGAGCAGAAAATATTGCAGAACAGCAAATGTTGCTGCCTGTTCCTTCTTCTGGAAGCTTCATCTCAGAGTGGCACCTGGCTGTATGTGGTGTCAGTCAGCTCATACTGGGAAGTGTCTCCCAGTTAGGCTATTCAGGGGTCAGGGACCCACTTGAGGAGGCAGTCTGTTCATTCTCAGATCTCAAACTCCATGCTGGGAGAACCACTGCTCTCTTCAAAGCTGTCAGACATGGACGTTTAAGTCTGAAGGAATTTCTGCTGCCTTTTATTCCGCTATGCCCTGCCCCCAGAGCGGGAGTCTACAGAGGCAAGTAAGCCTCCTTGAGCTGCGGTGGGCTCCACCCTTTTTGAGCTTCTGTGCCACTTTCATTACCTACTCAAGCCTCAGCAATGGCAGACGCCCCTAACCCAGTCTTGCTGCCACCTTGCAGTTCGATCTTGGACTGCTGTACTAGCAGTGAGCAAGGCTCCGTGGGCAAGGGACACTCTAAGCCAGGCACAGGTTATAATCTCCTGGTTCCCCATTTACTAAGACTGATGGAAAAGTGCAGTATTAGGGTGGGAGTTTCCTGATTTTCCAGATACTGTCTATCGCGGCTCCCCTTGGCTAGGAAAGGGAATTCCCTGACTGCTTTCACTTCCCTGGTGAGGCGGTGCCCTGCCCTGCTTCAGCTCACACTCCGTGGGCTGCACCCACTGTCCAAAAAGCCCCAGTGAGATGAAACCTGTACCACAGTTGGAAATGCAGAAATCACCCATCTTCTGTGCCACTCATGCTAGGATCTGTAGAGTGTAGCTGTTCCTATTCAGCAATCTTGGAACCCTCCCACAATATAGTATTTACAGGCCTCATGGTAACCTCAAGTAAAAAAAATTTGCAAAAACTAAAAAGCATGAAATTAAATCATATCACCAGAGAAAACTACCTTCACTATAAGGAAGACAGGAAGAAAGGAAAGAAGGAAGAGAAGATGACAAAACAGAGAACAAATGACAAAATGGCAAGGCTAACTATTTACTTATCAATAATAATATTTATTGTAAGTGAACGAAACTCTCTAATCAAAACACAGAAAACGGCTCAATGGATAAAAAATCAGGACCCGGAGGTGGCAGCCAAGATGGCCGAATAGGAACAGCTCTGGTCTACAGCTCCCACCATGAGCGATGCAGAAGATGGGTGATTTCTGCATTTCCATCTGAGGTACCAGGATCATCTCACTAGGGAGTGCCAGACAGTTGGCACAGGACAGTGGGTGCAGTGCACCATGCACGAGTCGAAGCAGAGTGAGGCATTGCCTCACATGAGAAGCACAAGGTGTCAGGGAGTTCCCTTTCCTAGTCAAAGAAAGGGGTGACAGACGGCACCTGGAAAATCGGGTCACTCCCACCCTAACACTGCGCATTTCCGACGGGCTTAAAAAATGGCGCACCAGGAGATTATATCCTGCACCTGGCTCAGAGAGTCCTATGCCCACTGAGTCTCACTGATTGCTAGCACAGCAGTCTGAGATCAAACTGCAAGGCGGGAGTGAGCCTGGGGGAAAGGCACCCGCCATTGCCCGGGCTTGCTTAGGTAAACAAAGCAGCCAGGAAGCTCGAACTGGGTGGAGCCCACCACAGCTCAAGGAGGCCTGCCTGCCTCTGTAGGCTCCACCTCTGGGGGCAAGGCACAGACAAACAAAAAGACAGCAGTAACCTTGGCAGACTGAAATGTCCCTTTCTGACAACTTTGAAGAGAGCAGTGGTTCTCCCAACACGCAGCTGGAGATCAGAGAATGGGCAGACTGCCTCCTCAAGTGCGTCCCTGACCCCGAACTCCTGAGCAGCCTAACTGGGAGGCACCCCCGAGTAGCGGCAGACTGACACCTCACACGGCCGGGTACTCCTCTGAGACAAAATTTCCAGAGGAACGATCAGACAGCAGCATTCGTGGTTCATGAAATTCCGCTGTTCTGCAGCCACTGCTGCTGATACACAGGCAAACAGGGTCTAGGGTGGACCTCCAGCAAACTCCAACAGACCTGCAGCTGAGGGTCCTGTCTGTTAGAAGGAAAACTAACAAACAGAAAGGACATCCACACCAAAAACCCATCTGTACATCACCATCATCAAAGACCAAATTAGATAAAACCACAAAGATGGGGAAAAAACAGAGAAGAAAAACTGGAAACTCTAAAAAGCAGAGTGCCTCTCCTCCTCCAAAGGAACGCAGTTCCTTACCAGCAATGGAAAAAAGCTGGACGGAGAATGATTTTGACGAGGTCAGAGAAGAAGGCTTCAGACAATCAAACTACTCTGAGCTACAGGAGGAAATTCAAACCAAAGGCAAAGAAGTTAAAAACTTTGAAAAAAATTTAGACGAATGTATAACTAGAAAAATCAAGACGGAGAAGTGGTTAAAGCAGCGGATGGAGCTGAAAGCCAAGACTGGAGAACTACGTGAAGAATGCAGAAACCTCAGGAGCCAACAAGATCAACTGGAAGAAAGGGTGTCAGTGATAGAAGATGAAATGAATGAAATGAAGTGAAAAGGGAAGTTTAGAGAAAAAAGAATAAAAAGAAATGTGCAAAGCCTCCAAGAAATATGGGACAATGTGAAAAGACCAAATCTACATCTGATTGGTGTACCTGAAAGTGACGGGGAGAATGGGACCAAGTTGGAAAACACTCTGCAGGATATTATCCAGGAGAACTTCCCCAATCTAGCAAGGCAGGCCAACATTCAGATTCAGGAAATACAGAGAACACCACAAAGATACTCCTCGAGAAGAGCAACTCCAAGACACATAATTGTCAGATTCTCCAAAGTTGAAATGAAGGAAAAAATGTTAAGAGCAGCCAGAGAGAAAGGTCGAGTTACCTACAAAGGGAAGCCCATCAGACTAATAGCGAATCTCTCGGCAGAAACTCTACAAGCCAGAAGAGAGTGGGGGCCAATATTCAACATTCTTAAAGAAAAGAATTTTCAACCCAGAATTTCATATCCAGCCAAACTAAGCTTCATAAGTGAAGGAGAAATAAAATCCTTTACAGAAAAGCAAATGCTGAGAGATTTTGTCACCACCAGGCCTGCCCTAAAAGAGATCCTGAAGGAAGCACTAAACATGGAAAGGAATAACTGCTACCAGCCACTGCAAAAACATGCCAAATTGTAAAGACCATTGAGGCTAGGAAGTAACTGCATCAACTAACGAGCAAAAAAACCAGCTAACATCATAATGACAAGGATCAAATTCACACATAAAAATATTAACTTTAAATGTAAATGCACTAAATGCTCCAATTAAAAGACACAGACTGGCAAATTGGAAAAAGAGTCAAGACCCATCAGTATGCTGTATTCAGGAAACCCATCTCATGTGCAGAGACACACATAGGCTCAAAATAAAAGGATGGAGGAAGATCTACCAAGCAAATGGAAAACAGAAAAAGGCAGGGGTTGCAATCCTAGTCTCTGATAAAACAGACTTTAAACCAACAAAGATCAAAAGAGACAAAGAAGGCCATTACATAATGGTAAAGGGATCAATTCAACAAGAACAGCTAACTATCCTAAATATATATGCACTCAATACAGGAGGACCTAGATTCATAAAGCAAGTCCTGAGTGACCTACAAAGAGACTTAGACTCCCACACAATAATAATGGGAGAGTTTAACACGCCACTGTCAACGTTAGACAGATCAACGAGACAGAAAGTTAACAAGTATACCCAGGAATTGAACTCAGCTCTGCACCAAGCGGACCTAATAGACATCTACAGAACTCTCCACCCCAAATCAGCAGATTATACATTCTTTTCAGCACCACACCACACCTATTCCAAAATTGACCACATAGTTGGAAGTAAAGCTCTCCTCAGCAAATGTAAAAGATCAGAAATTATAACAAACTGTCTCTCAGACCACAGTGCAATCAAACTAGAACTCAGGATTAAGAAACTCATTCAAAACCACTCAACTACATGGAAACTGAACAACCTGCTCCTGAATGACTACTGGGTACATAACGAAATGAAGTCAGAAGTAAAGATGTTCTTTGAAGCCAATGAGAACAAAGACACAACATACCAGAATCTCTGGGCATATTCAAAGCAGTGTGTAGAAGGAAATTTATAGCACTAAATGCCCACAAGAGAAAGCAGGAAAGATCCAAAATTGACACCCGAACATCACAATTAAAAGAACTAGAGAAGCAACAGCAAACACATTCAAAAGCTAGCAGAAGGCAAGAAATAACTAAAATCACAGCAGAACTGAAGGAAAGAGAGACAAAAAACCCTTCAAAAAATTAATGAATCTAGGAGCTGGTTTTTGAAAGGATCAACAAAATTGATAGACCACTAGCAAGACTAATAAAGAAGAAAAGAGAGAAGAATCAAATAGACGCAATAAAAAATGATAAAGGGGATATCACCATCGATCCCACAGAAATACAAACTACCATCAGAGAATACTATAAACACCTCTACGCAAATAAACTAGAAAATCTAGAAGAAATGGATAAATTCCTCAACACATACACCCTCCCAAGACTAAACCAGGAAGAAGTTGAATCTCTGCATAGACCAATAACAGGCTCTGAAATTGTGGCAATAATCAATACCTTACCAACCAAAAAGAGTCCACGACCAGATGAATTCACAGCGGAATTCTACCAGAGGCACAAGGAGGAACTGGTACTATTCCTTCTGAAACTATTCCAATCAATAGAAAAAGAGGGAATCCTCCCTAACTCATTTTATGAGGCCAGCATCATCCTGATACCAAAGCCGGGCAGAGACACAACCAAAAAAGAAAATTTTAGACCAATATCCTTGATGAACATCGATGCAAACTTCCTCAATAAAATACTGGCAAACCGAGTCCAGCAGCACATCAAAAAACTTATCCACCATGATCAAGTGGGCTTCATCCCTGGGATGCAAGGCTGATTCAATATATGCAAATCAATAAATGTAATCCAGCATATAAACAGAACCAAAGAAAAAAACCACATGATTATCTCAATAGATGCAGAAATGGCCTTTGACAAAATTCAACAATGCTTCATGCTAAAAACTCTCAATAAATTAGGTATTGACAGGACGTATCTCAAAATAATAAGTGCTATCTATGACAAATCCACAGCCAGTATCATACTGAATGGGCAAAAACTGGAAACATTCCCTTTGAAAACGGGCACAAGACAGTGATGCCCTCTCTCACCACTCCTATTCAACATAGTGTTGGAAGTTCTGGCCAGGGCAATTAGGCAGGCGAAGGAAATAAAGGGTATTCAATTAGGAAAAGAGGAAGTCAAATTGTCCCTGTTTGCAGATGACATGATTGTATATCTAGAAAACCCCATTGTCTCAGCCCAAAATCTCCTTAAGCTGATAAGCAACTTCAGCAAAGTCTCAGGATACAAAATCAATGTACAAAAATCACATTCTTATACACCAATAACAGACAAACAGACAGCCAAATCATGAGTGAACTCCCATTCACAATTGCTTCAAAGAGAATAAAATACCTAGGAATCCAACTTACAAGGGATGTGAAGGACCTCTTCAAGGAGAGCTACAAACCACTGCTCAATGAAATAAAAGAGGATACAAAAAAATGGTAGAACATTCCATGATCATGGGTAGGAAGAATCAATATCATGAAAATGGCCATATTGCCCAAGGTAATTTATAGATTCAATGCCATCCCCATCAAGCTACCAATGACTTTCTTCACAGAATTGGAAAAAACTACTTTCAAGTTCATATGGAACCAAAAAAGAGACGCATCACCAAGTCAATCCTAAGCCAAAAGAACAAAGCTGGAGGCATCATGCTACCTGACTTCAAACTATACTACAATGCTACAGTAACCAAAACAGCACGGTACTGGTACCAAAACAGACATATAGATCAATGAAACAGAATAGAGCCCTCAGAAATAATGCCACATATCTACAACTATCTGATGTTTGACAATCCTGAGAAAAACAAGCAATGGGGAAAGAATTCCGTATTTAACAAATGGTGCTGGGAAAACTGGCCAGCCATATGTAGAAAGCTGAAACTGGATCCCTTCCTTACACTTCATTCAAAAATTAATTCAAGATGGATGAAAGACTTAAATGTTAGACCTAAAACCATAAAAACCCTAGAAGAAAACCTAGGCAATACCATTCAGGACATAGGCATGGGCAAGGACTTCATGTCTAAAACACCAAAAGCAATGGCAACAAAAGCAAAAATTGACAAATGGGATCTAATTAAACTCAAGAGCTTCTGCACAGCAAAAGAAACTACCATCAGAGTGAACAGGCAGCATACAAAATGGGAGAAAATTTTTGCAATCTACTCATCTGACAAAGGGCTAATATCCAGAATCTACAAGAACTCCAATAAATTTACAAGAAAAAAAGCAAACAACCCCATCAAAAAGTGGACGAAGGACATGAACAGACACTTCTCAAAAAAAGACATTTATGCAGCCAAAAAACACATGAAAAAATGCTCATCATCACTGGCCATCAGAGAAATGCAAGTCAAAACCACAGTGAGATATTATCTCACACCAGTTAGAATGGCAATCATTAAAAATCAGGAAACAACAGGTGCTGGAGAGGATGTGGAGAAATAGGAACACTTTTACACTGTTGGTGGGACTGTAAACTAGTTCAACCCTTGTGGAAGTCATTGTGGCAATTCCTCAGGGATCTAGAACTAGAAATACCATTTGACCCAGCCATGCCATTACTGGGTATATACCCAAAGGACTATAAATCATGCTGCTATAAAATCACATGCACACATATGTTTATTGTGGCATTATTCACAATAGCAAAGTCTTGGAACCAAGCCAAATGTCCAACAACAATAGACTGGATTAAGAAAATGTGGCACATATACACCATGGAATACTATGCAGCCATAAAAAATGATGAGTTCATGTCCTTTGTAGGGACATGGATGAAATTGGAAATCATCGTTCTCAGTAAACTATCACGAGGACAAAAATCCAAACACCACATGTTCTCACTCATAGGTGGGAATTGAACAATGAGATCACATGGACACAGGAAGGGGAACATCACACTCTGGGGACTGTTGTGGGGTGGGGGGAGGGGGGAGGGATAACATTAGGAGATATACCTAATGCTAAATGACGAGTTAATGGGTGCAGCACACCAGCATGGCACATGTATACATATGTAACTAACCTGCACATTGTGCACATGTACCCTGAAACTTAAAGTATAATAATAATAAAATTAAAAAAATAAAAAAATAAAAAATCTGGACCTAGTGATTTGTTACCTGCAAGAATCACATTTCGTCTATAAAGAAACATATACAATAAAAATAAAGGGATGGAAAATTATATTGCATGCCATTGGAAACATAAATAAGCCACCAGTAGCTATACTTTTATCAGACAAAGTAGATTTCAAGACCAAAACAATAAGAAGATAGTAGAAGGTCAATACACAATGACAAAGGGGTCCACTGAGCAAGAGTATATAACAATTGTAAATATATGAGTCCAACACTGGAGCACTCAGATATATAAAGCAATTATCATTAGAGCTAAAAAAGAGATAGACCCCAATACAATTAGAGCTGGAGACTCCTGTACCCCTTTTTCAGTATTAGACAGATGTTCCAGACAGGAAATCAACAAAGAATAATCAAACTTAATCTGCACTATAGATCACATAAATCTAATAAATAATTACAGAACATTTCATCCAATGTCTCTAGAATAAATATTTTTTCCTTGGCATAAGTATCATTCTCAAAGAAACATCATATTTTAGGTAACAAACAAGTCTTAAAACACTCAAAAAATTGAAATAATATCAAGCATCTTCTCTGAACATAATGGAATATAACTAGAAATTAATAAGAATAATTTTGGAAACTATACAAACGCATGAAAATTAAATGTATCCTCCTCAATGACCAGTGAATCAACAAAGAAATTAAGAAGAAAATTAAAACATTTCTTGAAAGAAGTGAATACCCACTATACCAAAACCTATGGGATACAGCAAAACCAGTATGAAGAAGGAAGTTGATTGATATAAATACCTATCTCAAAAGACAAGGTAAGCTTTAAATAAGCAATCTAATGATGCATCTTAAAGAACTAGAAGAGCAAGAGCAAACAAAACCCCAAATTAGTAGAAGATATACTACAGATAACAAAAGAAATAAATGAATTTGAGAAAAAGAAAATAATACAAAGGATCAACTACACAAAAATTGGTTTTTTGAAAAGTTAAACAAAACTGACAAACCTTTAGTCAGACTAAGAAAAACAAAAAAGAGATCCAAATAAATAAAATCAGAGATGAAAAAGGAGATGTTATAAATGATACTACAGAAATTCAAAGGATCATTAGTGGCTACTATGGGCAACTATATGCCAATAAATTAGAAAATCTAAATGAAAAGGATAAATTGCTAGAAACATACAGCCTACTAGCAATGAACCACAAGGAAATTTGAAACATGAACAGACCAAAAACAGGTAATGAGATTGAAGCTGTAGTTGAAATTGTCTAAGCTAAGAAAGGTCTGGGACCTGATACATTCACAGCTAAATTTTATCAGACATTTAAAGAAGAACAAATACCACTCCTACTCAAACTATTTCAAAAACTAGAAGATGAGGGAGTACTTCCAAACTTATTCCATGAGGCCAGTATAAACCAAAATCAGACAGAGACACCAAACAAAGAAAACTACAGGCCAGTATCACTGATAAGTATTGATGCAAAAATTCTCTAGAAAATTGTAGCAGAAAGAATTCAACAATAGATTAAAAAGATCTTTCATCTTAACCATCTGGGATTTATCCCAGAGATTCAAGGATGGTTCAGAACATGCAAATTAATCAATTTGATGCATCGTATCAACAAAATGAATGGCAAAAATTATTCGTTCTTGTATTGAAATGATCATTCTTGATCATTTCAATTGATGCTAAAAATGCATTTAATAAAAATTCAACATAACTTTATGTTAAAAATTATTTAAAAACTGGGTATTGATAGAATATACCTCCGACTAATAAAAGCCATATATGACAGACCCACAGCTAGTATTATACTGAACAGGAAAAATTTAAAGCCTTTGCCTAAGATCTGGACCACAATAAGGATGCCCATTGTCACCACTGTTATTTCACGTAGTATGGGAAGACCTAACTAAAGCAATCAGACAAGAGAAGGAAATAAAGGGCATACAAATCAGAAAGGCAGAAGACAAATTATTCTTGTGTGCAGATGATATGATTTTATATTTGGAAAATTCCAAAGATTCCACAAAAACTATAAGAACTGATAAACAAATTCAGTAAAGTTGCAGGATAAAAAGTGAACATGCAAAAATCAGTAGAATTTCTTAATGCCAAGAGGAAACCATCTGAAATAAGAATCAAGAAAGCAATTCCATTTACAATAGCTAAAATTAAAGAAAATGCCTAGAAATTAATTTAACCAAAGAAATAAAATATCTTGACATTGAAAACTATAAAACATTGATGCAATAAATTCAAGAAGACAACAATAAGCTGGAAAGATATTCCATGCTCATGTACTGGAAAAATCAATATTAATATATACTACAAAAAGCAATCTACAGGTTCAATGCAATCTCGATCAAAACACTAATGGCACTCTTTAGAGAAATAGAAAACACAATCCTAAAATTTATATGGTACCACAAAATACCTAAAATAGCCAAAGCTGTCCTAACGAAAAACAACAAAACTGAAGGAATCATAATACCTGACTACAAATTATGCAAAATCTATATTAACCAAAACAGCACAGTAATGGCAGGAAAAGACACATAGACCGGTGGAAAAGAATGCAAAACCTGGAAACAAATCCATATCTACAGTGAAGTCATTTTTGACAAAGGTGCCAATAACATAAATTGGGGAATGGAACATCTCTTCAATAAATGGTGCTGGGAAAACTGGATATCCATATGCAAAAGCATGAAACCAGACCCCTTTCTCTCACCATATACAAAAGTAAAATCAAAATGGATTAAAGACTTGAATCAAACATGTTAAAGTAAAATGGTAAAGTTAAAGTTTCTATCACAAGAAAACATTGGGGAAAATCTCCAGGACTTTGGCCTGGGCAAAAATTTCTTACTACACAAACACAGGTAACCAAAGCAAAAATGGACAAATGGGATCACATGAAGTTAGAAAGCTCTGCACAACAAAGAATACAATCAACAAAGTGAAGAAACGACCCACAGAGTGGGAGAAAATCTTTGCAAACTACCTTTCTGACAAGGGTTTGAGAACCAGAATGTGTAAGGGACTCAAACAACTCTTTAGGGAAAAATCTTATAATCCAATTAAAGAAAGAGCAAAAAAATTAAAAAGACATTTCTCAAAAGAATACATACAAGTGGCAAACAAGCTTATGAAAAGGTGCTCAACATCCCTGATCATCAGAGAAATACAAATCAAAACTACAATGAAATATCATGTCACCCAGTTAAAATGGCTTTTATCCAAAACACAGACAATAACAAATGTTGGCAAAGACGCAGAGAAAAGGGAACACTTGTACATTTTGGGTGGGGTTGTAAGTTAGTACAACCACCATGGAGAACAGTTTGGAGGTTCCTCAAAAAATAAAAATAGTGTTGCCATATGATCCAGCAATGCTACTGCTGGATATATAACCAAAAGAAAGGAAAGCATTATATCTAAGAGATATCTGCACTTTCATATTTATTGCACCACTATCAACAATAGCTGATACTTGGAAGCAATTGAAGTGTTCATCAACAAATGAATGGATAAAGAAAATGTATATATACACAATTGAGTATTATTTAGCCATAAAAAAGATTGAAATTCTGTCATTTGCAACAACATGAATGGAATTGGAAGCTATTATGCTAAGTGAAATAAGCCAAGCACAGAAACACAAACTTCACATGTTAAGGCTTATTTATGGGAACTAAAAATTGAAGCAGTTGAACTCATGGGGACAGAGTAGAAGGATGTTTACCATAGGTTGGAAAGGGTAATTCAGTGGTGTGGGGAAGTGGGGATGCTTAATTGGTGCAAAAAAAATTGAAAGAATGTATTGGACCTACTACTTGCTAGCACAAGAGAGTGACTATAATAAAAATAGTTTAATTATACATTTTAAAATAACTAGAAGAGTGTAACTGGATTGTTTGCAACACAAAGGAAAAAATGCTTTATGCTGTAGATAGCTTATTTACCCTGATGTGATTACTGTGTATTGCATCCTTGTATTAAAATGTCTCCTCTAACTCGGGGTGGGGAGGTGTTCCAAGATGGCCAAATAGGAACAGCTCCAGGCTGCAGCTCCCAGCGTGATCAAAGCAGAAGATGGGTGATTTCTGCATTTCCAACTGAGGTACCTGGTTCATCTCATTGGGACTGGTTGGACAGAGGGTACAGCCCACAGAGGGTGAGCTGAAGCAGGGCAGGGCGTCACGTCTCCCAGGAAGTGAAAGGGGTTGGGGGATATCCCTTTCCTACCCAAAGGAAGCCATGGCAGACTACCTGGAAAAACGGGACACTCCCACCCCAATACTGCACTTTTCCCAAGGTCTTAGCAACCAGCAGACAAGGAGATTCCTGTGCCTGGCTTGGCGAGTCCCAGACCCGCAGAGCCTTGCTCACTTCTTGTGCAGTAGTCTGAGATCAAACTGCGAGGTGGCAGCCTGACTGGGGGAGGGGTGTCCACCATTGCTGATGCTTGAGTACATAAATAAAGCAGCCTGGATGCTCGAACTGGGCAGAGCCCACTGCAGCTCAACAAGTCCTACTGCCTCTAGACTCCACCTCTGTGGGCAGGACATAGCTAAACAAAAGGCAGCAGACAACTTCTGCAGACTTAAATGGCCCTGTCTGGCAGCTCTGAAGAGCAGTGGTTCTCCAAGCATGGTGTTTGAGCTTTGAGAACGGACAGACTGCCTCCTCAAGTGGGTCCCTGACCCCCATGTAAACTAACTAGGAGACATCTCCCAGTAAGGGCTGAAAGACACCTCATATAGGCAGCTACCCCTCTGGGACAAAGCTTCCAGAGGAAGGATCAGACAGCAATATTTGCTGTTCTGCAATATTTGCTGTTCTGCAGCCTCCGCTGGTGATACCCAGGCAAACAGGGTCTGGAGTGGACCTCCAGCAAATGCCAACAGCCCTGCAGCTGAGGGACCTGAATGTTAGAAGGAAAACTAACAAACAGAAAGGAATACCATCAACATCAACAAAAAGGTCATCTACATCAAAACCCCATCTGTAAGTCACCAACATCAAAGACTAAAGGTAGATAAAACCACAAAGAGGAGGAGAAACCAGAGAAGAAAAGCTGAAAATTCTAAAAATCAGAGTACCTCTTCTACTCCAAAGGATCACAGCTCCTCAACAGCAACAGAACAAATCTGGATGGAGTATGACTTTGACAAGTTGACAGAGGTAGGCTTCAGCAGGTCAGTAATAACAAACTTTTCCAAACTAAAAGTGGATGTTCAAACTCATCACAAGGAAGCTAAAACCCTTGAAAAAAGATTAGATGAATGGCTAACTAGAGTAACTAGTGTAGAGAAGACCGTAGATGACCTAATGGAGCTGAAAACCATGGTTTGAGAACTTCGTGACACGTGCACAAGCTTCAATACCCGATTCAATGAAGTGGAAGAAAGGGTATCAGTGATTGAAGATTAAATTAATGAAATAAAGCCAGAAGACAAGGTTACAGAAAAAAGTAGAAAGAAACAAACAAAGTGTCCAAGAAATGTGGGACTATGTAAAAAGACCAAATCTGTGTTTGATTGGTGTACCTGAAAGTGATGGGGAGAATGGAACCAAGTTGGAAAAGACTCTTCAAGATATTATCCAGGAGAATTTCTCCAACCTAGCAAGGCAGGCCAACATTCAAATTCAGGAAACAGAGAGAACACCACAAAGATACTCCTTGAGAAGAGCAATCCCAAGACACATAATTGTCAGATTCACAAGGGTCAAAATGGAGGAAAAAGTTTTGAGGGCAGCCAGAGAGAAAGGTCGAGTTACCCACAAAAGAAAACCCATCAGATTAACAGTGGATCTCCTGGCAGAAACCTTACAAGCCAGAAGAGAGTGGGGGCCAACACTCAACATTCTTGTAGAAAATAATTTTCAACCCAGAATTACATATCCAGGCAAACTAAGCTTCATAAGTGAAGGAGAAATAAAATTTTTTACAGACAAGCAGATGCTGAGAGATTATGTCACCACCAGGACTGCCTTCAAGAGTTCCTAAAGCAAGCATGAAACATGGAAAGAAACAACCGATACCAGCCACTGCAAAGACATGCCAAATTGTAAAGACCATCCATGCCATGGAGAAATGGTATCAATTAATGGGCAAAATAACCAACTAACATCATAATGACAGGATAAAGTAAACACATAAAAATATTAATCTTAAATGTAAATGGGCTAAATGCCCCAATTAAAAGACACAGACTGGCAAATTGAATAAAGAGTCAAGACCCATCAGTGTGCTGTATTCAGGAAACCCATCTCACGTGCAAAGATGCACAGAGGCTCAAAATAAAGGGATGAAGGAAGATTTACCAAGCAAATGGAAAGCAAAAAAAAATAAAAATAAATAAAATAGGAGTTGCAATCCTAGTCTGTGGTAAAACACACTTTAAACCAACAAAGATCAAAAGAGACAAAGAAGGCCATTACATAATGGTAAAGGAATCAATTGAACAAGAAGAGCTAACTATCCTAAAGATATGTGCACCCAATACAGGAGCACCCAGATTCATAAAGCAAGTCCTTAGAGACCTACAAAGAGACTTAGAATCCCACACAATAATAATGGGAGACTTTAACACTCCACTGTCAATATTGCACAGATCAACAAGACAGAAGATTAACAAGGATATCGAAGACTTGAACTCAGCTCTGCACCAAGCAGATCTAATAGACATCTACAGAACTCTCCACCCCAAATCAACAGAATATACATTCTTCTCAGCACCACATCTCATTATTCCAAAATTGACCACATAATTGGAAGTAAAGCACTCCTCAGCAAAGGTAAAAAAAAGAAATCATAACAAACTATCTCTCAGAGCACAGTGCAATCAAATTAGAACTTAGGATTAAGAAACTTACTCAAAACAGCACACCTACATGGAAACAGAACAACCTGCTCCTGAATGACTACTGGGTAGTAACGAAATGAAGGCAGAAATAGAGATGTTCTTTGAAACCAATGAGAACAAAGACACAATGTACCAGAATATCAGGGACACATTTAAAGCAGTGTGTAGAGGGAAATTTATAGCACTAAATACCCACAAGAGAAAGCAGGAAAGATCTAAATTTGACACCCTAACATCACAGTTAACCACAGAAGCAACAGCAAACACATTCAAAAGCTAGCAGAAGGCAAGAAATAACTAAGATCAGAGCAGAACTGAAGGAAATAGAGACACAAAAAAAAAACCTTCAAAAAATCAATGAATCCAGGAGCTGGTTTTTTGAAAAGATCAACAAAATTGATAGACCACTAGCAAGACTAATAAAAAAGACAGATGAATCAAATAGATGCAATAAAAAATGATAAAGGGGATATCAACATTGATCTCACAGAAATACAAACTACCATCAGAGAATACTACAAACACCTCCACACAAATAAACTAGAAAATCTAGAAGAAATGGATAAATTCCTGGACACATACACCCTCCCAAGACTAAATCAGGAAGAAGTTGAATCCCTGAATAGACCAATAACAAGCTCTGAAATTGAGGCAATAATTAATAGCCTACCAACCAAAAAGAGTCTAGGACCAGATGGATTCACAGCTGAATTCTACCAGAGGTACAAAGAGGGACTGGCACCATTCCTTCTGAAATTATTCCAATCAATAGAAAAAGAGGGAATCCTCCCTAACTCATTTTATGAGGCCAAAATCATCCAGTACCAAAGCCTGGCAGAGACACAACAAAAAAAAGAGAATTTCAGACCCATATCCCTGATGAACATCGATGCAAAAATCCTCAATAAAATACTGGCAAACCGAATCCAGCAGCACATCAAAAAGCTTATCCACCATGATCAAGTTGGCTTCCTCCCTGGGATGCAAGGCTGGTTCAATATATGCAAATCAATAAACATAATCCATCACATTAACAGAACCAAAGACAAAAACCACATGATTATCTCAATAGATGCAGAAAAGGCCTTTGACAAAATTCAACAGCCTTCCATGCTAAAAACTCTCAATAAACTAGGTAATGATGGGACTTATCTCAGAATAATAAGAGATATTTAGGACAAACCTACAGCCAATATCATACTGAATGGACAAAAACTGGAAGCATTCCCTTTGAAAACTGGCACAAGCAAGGATGCCCTCTCTCAGCAGTCCTATTCAACATAGCGTTGGAAGTTCTGGCCAGGGCAATCAGGCAAGAGAAAGAAATTAAGGGTATTCAATTAAGAAAAGAGGAAGTCAAATTGTCCCTGTTTGCTGATGACTTGATGGTATATTTAAATAACCCCATCGTCTCAGCCCAAAATCTCCTTTAGCTGATAAGCAACTTCAGCAAAGTCTCAGGATAGAAAATCAATGTGCAAAAATCACAAGCTTTCTTATACACCATTAACAGACAAACAGAGAGCCAAATCCTGAGTGAACTCCCTTTCACAATTGCTACAAAGAGAATAAAATATGCAGGAATCCAATTTACAAGGGATGTGAAGAACCTCTTCAAAGAGAACTACAAACCAATGCTCAACGAAATAAAAAGAGGACACAAACAAATGGAAGAATATTCCATGCTCATGGATAGGAAGAATCAATATCATGAAAATGGCCATACTGCCCAAAGTAATTTATAGATTCAATGCCATCCCCATCAAGCTACCAAGGACTTTCTTCACAGAATTGGAAAAAACTACTTTGAAGTCCATATGAAATGAAAAAAGAGCCTGCATTGCCAAGACAATTCTAAGTCAAAAGAACAAAGCTGGAGGCATCATGCTACCTGACTTCAAACTATACTACAAGGCTACAGTAACCAAAACAGCATGGTACTGGTACCAAAAGAGAGTTATAGACCAAAGGAACAGAACAGAGGCCTCAGAAATAACACCACACATCTACCACCATCTTATCTGTGACAATCCTCACCAAAACAAGAAATGGGGAAAGGATTCCCTATTTAATAAATGGTGCTGGGAAAACTGGCTAGCCATATGTAGAAAGCTGAAACTAGATCCCTTCCTTACAGCTTATAAAGAATTAATTCAAGATGGATGAAAGACTTAAATGTTAGACCTAAAACCATAAAAACCCTAGAAGAAAACCTAGGCAATACCATTCAGGAAATAGGCATTGGCAAGGACTTCCTGACTAAAACACCAAAAGAAATGGCAACAAAATCCAAAATAGACAAATGGGATCTAATTAAACTAAAGAGCTTCTGCACAGCAAAAGAAACTACCATCTGAGTGAACAGGCATCCTACAGGATGTGAGAAGGTTTTTGCAATCTACCCATCTGAAATGGGCTAATATCCAGAATCTACAAAGAACTCTAACAAATTTACAAGAAAAAAACAAACAACCCCATCAAAAAGTGGACAAAGGTTATGAACAGACACATCTCAAAAGAAGACATATATGCAGCCTACAGACACATGAAAAAATGCTCATCACTGGCCTTCAGAGATGTGTAAATCAAAATCCCAATACCATGTCACGCCAGTTAGAATGGCAATCATTAAAAAGTCAGGAAAAAACAGATGCTGGAGAGGACGTTGAGAAATAAGAATGCTTTTACACTGTTGGTGGGAGTATAGATTAGCTCAATTATTGTCTAAGAGAGTGTGGCGATTTTTCAAGGATCTAGAACTAGAATTACCATTTGGCCCAGCAATTCCTTTATTTGATATATACCCAAAGGATTATAAATCATGCTTCTATAAAGACACATGCACACGTATGTTTATTGCGGCACTATTCACAATAGCAAAGACTTGGAAACAACCCAAGTGTCCATCAATGATAGACTGGATTAAGAAAATGTGGCACATATACAGCATGGAATAGTATGCAGCCATAAAAAAGGATGAGTTCATGTCCTTTGCAGAGACATGGATCAAGCTGGAAGCCATCATTCTCAGGAAACTATCGCAAGGACAAAAAAACCAAACACTACATGTTCTCACTCATAGATGGGATTTGAACAATGAGATCACTTGGACACAGGGCAGGGAACATCACACACCAGGGCCTTTTGGGAGGTCTGGGGCTGGGGGAGGGATAGCATTAGGAGAAATACCTAATGTAAATGATGTGTTGATGGGTGCAGCAAACCAACATAGCACATGTATACCTATGTACCAAACCTGCTCATTGTGCACATGTACCGTAGAAGTTAAAGTATTTAAAAAAGTCTCTTCTAACTCATAAACGTAAACACATTGTATGTACTCACAAAAACTAAAACTTAAGAATTAAAAAAAGGTGAACCAATAAAGAGTCTAAAATATCTACAAAAAATTAAATATAAAACATATAAAAATATAACTAAGTATTTTTAAATTAAAAATAATATTAAATGGTGTTGGGAAAATTGGACATTCACATGCAAAAAAAGTGAAATTGGGCCTTTAGCTTAGATGACATACAAAAATTAACTTGCATGGAATAAAGAAAGAATCCATAAAAATCCTAGAAGGAAACAATAGAGAAAATATCATTCACATTGGTCTTGGCAATGATTTTATAGATGTAAAACCAAAAACACAAGCAAAAAAAGCAAGTGAACTACATCAAACTAGAAAACCTCTGAGCAGCAAAGGAAACAATCAAAAAAAAAATGAAAAGCCATCTTATGGAATGGGAAAAAATATTTGCCAGCCATATATCTGATAAATGTGTTAATAATCAAATATATAAGGAATGCCTACAACTCAACAGCAAAAAATTAATAATATCCCACTTTAAAAAGGAAGAAAGGACCTGACTAGACATTTTTTTCCAAAGAAAACATACAAATAGTCAAAAGGTATATGAAAGACACTCAGCATTATTAATCATTAGGGAAATGCAAATCAAAATCACAATAATATATCACATCACAAGTGTTAGGATGGCCATTACTTTTTAAAAAATAAAAGATGACACATATTGGTTAGGATTGTGGAGAAAACTACAGTTTTGATGAGAGTGTAAATTGTTACAGCCATTATGGAAAACAGTGTGATGTTTTCTCAAAAAATTAAAAATAAAACTACCATATGATTTAGCAATCCCACTTCTAGGTATTTATCCAAAGAAATTGAAATCAGGATCTCAAAGAGTATTTGTATTTCAATGTTCATTGCAACATTATTCACAATAGCCAAGACAAGAAAACAACCTAAATGTCCATTGGCACAAGAATGAAGAAAGAAAATGTGATACATACATACAGTGAAATATTATTCACCCTTTAAAAAGAAGTAAATTCTGCCATTTGTGACAACATGGATGGAGCTGGAGGATAAGATGCTATGTTAAATAAACCAGGCAAAGAAAGACAAGCACTATGTGATCACAATTATTCGATGAATCTAAAACAGGCAAACTCATACACACAAAAACATGGTAGTTGTTAGGGGTTGGGGCGGGGAATGGAGAGATGATCATGAAAGGGTACAAAGTTTCAGTTATGCAAGGTAAATACATCCTGGAGATCCACCATACAGCATAGTGCTTATACTTATCAGTACTGTATTGTAGTTAAAATTTGATAAGAGAATAGTTCTTATATTAAGTGATCTCACAAGAAAGAATTATTATAGTGAAGAAGACAGAAGGAAACTTTGGGAGGTGATGGATATGTCTATGGACTTGATGGTTTCATGGATATATACTTATCCTCAGACTCATTTAGTTGTATACATTAAATATGTACAGTTTTTACATGTCAATCATACCTCAATAATGTGCAGCCATAAATTAAAATTACATTAATAGAGGCTCATCAAAAACCCAGTAGCCTAAATATGGCTGGCCCTAAGTCAGTTTTCAACAAATTCTTGTTTTCCTGGACTTAAATAAAATACATGAGTTATTTCGTTTATCAAGTGGAACAGCATGGAGCCATGAAAACATTGATCATTGAGATCTGTGGATGCCTTACCAATATTAAGAATTCAGGACTCTCTTGGGATTCGGGAAGTATGTCAACAACTTCTCCCTCATTGCCAAGCCCATTAAGACTTGACTTGCAAGTATCTGAGCCTCCTAGAGAAGAGTATCCACTCCCAGAGAGTGAGTATGAAGAAGGCTCGTACTGTCCAATAGTCCTCCAGGTGAACTGTTGGAGTATTTATGAGAGAGAAGAGCTACAAACTGACTTTTGAGACCCTACCTTTTTTTTTTCACATTGCATGACTAAGTCTTTTGATCTGTCTTTTTGGTTTGTTTGTTTGTTGGGTTTTTTTGTTTGTTTTCTTGTTTATTTTTGTGGGTACATAGTAGGTGTATATATTTATGAGGTATATGAAATATTTCATACAGGCATGCGATGTGAAAGAAGCACATCATGGAGAATGAGGTATCCATCCTCTCAAACATTTATCCTTTGAGTTACAAACAATCCAATTACACTCTTTTAGTTATTTGTACATGTACAATTAAGCTATTGTTAACTATAGTCACCCTGTTGTGCTATCAAATAGTAGGTCTTATTTCTTCTTTCTAACCATTTTTTTGTACCATTAACCTTCCCCCCCCCTCCCACCTGCACTCCATTATCCTCCCCAGCCTCTGGAAACTATCCTTCTACTCTCTGTGTCTATGAGTTTCATTGTTTTTATTTTTAGATCCCACAAATAAGTGAGAACATGTAATGTTTGTCTTTCTGTGCCTGGCTTATAACATAATGATCTCCAGTTCCATGCATATTGTTGCAAATGACTGAATATCATTCTTTTTGTGGCTGAATAATATTCCATTGTTTATATTTACAGCATTTTATTTATCCATTTATCTGTTGATGGGCTGTTAGGTCCCTTCCAAATCTTAGCTGTGGTAAACCCTGCTGGAACAAACATAGAGGTTCAGATATCTCTTTGATATACTGATTTCATTTCTTTTGGGTATATACCCAGCAGTAGGATTGCTGGATCTTATGGTAGCTCTGTTTTTAGATTTGGAGGAACCTCCAAACTGTTCTTCATAGTGGTTGTACTAATTTACACCCCCACCCAAAATATACAAGTGTTCCCTTTTCTCTGTATCCTTGCCAACATTTATTATTGTCTGTGTTTTGGATAAAAGCTATTTTTAACTGGAGTGGATGACATTTCATTGTAGTTTTGATTTGCATTTCTCTAATGATCAATGATGTTGAGCACCTTTTCATATTCCTGTTTGCTATTTGTATGTCTTCCTTTGAGAAATATCTATTTAAATGTTTTGATCTTTTTTATTGAATTATAAGATTTTTCCCTATATTGTTGTTTGAGCTCCATATACATTCTGGTTACTAAACCTGTGTCAGAAAGGTAGTTTGCAAAGATTTTCTCCCACTCTGTGGGTCGTTTCTTCACTTTGTTGATTGTAACCTTTGCTGTGCAGAAGCTTTCTAACTTCATGTGATCCCATTTGTCCATTTTTGCTTTGGTTACCTGTGCTTGTGGAATATTGCTCAAGAAATTTTTGCCGAGGCCAACGTCTTGGATATTTTCTCCAATGTTTTCTTGCAGTAGTTTCATAGTTTAAGATGTTCGATTCAAGTCTTTAATCCATTTTGATTTTACTTTCGTATATGGTGAGAGAAAGGGGTCTGGTTTCATTCTTTTGCATATGGATATCCAGTTTTCCCATCACCATTTATTGAAGAGATGGTCCATTCCCCAATGTATGTTATTGTCACGTTTGTCAAAAATGACTTCACTGTAGATGTGTGGATTTTTTTCTGGGTTTGCTATTCTGTTCCACTGGTCTATGTGTCTTTTCATGCCAGTACCATGCTGTTTTGGTTACTATATGTTTAGCATAATTTGAAGTCAGGTAATGTGATTTCTTTGGTTTTATTGTTCTTGGTTAGGATAGCTTTGTCTATTCAGCTTTTTTTTTATGGTTCCATATGCATTTTGGAATAGTTTTTTCTAGTTCTGTGGGGAAGGTCTTTGGTATTTTAATAGGAATAGAGTTGAATCTCTAGATTGCTTTATGTAGTGTGGACATTTTAACATAGTTAATTCTTCCAATTTTGAACATGGAATATTTTTCCAATTTTTAGTGTTCTCTTAAATTTCTCTCATCAGTGTTTTACAGTTTTTATAATAGAGTTTTCCCACTTCTTTGGTTAAGTTAATTCCTAGATATATAATTTTTTGTGTGGCCATTGTAAATGGGATTACTTTAAAATGTTTTTCAGACTGTTCACTGTTGGCATATAGAAATGCTACTGATTTTTGTATGTTGATTTAGTATACTGCAAATTTACTGAATTTGTTTGTCAGTTCTAGTAGCTTTTTTGTGGAGTTTTTAGGCTTTTGCAAATATATGATCATATCATCAGCAAACAAGAATAATTTGATTTCTTCCCTTCCAATTTTGATTTCCTTTATATTCTGCTCTTTTCTGATTGCTCTAGCTAGGACTTCCAGTACTACGTATAAGAACAGCATTGACAATGGGCCTCCTTGTTGTGTTACGGATCTTCAAGAAAAGGTTTTCACTGTTTTCTCATTGAGTATGGTACTAGCCATGGGTCTGTCATATATGGCTTTTATTATGTTGAGGTATGTTACTTGTTTCCCCAGTTTCTTTAGGGTTTTTTTTTATCATAAAGGGATGTTGAATTTTATTAAATGCTTTTTCAGCATCAGTTGAAATAATCATATGGCTTTTCTCCTTCATTTTTTTAAGTTCCTCTGTCAGACCTTCTGTTGTCCTATGAAAGTTCCAATGTAAGTTGCCCAGCAAAATACAAAGTCAAACTTAATCCCCATAGTATGACATTAAACTGTCTCTAGATAACAACAGTTTGATTCTAAATGGAGAGCACTGATCTGTTTCATTTTAAGGGTAACCTACTGCTTGGGGATGGGGTGGGGGGAGAGTATGTGTGACATGCTTTACTGAATCTGTGTTAATCACATCCTTCCCCACCTTTGTTCTAATTTTAGAAGCTGGGCAGAGAAATCGAGCTGCAAAATGACCTACAGATATTACAGTTTTATTCTTGGAAAATGGAGGTTGTCTATTAGTGTGATGGTAACAACCAACTAATAAAATTTGGAGACTAGACTGCTTGTCATGTCTGGGGTTCACTGGAAATCAATGATTCACTGGAACAATTCTCCTGTCAAAAAAAATGTGAGGTTTGTAACTTGCCCTAAGTATAACAAGGGATATATTTTAACAAAGGATGTATTTTTTCTTAAGAAGCAACCATTTCTCAGCTTATACATAATAGCAATAATAAAGTCTTTGACCCTATTAATGATTTTCTTATTTAATCTTGATTTTTACAGTTCATCACTGCATTTCATTATGGGAAGATTTAAATATTAAATAGAAACTAGCTAGCTTAATAAAATCTGAACACAGTTAATGTCTGTCATAATGCTCATTTTAATACATTTCTATCCTTCATTCTGTTGATATTATGTATCATATTGATTGATTTGCACACAATTCACCATCATTGCATCCCAGGGATTGCACTTGGTCATGATGAAGGATCTTTCTAATGTATTGTTGAATTTGGTTTGCTCATAGTTTGTTGAGGATTTTTGCATCAATATTCATTAGAGATATTGGCCTGTAATTTTTTTATATGTCTTTGTCTGCTTTTGGAATCAGGGCAATACTAGCCTTGTGGAATGAATTTTAAAGTATTCCCTTTTCACCTATTTTTTCTGAATAATTTGAGTAGGATTGGTGTTAGATCTTCTTTAAATGTTTGGTGGAATTCACCAGTGAAGCCACTGGGTCCCAGGATTTTCTTTACTGGGAGACTTTTTAATACAGCTTCCATCTCATGACTTATTATTCATCTGTTTGTGTTTTGGATTTTGTATTAGTCTGTTTTCAGGCTGCTAATAAAGACATACCCAAGACTGGATAACTTATAAAGGAAAGAGGTTTAATTGACTCACAGTTCCACATGGCTGGGGAGACCTCACAATCATGGTGGAAGGCTAATGAGGAGCAAAGTCACGTCTTACATAACAGCAGGCAAGTGAGCTTGTGCAGGGGAACTCCCACTTATAAAACCATCAGATCTCATGAGACTTATTTACTACCATGAGAACAGTGTAGGGGAAACCACCCCTATGATTCAATTATCTCCACCTAGCCCTTCCCTTGACACATGGGGATTATTACAATTCGAGGTGAGATTTGGGTGGGGACACAGCCAAACCATACCATCCCACCCCTGGTTCCTTTCACATCTCATGTCCTCATATTTCAAAATCAGTCATGCCTTCACAACAGTCCCCCAAAATCTTAAATCATTTTAGTGTTAACTCAAAAGTCCACAGTCCAAGGTCTTATCTGAGACAAGGCAAGTCCCTTCCACCTATGAGCCTGTAAAATCAAAAGCTAGTTAGTTACTTCCTAGATACAATGGGAGTACGGGCATTGGATAAATAAACCTATTCAAAATGGGAGAAATTTGCCAAAACAAATGGGCTACAGACCTCATGAAAGTCCAAAATCCAATGGGGCAGTCAAATGTTAAAGCTCCAAAATGATCTCCTTTGATTCCATGTCTCACATCCAGGTTATGCTGATGCAAGAGGTGGACTCTCATGGCCTTGGGCATCCCTGCCACTGTGGCTTCTTAGGGTACAGCCTCCCTCCTGGCTGCTTTCATGGACTGGTGTTGTGCCTGTAGCTTTTCCAGGTGCATTGTGCAAGATGTTGGTGAATCTACCATTCTGATGTCTGGAGGACGGTGGCCCTCTTGTCATAGCTCCACTAGGCAGTGCTCCAGATGGGACTCTGTGTGGGGCCCCAACCCCACATTTCCCTTCCACACTGCCCTAGCAGAGTTACATGAGGGCTCTACCCCTGCAGCAAACTTCTGCCTGGACATCCAAGCATTTCCATACATCCTCTTAAATCTAGGCAGAGGTTCCCAAATGTCAGTTCTTGATTTCTGTGCACCCACCGGCCCAAAACCACATGGAAGCTGCCAAGGCTTGGGGCTTGAACCCTCTGAGGCAACATCCTGAGCTAGAGCTCAACATAGATGTTGGCCCCTTCTAGCCATGGCTGGGACACAATGCATCAAGTCCCGAGACTGCACAAAGCAGCAAGGCCCTGGGCCCAGCCCATGATATTATTTTTTTCCTTTTAGGCCTCCAGGCCTGTGATGGGAGGGGCTGCTGTGAAGACCTCTGACATGCCCTGGAGACATTTTCCCCATTGTATTGGCAATTAACATTTGGTTTCTTGTTACTTGTGCAAATTTCTGCAGCTGGCTTGAATTTCTCCTCAGAAAATGGGTTTTTCTTTTTTATTGCATCATCAGGCTGCAAATTTTTCAAAATTTTATGCTCTGCTTCCCTTTTAAACATAAGTTCCAATTGCAAACCATATCTTTGTGAATACATAAAACTTAATGCTTTTAACAGTACTGAAGTCGCATCTTGAACACTTTGCTGCTTAGAAATTTCTACTACCAGATGCCCTATATCATCTTTCTCAATTTCAAAGTTCCACAGATCTCTAGGACAGGGGGAAAATGCCACCAGTCTCTTTGCTAAAGCATAACAAGAGTCACCTTTGCTCTAGTTCTCATATCCATCTGAGACCAACTGGGCTTGGACTTTATTGCCCATATCACTATCAGCATTTTGGTCAAAGCCATTTAACAAGTCTCTAGGAAGTTTCAAACTTTCCCACATTTTGCTGTCTTCTTCTGATTCCTCCAAGCTGTTGCCACCTCTGCTTGTTACCCAGTTCGAAAGTTGCTTCCACATTTTTGGGTATCTTTACAGCCACACCCCACTCTACCAATACCAGTTTACTGTATTAGTCTGTTCTCATGCTGCTTACAAAGACATACCCAAGACTGGGTAATTTATAAAGAAAAGAAGTTTAATTGACTCACAGTTCCACATGGCTGGGGAAGCCTCACAATCATGGCAGAAGGTGAATGAGGAGCAAAGTCACGTCTTACATCGTGGTAGGCAAGAGAGCTTGTACAGTGGAACTCCCATTTATAAAACCATCAGATCTTAGGCGTATTATTCACTATCACAAGAACAGTATGGGGGAAACTGGCCCCATGATTCAATTATATCCACATAGTCCTGCCCTTGACACATGGGGATTATTACAATTCAAAGTGAGATTTGAGTGAAGACACAGCTAAACCATATCAGATTTATTTATGGTTCAATCTTGGTAGTTTGTATGTGTCTAGGAATTTGTCCATTTCTTCCAGACTCTCCAATTTATTGGCATATATTTGCTCATAATAGCCACTAATGATCCTTAGAATTTCTGCAGTATCAGTTCTAATGTCTCCTTTTTCATTTCTGATTTTATTTATTTGGGTCTTATTTCTTTTTTTCCTCATCTGGCTAAAGGTTTGTCAATTTTGTTTAACTTTTTAAAAAGCTAACTTTTTGTTTCACTGCTTTTTTATGCTTTAATTTTAATTTGATTTATTTCTGCTCTAATCCTTATTTTTTTTCTACTAAGTTCTGGTTTGGTTTGCTCTTGCTTTTCTAGTTATTTAAGATCCATTATTAGATTGTTTATTTGAAGATTTTCTTGTTTTTTCATGTGAGCACTTATAGCTGTAAACTTCCCTATTATACTGCTTTTGCTGTATCCCATAGGTTTTGGTATGTTGTGTTTCCATTATCATTTGTTCTAAGAAATTTTTCAATTTTAAATTTTTCATTGATTCACTGATCATTGAAGAGCATATTTTTTAATTTCCATGTAGTTGCACAGTTCCAAACTTCCTCTTTTCAATAATTTCTACATTCATTCCATTGTGTTCAGAGAAAATACTTGATATTATTTTAATTTTTAAAAAAATTTTTAAGACTTGCATGTGATCTAACATATGGTCTATCCTTGAGAATTTTCCACGTGCTAAAGAATAAAAATGTTTATTCTGCAGCTCTTGAATAAAATATTCTGTAAATATCTATTAAATCCATGTGGTCTACAGTGCAGATTAAGTCTGCTGTTTCCTTGTTGATTTTCCGTCTAGAAGATCTGGCCAATCCTGAAAGGGGAGTGTTGAAGTCTCCAGCTATGATTGCATTGGGGTCTTTCTCTTTAGCTCTAATATTTCCTTTATATATCTGTTTGCTGTCGTGTTGGGTGCAAATGTATTTAAAATTGTTATATCTTCTTGCTGAATTGACCCCTTTATCATTATATACTTACATTCTTTATCTCTTCTTATAGTTTTTGTCTTGAAATCTATTTTGTCTGATATTAATATAGTTACTCCTGCTCTTTTTTTGGTTTCCATTGACATGGAATATCTTTTGGTATTTTTTCATTTTCAGTCTCTGTGTGTCTTTACAGATGATGTGTGTTTCTTGTAGTCAAGAGATCCATGGGTCTCGTTTTTTCATTCATTGAGCCAGTGTGTCTTTTGATTGGAGAGTTTAGTCCATTTACATTCAATGTCATTATTCACAAATAAGGACTTTAGCCAGTCATGGTGGTGAGTGCCTGTAATCCCAGCTCCTCGGGAGACTGAGGCAGGATAATTGCTTGAACCCATGAGGCAGAGGTTGTGATGAGTCAGCTGCACTCCAGCCTGGGTGACAGAGGGAGATTCCATCTCCAAAAAGAAAAACATAAATAAGTAAATAAGGACTTACTTTGCTATTTTATTATGTGTTTTCTGTTTTGTTTTTGTTTTTGTTGTCTTCTCTACCTTCTTTCTTTCCTTTCTGTCTTTATCTAGTGAATGTGATTTTCTCTGGTTATATGATTTTGTTTATTGCTTTTTTGTGATTCATTGTATATTGTTTGGTTTGTGGTTACCATGAGGCTTGCAAATACTATCTTATAATCTATTATTTTAACCCAATAACAGTTTAACACTGTTTCCATAAACAAACAAACAAGCATAAATAAAACTAACAAAAACTGTACTTTTTAAGTTTGTCCTCCTGCTTTTTAATTTTTTATAGTTTCTATTTGTAACTTATTCAATGACTATGTCTTGAAAAGTTGTTGTAGTTTTTATTTTTTATTGGTTCATTGTTTATTCTTTCTACTTAAGGTAAAAGTAGTTTGCACACCACACTTACAGTGTTATAATACTCTATGTTTTTCTGTGTATCTACTATTACCAGTGAGTTTTGTACCTTCAAGTGATTATTTATTGCTCATTAATGTCCTTTCCTTTTTGATTGAAATGCTTTCTAGCATTTCTTGCAGGACAGGTCTGGTATTCATGAAATTTTTCAGCTGTTTCTAGGAAAGTATTTATTTTTTCTTCGTGTCTGAAAGATACTTTCACTAGATATGCTATTCTGGGATAAGTTTATTTTTCTTTAGCACCTTAAATATTTCATGCCACTCTCTCCTGGCCTTTAAGGTTTCCACTGAAAAGTCTTCTGCCAGAGGAATTGGAGCTCTATTATATGTCGTTTGTTTATCTTACCTTGCTGCTTTTATGATTCTTTCGTTATCCTTAACTTTTGGGAGTTTGATTTTTAAATGCCTTGAGGTAGTCTTCTTTGAGTTAAATCTGCTTGGTGTTCTATAACCTACTTATACTTGGATATTGAGATCTTTCTCTAGGTTTAGGAAGTTCTCTGTTATCCCTTTGAATAAACTTTCTACCCCTATCTCTTTCTCTACCTCTTCTTTAAGGCCAGTTACTCTTAGATTTGCCCTTTTGACACTATTTTTTAGATCCTGAGGCATGTTTCATTTTTAAATTTTTTTTTTACTTTTATCTCCTCTGTATATTTTCAAATAGTCTGACTTCAAGTTCACTAATTCTTTCTTCTGCTTGATGAATTTTGCAATTAAAAGACTCTGATGCATTCTTCAGCATGCCAATTGCATTTTTCAGCTCCAGAATTTCTGCTTGATTATTTTTAATTATTTCCATCTGTTTGGTAAATTTTTCTGACAGAATTATGAAATCCTTCTCTGTGGTATCTTGAATTTCCTTGAGTTTCCTCAACACAGCTATTTTGAATTCTCTGTCTGAAAGGTCGCATATCTCTGTTTCTCCAGGATTGGCCATTTAGTTCATTTGGAGAAGTTATGTTTTCCTATCTGGTGTAGATGCTAGTAGATGTTCTTCATTGTCTGTGCATTGAAGAGTTAGGTATTTATTGTAGTCTCCACTGTCTGTACTTATTTGTCGCCGTCCTATTTGGGAAGGCTTTCCATATATTTGAAAAGACTTGGATGTTGTAATCTAAGCTCTGTCTGCTTTAGGGGGCACCCCAGGCCCAGTAACACTGTGAATCTTGTAGACTTGTAGAGGTAAGCCTTTATGGTCTTGGACAAGATCCAGAAGAATTCTATGGGTTACCAGGCAAAGACTCTTATTCTCTTCCCTTACTTTCTCCCAAACATACAGAGTCTCTCTGTCTCTTCTGAGCCATCTAAAGCTGGGAGTGGAGTGACACAAGAACCTCTGTGACTACCACCACTATGAATATACTGGGTCACACCTCAAGCTACTACAGCACTGGGTCTTGCCCAAGGCCTGCTGTAACCACTCCGTGGCTACTGTCTAAGTTTGCTCAAGGCCCTAGGGCTCTACAGTTAGCAGGTTGCAAAGCCAGCCAGGCCTGTGTCCTTTCCTGCAGGGCAATGAGGTCCCCAGGCCCCGGGTTGATCCAGAAGTTCCGTTAAGGAGTCAGGGGCTAGAGTAAAAAACCTTTGAATTCTACCTTGTGTTCTTTTGGTTTCCGGCTAAGCTTGCACTCAAACCACAAGATGCAGTCCTTCCCAGTCTTTCCTTCCCTTTCCAAAGGCAAAAGATCCTAGAGCCCACCTGGTGCTCTGTCTGTCTGTGGCCATGCTGGTACCTGAGGTACAAGACAAGGTCCCCTTTGCTTTTCTCAAGCAGAAGGAGTTTTGCCCTGAGGCCACCACAGCTGGTAATGTGCTGAATCTCACCTGAATCTAGCAAATCTCAGCGGCTCACCCAAGGCCTTCAGTGTAGTACCTGGGTATTGCTGCTGGTCATTCAGGGCCCAAGGGTACTTCATTTAGCAAGTGATAAATGCTGCTAGGCCTGGGTCCTTTTCTTCAAGGCAATGGGTTGTCTTCTGGCCCACGATGTGTCTACAAATGTTGTCTGGGGTCTAGGGCCTGGAATGGGGGTGTCACAACTCTGACCAGAGTCCTATCTTGCTGTGGCTAAGCTGGTACCCTAGATGCAAGACAAAGTCCACTCCACTCTTCTCTCTCCTCTCCTCAATTGAAAGGAAGGGGTTTCTTTTGTAGCTCAGAACTGTGTAGCCTGGTGTTTCAGGTAGGGTGATGCTTACACTCCCTTGGCTGTCCCAGCTGATGTTTCAATATGTCTTGTGCCCCCACAATCCACTGTCTCTAGGCTTAGTTTAACTCTAGGATTCACGTAAGTGTTGCAGTCCTTATGGCCTGGATGGCCTTTCAAGTTTACTTAGAAACCTAGAGCACTTTGGCCCTCAGTGATGAGGTTTGTGGGAACTCATGTTTGAACTGCTGTGATTCGCAATTCTCTGGCTAGGGCTGGTTTAAATGCTCCTCCTGTGTATGGGTGTCAGCTGAGTTTGGTCTGGTTTTTATTTCTGCTCTAACAGGATCCCACTGAGTTCAATGCCTCAAATTGCTGTTTCCCTTCTCCCAATGCCCAGAGGCCACCACTGCTGTGTATTCAGGGAGGTGTGGCACTGGCAACTCAGGGCTGTTTTTTCTATCTCTTCAGTGTTTCTTTCAAGGATATGAAGTTAAAACCAGGTACTATGAGTGCTCACTTGATTTTTGCTCCATATGATGGTGTTTTTTTGTGTGTAGATAGTTAACTTGGTGTCCTTGCAGGGAGAGGAGAGACGATTAGTGGATTTTTCTATTCTGCCATCTTGCTCCACCTCTCAGCATGAGTAGGTCTTTTGTTCTTAAAGACATTGTTGTTAGCCTAGGCAGCCTGGAGGTGGTGTTATATTAGATTGGTAAAGGATATATGTGGCCAATGCTTTTGCTAATCAGAGTCCTGAAGACAGTAAGATCCTGGCACTGATGCATGAAATAATTGACCATATCTGAAAATATTTATTTGGCAGTCAGTTTCAAATAGACAGTGACCTAGTTACTAATCACCTGGTGATGGTTTATGTCACCTGGTGATGCTTTATGGTATAGTGAAACATGCATCAGCTCTGGGATTAATCAGAGCTATATTGGAATAGTAACTCTACCATTACTAGTTGTGTGACTTTGAGTCTCCTGTTCTCATCTTTTAAAATGACCTATTTCTTTTTCTTTTGTTTTCTTTTCTTTTCTTTTCTTTTCTTTTCTTTTCTTTTTTTTTTTTTTTTTTTTTTTTTTGAGACAGTTTCACTCTTGTTGCCCAGGTTGGAGTGCAATGGTGTCATCTCAGCTCACTGCAACCTCTGCCTCCCAGGTTCAAGCAATTCTCCTGCCTCAGGCTCCTGAATAGCTGGGATTACAGGCACCCACCACCACGTCTGACTAATTTTTTGTATATTTAGTAGAGACAGGGTTTCACCATGTTGACCAGGCTGGTCTCTAACTCCTGACCTCAGGTAATCCACCCGCCTTGGCCTCTCAAAGTGCTGGGATAACAGGCATGAGCCACCACAACTGGCCTAAAATGACCTATTTCATATGGGTCATAGATGTAAGCATTAAATTAGGTAACATACAGCTTAGTAGTTAATATTAAGACAACATCTGGTGGGGGGTACTTGTCACCCCAGAAGCCCCAGAAGGAGTGTTACAGTCAGCACTCTTTTAGCTTTGCCATCTGCAGATGGCTTAAATGTTTAATGGCTCAGTGGACCCTCTGCCTTTTCACAAGGGCACAGGATCAGTGTGACAGGCTTCTGTATCCTAAACTTTTGCCTGGCATCCAGGAAAAATCAGGTCACACAAACGAATTGAAGGATAGTAAATTCAGGGGATTTTATTGCTGATGGAAGTGGCTCTTGGCAGGAAGGGGAGCTAGAAAGGGGATGGAGCAGGAAGGTATGCTTCCCCTGAAGTTCAGCCATCTCCAGCTGGACTCTTCTCTGAAGTCCTGCCATAAAGCCGTCCCTCTGAAGTCAAACTGCTTCTCCTTGATGTTCAGTTGCTTCTTCTCTTCTCCCCTTCTCTGCTCTTTGCCAGTGAAGCCTGGAGTTTTTATGGGTATAGGATGGGGGGTGAGGGGGGCCAGATGTGGTTTTGGAAAAGGCAACATTTGAGTGGGAAAATGGGGATAATAAAGTTCTCAGTTTGGGCTGATCTTCCAGGCTTGAGGGTGGGGCCCTTGCCAGGGACCCCAGCTTTTTCTGCCTAGAATTTCTCTGCCTCCTGTCCCTATCACTGTTTTAAGTACTTTGTGGATTATCTCTTTAAAACTTCACAGCAATTATATGACATAATGTTATGAACTGATTTGTGTCACACCCCTGCCTCAAATTCATATGATAAAGTCCTAATGCCCAGTATTTCAGAATGTGACCTTATTTTGAAATAGGGCTATCACAGATGTAATTAAGTTAAAACAAGGTGATGAGGGTGGATGAATGACCTCAGTCAATCCAACATGACTGGTATCCTTATGAAAAGGGGAAGTTTGGACACAGATACATGCTTAAAGAGATGATGCGAATAAATATAAGAAGAAGATGGCCAATAACCTTTCAAACATGAGACAATAAATGTCTGTTGTTTAAGCCAATCAGTTGTGGTACTTTGTTATGTTAGCCCTAGCAAACTAATACACATAAGTACTGCAAGTAGCCTCACTTTACAAGGGAAAAGACCAAAACACAGAGTGGTTAAAAAATTTACTCAGCATCACAGAGCCAGGATTGGAATCCAGGCAGTCCAACTCCAAAGTCTAAACTATTAACCACTACCTCATACTGCCTTCCTTGCATAAACATATCTTGAACCTTATAACCCATTTTATATTTGACACATAACAGGTGTTATGCTCAGCACATGTCATTATCCTTCCAATTTAGAAAACTATTGCTAAATTATGTACTATGAGACAGAGGTAAGCGGCCAAGTTGATCAGTAGACTATGAGTCTTTTGCAGACAGTGGCCAGGTCTTAATTTATTTGGAATCTCCTAGAGCTTACCAAATAAGACGCATCTCATATTAAGTGCTCAATTAAGTGCTCAATTAAGCATCTCATATTAAGTGCTGCCCTTGTTGTTATTAAGGGAATGTAAGTGACAGCTTGAAACTACCACTGTTGCATTGGTGATCTGTATATTAAATGAGCCAGTCATCACTATTGTAGAGATGGCTAATTAATTCAATAAGAATTAGATGGAGGATTCAGGAGAGTTTCTTGGACAAAAGATAAAACAATGCTTGGCTCCAAACTAAATAAGTCTCATTTCATTCTAAAATACTTTTGGAAGAGAGGCCCAAGTCGAGGCTCAGAAAAGTGTGTTTATATAGAGTAAAACAAGACTTGAGGTCTCCAGAAGCAATTGGTGCTCTATGAGGTTTAGGTCCTCCATAGTGAGCATACAGCTTCTCAGAAATTCACATATCCAATTGCTGGCTGGGTGCGGTGGCTCATGTCTGTAATCCCAACACTTTGGGAGGCCGAGGCAGGTGGATCACTTGAGGTCAGGAGTTCAAGACCAGCCTGGCCAACATGGTGAAACCCTGTATCTACTAAAAATACAAAAATTAGCCAGGTGTGATGGCCAGCAGCTTTAATCCAAGCTACTCAGGAGGCTGAGGCAGGATAATTGCTTGAACCCAGGAGGTGGAGGTTCCAGTGAGCTAAGATCATGCCACTGCACTCCAGCCTAGGAGACAGGGTGAGACTCTGTCTCAAAAAAAAAAAAAAAAAAAAAAAAAAAAAAAAAAAAAAAAAGAAAAGAAAAGAAAAAGAAAGAAATCCACATATCCAATTGTTTACTTGGCCTTGCCTATAAGGCACCTTAAACTCAAGTCATCCAAAACCAAATTTATAATATTCCCTCCCCAAACATGTTTTTTTTAATTGTTTCTCGGTGAACGACACCACTATTCATCCAGTTGCTCAAGTTAGAATTCTAAGAATCATCTTAGACACTTCCCTCTCCCTCACCTTCAGTATTCAATCTGTTCCCTAACTTTGTGGATTGGACCTCCTATACTTATCTAAAATCAGCCTACTTCTCTTCATCTTCACTTCCCCTACCTAGTGTAAGTTGTAATCCTTTATTGCTGAAGTCCTGCACCAGCCTCCTAATTGGTCTCCCCTAATTTGCCACATCCCCTTCCAATCAGTTCTCTATGATGCAACCAAAAATATGTTTTCAAAATGCATGTCTTATCATGTTGCTTCTCTGCTTAAAATGTTAAGTGGCTCCTCAACAAAGCTCTTTGTTTTAATTAATTTATTTATTTTAGAGGTCTCTTTCTGTCACCCAGCTTGGAGTGCTGCATGATCATAGCTCACAGTAACCTTGAACTCCTGTGCTCAAGTGATCCTCCTGCCTTAGCTTTTCCAGTAGAGCATACCACCATATCTGGCTGCTGATTTATTTATTTATTTATTTATTTATTTATTTATTTATTTATTTTAGCAACATCGTCTTGTTATGCTGCCCAGACTGGTCTTGAACTCCTGTCTTCAAGTGATCCTCCAACCTTGACCTCCCAAAGTTTTGGTATTACAGGCATGAGCCACCACATCAAGCCAACAAAACTCTTTAGGATCACTATAAACTCCTGTATAGTGTGGCCCCTTCCTTTATCTCCAGCCAGCTACTTATACTACATGTCCTCTTGCTCACTTTCCTCCAATTTTTCTGGCCTCTCCTGTTTTTGAACATGTATGGTCCCTCCTGCCACAGGGACTTTGCTTATGAGGTTCCATCTTCCTGTTCCCTCCCTGTTAGCTTTTACTCATCCTCAGGTAAACCTTCCTTGATCTCCCTTGCTAGCTTTTATTCAACCTCAGGTAAGCCTTCCTTGATCTCCCCTGCTAGCTCACATCTCTCTCATAGCATATAGTATGTGCCAAACAGATGTCTGTCTGTTTAATAAATAGCTGGATTTTAAGAGGGAAAGGCCTTAATGTTGCTCAGAATCTGGTTCTCCTGGCCCATGGTAGCCAGGAATGTGAATATGTGCATGACTGTTTTACAGAGTTAGTGAAAATATGTGCTGCCTACTTGGAGAGCATAACTAAGAAAAAATTAGTACTCATTGACTTCCTATCTTGGAGGCATACTCAAGAATAGTGAGCCACATCTTGGTAATGCTTCATATGTAGCATGCACTAGAAACCAGCAATATGGTAAAAGGGCTCATTATTGGTAGTGTTTTCCTGATAGAACCAAATTAGAGGCTGATTGCTTCAGGTTCCATCTAATTGGATTTGTAGAATCCAGGATTCTTCCATGCCATTCTGAATTGTACTATTTATTTATTTATTTATTCATTTATTTTATTCTGAGACAGAGTCTTGCTCTGTCACCAGGCTGGAGTGCGGTGGTGCGATCTTGGGTCACTACAACCTCTGCCTCCTGGGTTCAAGCGATTCTCCTACCTCAGCCTCCCGAGTAGCTAGGACTACAAGCTCATGCCACAACACCCAGCTAATTTTTTAAAAAATATTTTTAGTAGAGACGGGGTTTCACCATGTTGGTTAGGATGGTCTCAATCTCTTGACCTTGTGATCCACCTGCCTTGGCTTCCCAAAGTGCTGGGATTACAGGTGTGAGCCACCGCACCCGGCTGTCAATTGTACCTTTTAAAAGGCTAAAGATATTGGTTGAACTCAAGAGTTAGAGCAGAAGCAGATATTTTGACAGGCAGAACGCTGAAATGGAGAAGTAAATTAGGATTGGGAATGTGGATAGATAGCAAAAAGTAAGGGCACTACCCTGAAGAAGGACGAGTGGTGGGTAGAGGTCCAAGCTTCAGGCCCTTGGTGATAGCTGGGGTCACTTGCTGCAGACCAGGTGAGAGTGGAATCACTACTGGGGATGGAATTTGCAGAATCTCAGAAACTAGTCAGGTCAGAGATGCGACTACTGAGCAGCCATTGCATCAGTAGCACTAGTGTGAGGCAGAATCATTTGACTTGTTTTACATACCAACAGCAGAAAGGAAAACCTGTACCTGTGCCTGCATCTGTGTAAAGAGGATCCAAAGATAACCTGTTCCAAGGGGCAGGGATAAAAGAACTTTGATGTTTTTGATTAAATTATTTTAGAACTCTATAAATGTCTGAAATATCAGATAAAGTATGTAAACTCACCCCTACTACAAGCAGGAGATAGTGAGGTAATATACTTAGGCTAGAGTTCTGGGAGCTGAGCCAAGAGGTCCGGGTTAGAGTGATGGAGAGCACAGTCCTGCTCAGTAACAGATATATCTTGGGGTATGATAAAAACAGTCCTTTCGCTGGTTCAAAACATGTTCTGTGATAGGAACTCCTAAATAAATTGACTGTTTCCTGTGTACAAAACTGGCAATAAACATATCACCAGTCTCCTCTTAAAACCAGTAACTCCTCTCTTTTATTATAAGCAGATCATCATTCCATCTGAGCAATATATTATGACAGTCAAAGGAACCCATCATGTACTAGTGATATAGTCAAACTTAGAACATAAAAGTTAACCTAACACATGTTTACTGATACATACAATTGCTATCTTGCTTTACAGTAACTAGTCATAAATAGTAAGGAAGGTTTAAAAACCAATGAAAAATTCAACTTTTTAATTTTACACTAGGTCCCAAAGGGGCAAATCTCCTTCTCAGAAACTATCCACTCAGATTTGTATAGCTGTAAAAGGCTTTTTGAGGATTAGATTAGGCTCTCACCTTGAGAAAGTAGAGATGTGAGATTAAAAAATCCATTTGGTTTAGGGAAGAGGTTAACAGCATGAGGCCAAGACCTCACAGTGGTCAAAGGAATTTGTGTTACTTCTTTTTGTTGAGATTCTCATAATATTTTTTAAATGAATTATCAAAAATAGTGTCTTCAAAATTGTGGCATATTTTAAATTTTCACACTAAACAAAACAACATTTTTTTAACAAGCACACATAATAGAATTCTATTTACAAGATGATAAAAATATTCTTATATATAAATATAAATGTCATAATGTGCTGTAGAAGTACGTGTAGTCCAATCATAGGCTCCACGTTTGAATTTGTATGATGAAATATTCTTTCAGAAAAAAAGAAATATTATTTCAATGTTGTGATTTGGCAATAAAGGCGAAGTTTAAATTTAGTAACTTTTGGGAATTTGAGGCCTTGACCAAGTGATTTTTCAGGACCCATCTGTGATAGTCCATGAAAGAAACCTCTTTTGAGGCCTCTCTGAGGAGTAGAGTATCATTAAACACAGATGATTAGTGGCCAATTATGACAGTTTCTCCAGCAGGAGGGGTCTGTGCGGGCATAGAGACTATTAAAATCAAGAGGTTCTGAGCCCTAAATATTAGCAACTGGGAATGGGCCATTGCTAAAGCGCCAGGCTTGTTTCTTGACCTATACTAAAAATAACTTCCATAAATGGAAAAAATGAAAATAAAAGTGCTTCTTAGCTATCACGAGGCTAGTGTCCAGAAATATTCAGATAGGGACCAGTGCTGAAGATGCCTGCTGACCCCTATCCTCTCCCCAATGTCCTCACCTTCTCCCACTTTTTCCCATCCTTGCCCCCCTACTTCAATTCAGAACTGTTGAAAGAATACAAAAATTAGCTGGGCATGGTGGCACGTGCCTGTAATCCCAGCTACTGGGAAGGCCGAGACAGGAGACTCGCTTGAACCCAGGAGGCAGAGGTTGCAGTGAGCTGAGATTGTGCCACTGCACTCCAGCCTGGGCAACACAGCCAGACTGTCTCAAAAAAAGAAAAGAAAAACTGGTAAAAGGTTGAGACTAACTCTGAACATTGGGGGGCAGTAGAGATTACAATCTGGTATGTACTTGGCTATAAAACAGGGATAATAACTCAGTTCCTATTCAGGGTAAAATAGGAATCTCAACGTTGTACTGAGGAGTAAATGAAGTAATGCATGTATAGTGCTAATTTGATAGCTATTATTATTAGATGCTTTCATAAAATGGAGATGTAAAAAATTAAAGATAGAAAATATTCCTTGCGCTAAAGATCTACAAAATGTACTTCCTGTGGATCACTTGTCGGTTTATAACACCTGTAGAGCAATAATAGAATAACAGAATATATATTCCTATTCCCTAAAGAGCAAGACCTAGGCCATTAGTACTCCAAGAATTGCAATCATTGCTATTAGTCCTCAGAATAGCAACATCAGCATCACCTGGGAATTTGTTACAAATGCAAATTATTGGGTTCCACCCCTGACCTACTCTATCAGAAACTCTGGAGGTGGGACCCTGCAATCTGTGTTTTATCAAGAACTCCCAGGAATTCTTATGCATGCTAAAGTGTGAGAACCATAAGATACTGAAGTTGGTTTGCTTTTGTTTTTCGTGGGTTTTTTTCTTTCTTTTTTCTTTCCTTTTCTTTTTTTTTGAGAAAAAGTCTCACTCTGTCGCCCAGGATGGAGTGCAATGGCTTTATCTCGGCTCACTGCAACCTCCGCCTCCCAGGTTCAAGCGATTCTCCTGCCTCAGCCTCCCGAGTAGTTGGGACTACAGGCATGCGCCACCACACCCAGCTAATTCTGTTTGTATTTTTAGTAGAGACCGGTTTCACCATGTTGGCCAGGCTGATCTCGAACTCCTGACCTCAAGTGATCCGCCCGCCTCAGCCTCCCCAAGTGCTGGGATTACTGGCATGAGCCACTGTGCCCAGCCCAGATACTGAAGTTTTAAGTGCTGTCATAGACTCTTAATTCTTTGAGAGGCACTTCTTTTTCACAAAAAAAGTGCTATTATTCACATAAGCCTTTTATTTTATCAAATGTGTTCATGTTTCTCTCACAAATGTGTATTATACAATTCTCATGTTTTTATTCTGTGCTTTGTCATAGTTTATATAGTTATCTGAATAAAGAATCTGACATTTTGGGTTTCCATTTTTAATATACTAATTTATATTCTCGGCAAAATAATTTAAGTTAAATTATACTTCCTTACTTGCACATAAGCATAATAAGCCATATTGATTATTTCATGGAAAAAATAAATCTGTGCATTTCTGGAGCTCTAAAATGGGAAAAAATAATACTGGCTGGAATCATCAGAACTAGTTCTGAAGTAAACTTTAAATTAAAAAATAGTTCTACAGCAAATGGCTTTTTTTGGTCACCTTGGAAAAGTGCCTCCTGTTTTATTCCTACTTCGGTCATGATTAGAGGCGCCTCCCCTGGCCTTATTCCAACACAGAGTGGCCAAGGACAAATATGAACATGCAAAAAGGATTTTCATTTGGCAAAACTTGTTTATAATAGTTCCTTATCCAGACCTCTAGGGTTCATTTCTGAGGATCCATGTCATGTCCTATTGTGTCAGGAATTGGTGGGTTCTTGGTCTCACTGACTTCAAGAATGAAGCTGCGGACCCTCGCGGTGAGTGTTACACTTCTTAAAGGCAGCGTGTCAGGAGTTTGTTCCTTCTGATGTTCGAATGTGTTCGGAGTTTCTTCCTTCTGGTGGGTTCACGGTCTCGCTGGCCCAGGAGTGAAGCTGTAGACCTTCGCAGTGAGTGTTACAGCTCTTAATGTGACACATCTGGAGTTGTTCGTTCCTCCCCGGTGGGTTCGTGGTCTCGCTGGCTTCCGTAGTGAAGCTGCAGACCTTCACGAGTGTCACAGCTCATAAAGGCAGTGTGGACCCAAAGAGTGAGCAGCAGCAAGATTTATTGCAAAGAGCAAAAGAACAAACCTTCCACAGTTTGGAAGGGGACCGGAGGGGGTTGCCACTGCTGGCTCGGGCAGCCTGCCTTTATTCTCTTATCTGGCCCCACCCACATCCTGCTGATTGGTCCATTTTACAGAGATCCGATTGGTCTGTTTTACAGGGAGCCGATTGGTCCGTTTTGACAGGGTGCTGATTGGTGCGTTTACAATCCCTGAGCTAGACACAAAAGTTCTCCACCTCCCCACTAGATTAGCTAGATACAGTGTGTCCACTGGTGTATTTACAAACCCTGAGCTAGACACAGGGTGCCGATTGGTGTGATTACAAACCTTGAGCTAGATACAGAGTGCTGATTGGTGTATTTACAATCCCTTAGCTAGACATAAAGATTCTCCAAGTCCCCACTAGATAGCTAGACACAGAGCGCAGATTGGTGCATTTACAAACCTTGAGCTAGACACAGAGTGCTGATTGGTGCATTTACAAACCTTGAGCTCGATAGAGAGTGCCGATTGGTGTATTCACAATCCCTTATCTAGACATAAAGATTCTCCAAGTCCCCACCAGATTCGCTAGATACAGAGTGCCCATTGATGCATCCACAAACCCTGAGCTAGACACAGGGCGCTGATTGGTGTGTCCACAAACCCTGAGCTAGACACAGAGTGCTGATTGGTGCATTTACAATCCCCCAGCTAGACATAAAGGTTCTCCAAGCTCCCACTAGACTCAGGAGCCCAGCTGGCTTCACCCAGTGGATCTAGCAGCAGGGTGCAGGTGAAGCTGCCTGCCAGTCCCACATGGTGGGCCTGCACTCCTCAGCCCTTGGGCGGTCGATGGGACTGGGCACGGTGGAGCAGGGGGCGGCGCTCGTTGGGGAGGCTTGGGCCGCGCAGGAGCCCACCGTGGGGGCAGGGCATGGCGGGCTGCAGGTCCAGAACCCTGCCCCCGGGGAGGCAGCTAAGGCCGGGCGAGAAATCGAGCACAGCAGCTATTGGCCCAGGTGCTAAGCCCCTCACTGCCCGGGGCTAGCGGGGCTGGCCGGCGGCTCCGAGTGCGGGGCCAGCCCAGCCCACGCCCACCCGGAATTCTAGCTGGCCCGCAAGCGCCGTGTGCAGTCCCGGTTCCCGCCTGTGCCTCTCCCTCCACACCTCCCGGCAGGCTGAGGGAGCTGGCTCTGGCCTCAGCCATCCCAGGAAGGGGCTCCCACAGTGCAGCAGCAGGCTGAAGGGCTCCTCAAGTGCGGCCAGAGTGGGCACGGAGGCCAGGGAGGCGCCAAGAGCGAGCCAGGGCTGCGAGGGCTGCCAGCAGGCTGTCACCTCTCACTATGGTCCATGTTCTTTGAACCCCGCTACAATCAAAACAACTGAAAGGAGTGATATGTTATGTGATCTTGGCAAACTCACTTAACTTCTCTCTGCCTCAATTTTCTCCTCTGTAAAATGGGGATAATGGTACTCATAGGAATTAAATAGCTTACTACATGTGAAGCACCTAGAACAATGACTGGCACACAGCAAGCACACTATTCACGTTAGTTATTATTACAGAAATGTAGACTAATTTCAGCCTCAAACTCTTACTCCAATTATCATTAATAGGAATAAATAACTTACTACAATCTAACCTACCCCCAATACTATGGCCCCTTGCCATCCCAGCACATTCAGAGCTTTGTAGATCAGAGAAATCAGACATGAACACTGCAATAAAAAGCAAATGAGGATATCATTTAGTTAGCCAGTCGGTGAATTTAGCAAATATTTATTGAGCAACTACTCTCTTTCAAACAATGGATCACATTTGTGGGTAAAGTTCACCTAGATTCTGCCTTCACAGTAAGGATTCTAGTGGGAGAGATAGGCATAGAAAAAATAATCACACAAATACATAACATACCTAATTACAAAATGTGATTATTATTACTAAGCCAAATTTCTAAGCAGAGAGAAAGATGTAGCCAGGATTTGTGTACTTTGCCTTGCAAAGCATTGTCTTGAGCAAGTGGCAAATCCTGGCTGGGGAGACTCATCTCTAGGGAGAAAAGCACAAGCTATTTCTGAAGGCTTTTTTGTTGTTGTTTTTTGTAGATCACATTAAGAGATTTTAGTTTTTATCTTACACCTGTTTGTTATTTTTTTGTCTTTTTTTTTCTTTTTGTGGAGAATGGGGTCTCACTATATTGTCCAGGCAGGTCTTGAACTCCTGGGCTCAAGCTATCCTCCTGCCTCTGCCTCCCTAAGTGCTGGGATTACAGGAGTAAGCCATGGCGTCTGGCTTAGTTTTTATCTTGAGGGCAATGAGACACCTTTGAGAAATTTCTGATTTTGGAATGGTAAATTTTAGCTGCAGTGCATGAGGGCAGAAACGGTTAGGGAGACCAATTAGGAGGTCATTTAGATAGTGCAGGTAAGAAATGTTATGGTGGGTCTTGTTACTAGTATTACATACTTGTGCTCCTTGAGTATTCTTTCCTGAAGCTGATATGACCTAGGTAAATGAACAGTATGATAAGATGTTGCTTTAAAAACAGTTCATCTTGTTTTATCTAATTATATCAAAACTACAAATTTGTCATAGAAAATTTGAAAAACAAAGAAGTATAATAAAGGAAATAAAAACCACCATAATCCTTCAGCTACCTACAACTACAGTACTATGTCCAACTTGATTTTTTTATTATAAAAGCAATACATGATCTTTATAGAAAAATTTTTAAGTAAGATAAAATTTTCTTATAATCCTACTAGCTATCCTTTGTTTTAATGCTAAACTGTGTTTGTTTCTGTGGCAAAGTTGAATGGCATGTGTGTCGGTCTAATAAAATGTAAATGATAGTGTAACTATACTATGTCCTGTTTTTACACTTAATATTATTATACAAATATTTTCTGTAGTGATTGAGAATTCTTGAAAAACTTAAATTTTAATGGCTATATAATGTCTATCTCTTACTCTGTTCCTGCTCTTATAACAAAATACCCCAGACCTGGTAATTTATACATAAAATAAATTTATTTACCACAGTTCTGGAGATTGGAAGGTCCAAAATCAATGTGCCAGCAGATTTGGTGTCTGGTGAGGGCTCACTGCTTCCAAGATGGTGCCTTGTTGCTGCATCCTCCAGAGGGGATGAACACTGCCTCCTCACATGTAGGAAGGGACAGATGGGTAAAAAGGGGTGAACTCGTTCCCTGAAGCCCTTTTATAAGGACACTATTCTCATCTTTGCAGGTGGAGCCCTCATAACCTAATCACCTTCCAAAAGGCCCTACCTCTTAATACCATCACATTGGGAGTTAAGATTTCAACATATGAATTTGAAGGGCACACATATACTTAGACCCTAGCAGTGCATCAATCATATGGGTGTACTATAATTTAGTTACCCAATATCTTATTATTAAACATTTAGATCTTTTCAATTTTTTCATTATTATATTTAAATCTGGGGTGACCGTCCTTTGTTTCCATCTCTGGCTTTCTGGTAATAGAGACATTTATTCTCACCCTTGCACTTGTTTACCTGGTAAACTATATGGTAAAGCACCTTGGTCTCTGTGAGATGGCATCCCTGGCCTAGGGGTCTTTATTATTTTTCTCTGATCAACCAACTAATAGGTGGTAAGGGGGTATGACAACTATGTTATGCAAGAGATAGATTATGCAATCAGGCAAATTTATGGGAGAGGACAGAAGGTGAGACCTTTGAGGGATCATGACATAGAAGGAATAGACTTGTTCTATGTTTCTCCAGGGATGAGTCACAGGACCAATAGGTGGAAATATCAAAGAGGCATATTTCAGTTCAACAAAATAATAGCAAAAATTTATACAGTGCTTAGTCTGTGGCAAGTACTCCTCTAAGCATGTTTATGTACATGTATTAAGTTAATTCTCTCAATATCCTGTGTGGTAAGTACTATCATTATGCTCACTTTACAAAGGAGGAAGCCGAGGCCCAGATAGGTTAAGTAACTTGTCCTAGGTCACACAGTTAGTAAGTGGCGAAGTCAGTATTCACATCCAGGCATTTGCAGCTCTAAATTATTCCATTCTACAAACTTTTATTACTTGTCATATGACAGGCAGTGTGTTCAGAGTTGAAAGCATAAAGATGATTGAACTACTATTAGACTCCTGGCCTCAAGGAGCTGACAGTCAAATGGATAAGACTGCCACATAAAAAGAGAGGTATACTACATTGCAGTGAGCCCTCTGAGAGAAATATGTCAGAGTGCTGTAAGAGTCAGAAGAGGGCCCATTAGCCCAAACTGGAGGTTCAAGGAAGAAGAGTAGAAGGCTTCACCTAGGCTCAGTGGAAAAATGCCATGTTCTGTTCACAATTCTGCCATGGGCACAGGAGGAGGGGGCAAGGTTGCTTCATATTTATTGATTTCGGGGTTAGACTCTCCTCTAGATCTAGGTGTCTAAATAAGGGAACTCCTGAATTGGGAGTAGAATTTAATTCAATCATGGTTTGCTAAAGTTCAATTATTTATGTTTTAACTTCATGATTTAGACCATATCTGAGTACTACCTATATCATTATTTACTTAATATGCTTCTTTAAATACACTGACATGTTTTACTTAAGTAAATTTCATCAAAAATAGCATTACCATAAATGGAAAGCTAGTTTTACTCTCCATAAATAGAAGGTAACCATACAGATAAATATATACTATTAGAAAATATTTATCTATGTACCACCTAAATCACCTGGTATGAATGCCACTGGATGAAATAACCTCTTTGAGTCCTTCCTACACCAACATTCTGTGATTGGGTGACTAAATCTTGCTAGTATGTATGTATGCATTGTTTTATTTTCAGTATATTTGTGTATATTCTCCCCACTTGTTCACATACTCCTGGCCATTTAGTTGTGTGTTTATATCATGTAAACAGGTATCGTTGCTTATATCCCCATAACATACTAATTAGACTCTTATCTTGGATCAAATAATTTATTTCACCTTAGGAAGTAAATCACTACTGCTAATCTGCCTGGCTTACTCTTTTAAATACCCTGCTGGCCTGACTTGAGAAGGGAATATCCTGTTATTGTGGCTCCAGGGTAAACTGCTCCAACTATATTTGTGGTATTGACTTGAGAGAAAAGGACTACCACAATGCAAGGCCATTTGGGCAAACAAAGGACAGAGGAAATGAAAAATGAGGCTGCAGTACTTCAATAGGTGTATTGGCAGAAAGGTTTTAAGAAAGCACCAAAGACATCCTCCCCACCCTCTTTATTCTCTCCCTTTTACTTTCTGAGGGAAGTGATAAGACTGCAATGGGAAGAAGGGTGAAGGCCAATCTCCTGTTGGCTTAGGGGACAGTGAAAGATGGATACCACCCCTCTGTTGGGGAAGTGAGAGCTGCTTGTGGTAAGTAACACAAGGATGATAAGCATGAGCTTGCCTTTGGGGGCCTTCAGAGCCCTGGCGCCTCTCTGGATTAGCTCAGTGATAAAAAAGTTCCTGTTCTATTTATGCATTTCCTTAGACAATCTCATATATTTATTTGTTTAATATTAAAGCAGTAATTCAAGTCTTTTTCTTTTTTTTTTTTTGGACAGAGTCTCACTCTGTGGCCCAGGCTGGAGTGCAGTGGTGCGACCTCAGCTCACTGCAACCTCCGCCTCCCGGGTTCAAGCAATTCTTTTGCCTCCTGAGTAGCTGGGACTACAGGTGTGCACCACCATGCCTGGCTAATTTTTGTATTTTTAGTAGAGACCAGGTTTCACCATATTGGCCAGGCTGGTCTCGAACTCCTGACCTCGTGATGAATCCGCCTTGGCCTCACAAAGTGCTGGGATTACAGGCGTGAGCCACGGTGCCCAGCCTGCAAGTCTTTTTCTTGTATACACAATAGACTCTTGCCCTGACTCAGGAATATACACTTTGGGGACAAGGCCAAGGATGTTATCCCTTTTCTGCAGGTGCAGTTTTTCTGGTTTGACTTGATTGTTGATTATAAAGTCTCTTCCCTCTTCCCTCCTCCAATTTATGGGTGTGGTGGTATCTAGGGTCTAAAATGGAGTTAAAAACCCATACATACTCAACCCCCTAGCCCCAACACACACACACACACACACACACACACACACACACACACACACCTAGTCAAGCTCCTTGCTCATAAAGATAGCAGCCTGAGGCACAACTAAATTTATAGGACTCAGCAGGCCTGCTAGAGCTTGTCTGGGATGGTGCGGTGCCAGAATTTCAAACCCTGGCCACATGTTTCTGGCCCATTGGCCATTCCTAAACCAAATTTAATCATGCCTCTGAATGTCTCAAGCAAGCAGTTTAGTTGCTGATTTTTATAAACTGGTTTATTTATACATACAGTGGCAAGGGTTATGGGGAACACAGGAGCATGTTCTCAATATCTATGACCAGAAAGAGACTCAACCTAAAGCTGGTAGTTTTCACAGTTGCCATTGCTATGAATATTAGTTAACCTTTATTGAGAGCTTTCTTTGTGCCAGACACTGTGCTTTGTAGGCTATAATCTCATTGGCGGCCAATCTAGGTTTTGTGGGGCTGGAAGCTTATACCACTTTGGGGACCATCTTTAAGAAAAACACAATGTTTGATCCCTTCTGGAGTCTTGGAAAGGGGCGTAAAGCTTAAGCTTCATTAATTTTACTGTAAAGCCACCTCTGCATCTTATTTAATCTTTTTGACAATTCTGTGAAGTAATATCTTTAAAAGAAATAGGTGAGGAAATGTTTAGAGATGTGAAGGCACTTGCCCAGGGTTGCACAGTTTGCAATCTAAATCATTGTTTTATCCCCGCAATCTCCTTCCAGGCTTTCTTCTCTCAGCTAACTAGATTTCCTTCTCCAAAATATCTTTATCCTTTGCTGGCAGTAACCTTAGTGCTGTCCTCTGGGACATGTGAGGAACTTAACACTGGTTCAACATTAGCGGAGGGGCAAAAGGTCTCCTTCTAGCTGAGCTCGCAGAAGGAATATGCTCTCTGGGGAACTGTGGAATAAGAAGAAAAGTGGGTGAGGAGGACAATTTTGTTCCCACTAGGTCTGAACTATGCCCTGGTTTTAGCTACATTTTTGTTGTTCCACAAACAACAGTGATTTAATGAATGCAGATTTTTCTGTTTGTATATTGCTTGACTTCCCTTTCATTCCCCAGCCCAGCTTTACCCAGCTGAGGTCCTAACTCCCCTCCCATCTACCCACCCTTCCTCACTTTGCCCTATTCTGCCCCACCTTCCTGTCAGGCCCAGCTTCTCAAGCCTTCTTTTTTTTATTGTTGTTGTTCTACTGGGAGCAGAGAGGGTGGAGTCCTCTTACTGAGGCTTTTCCTCCTCCCTTCCCTCCAGCCCTCAGACTGGGCTCCACCCTGGTAGTTTGTCAGCTGGCTTTCAGGAGGAGGAGAAGCGGGATGATGAAGAGGAGAAAGAGAAGAAGGGAAGAACAGCATATGTGGGCCCAGAATCGTGTCTGCATATTTCTCAGCTGCTTTTCATTAGGTTCCACACTTAATTTAACACTCCTCATCTGATTACTTGGATATATAGAGGAAAGCACAGGCTGCTTCTTCAAGCAGTCTCCCTCACGCATAAGGTGGGATGGAAGGAGTTGAAAATATCGCAGGTTGCTATTTGGTTCATGTTTATTCTAGCCAGCTAAAGAAAGGAGAGCCTGAGGTGTTTCCTAGACGGACAGGGAAATTTATCAAAACTTCTAGTTCCCCATACCTGCTCCCTCACACCCTTTCGTGTGACATAGACAACACCAACCACATGCTGATTATTTCTATGTGTCAAGAGTAAAAGAATATAAAGGCAAACTCCTGCCTTTGACATTAACTGTGGTCATGGGTTTCATAGTTCCCTGTGAACCATCTTTGGGTCCTAATTTGAGTGAGACAGAGGCCATCTCTAAAGGACTTGAAGGGGAAATGTGGACTAATAGGCTGTGTGCGTACAGTGAAATTGAGGGTTCATCCACTGGAGCCTCTTAGAATGGATGTTCTCATTCCACCGCCCCCCAACACCTAGCATTGTTCTTGATAAAGCACAGGTGCTCAATACATTTTATTGACTGAATAGATGAAAGAACAGATGGGAAAGGATCTTGGGTTTGTTTTTCCAAGTTTCAATAACTTCAAGTTTTCCAAAAACTGAATTTGCCATCTAAGGTCTAAGTTTTCCCCACAAATAAAGTTGAGGCAGTATTTCTAAAACAAACAAAAAGCTAGAGCTTAAAATAAATTTGTCAACAATAAAGACTTTTAATAAAATATAAACTGTTAAGCTATCTGTGTATGGATCGACCTTCTTGAAAAGCTATTTCAGACTGAAAAAGTAACTCGATGACCTTAAGGCACACCCACTGTATTCAGGGCTAGTAGTGGCTACTCTTTTCAAAATGTTACTTCAGCAATCTACTCATTTTCATCTGCACATCACAAAAATGCATTTATTATTGATATAAACTGCTTAATGTCTTTCACACACTTGAATCTAAGAGAAAACTTTTCAGCATTGCTCAAAACAGTGCTGTAGTGGTAAGAATCCTATATTGGATAATACTCCCCAAATTTTATACATTGAGAAACAAAGCCTCCAAGGAATAAAGTAAATTTTTTAAATGAAGGCATAGAGAGTTGTACACTTCTCTGTATGATTCCATCTCAATATATCTTACCTTGTAAGCTTGGCAGGGGTGCAGGTCGTGGTGAAGAGATATAGTGAGATAGAGAGTTATTTATGAAACCCCTACTACAGGGACATTCTTTTATGAAACAAATACATATGCATGTGTATTTATTTAACCTGTCACTAAGTTTCCACATCTGTAAAATGGGGATAGCAATGTCTACCCATAGGATTGTCAGAAGGATTCAATGAGTTAATATACATAAGAGGCTTACAACAGAGTTTAGTACATAGTTAATGCTCAATAACTATTATTATTGTTAATAATAATATAACTTGGCATCCAAGTTACAGAAATGAGATCGCCTGGTGCTTCAGCTCAAGGACTTTATAGTTTAGTAGGGGGAGGCAATTATACCAACAAATATGTGCCCCGAGGTAGAGAAGGGCACAGAGGAAGCAATGGTCAGTTTTGCCTGAAGAAATTAAGTAAGGAGGGGAGATGACCTTGAGTTAGTCCTTTCAAGAAAGTGGACAGATTCATTGGAAGGACATGCAAGAAAAAAAAAGGTGGACAGAGAGCTTAGTCTATTTCAGTCAGAGAAAGTAAAGCAACCCAAGGCATAGAGATTGGAAACAGCTTGGAATTCCCAGGGATTTGTAATCCAGGTAAAGCCCAGGAGAACAGCAAAATCTCTGCTGCTTGAGAGGCAGACAAAGGCCAGATCACAGCAGGTTAAAGGATGAGTTCCAGGGTGCTGCCTTGGATGTATGGTGGTGCCATTCAGGTAGTTGGTGAACTACAGGAGGAAGAACAGAGTGTTTTGGGGAAAGGAAGGTAGATGAGATGCACAGAAGACATTCAGGCAGAAATATCAACTAAGTAAGTAGACCTATGTGTTCGAAAGTACTGGGCTGAGGCCTTCCGTTTCCTTATTTTTTTAAATAAAGGGCACAGAGAATATAACAGTACCTAGTTCCCAGGGTTGTTATTGGGACTAAATGGGGAAATGTTGAATGTAAAAGCACCTGGCTCAGGGACTTGCCCATATTAGGTGCTGAATACATGGCAGATATTATTATTTCTCCTGTCTCTTTGCTCTTCCTCCCTCTGCTTTGTTTCTTGTCTCTCTTCTTTTTCCTCCTCTTTAAAAGAATTGTGGTAGGGAAGAGGCACTGAAAATGGGCTGTGGTTGCTTGTGACTTCCTGGCCTCCCATTAAAATGAGCTAGAGAGAGACTTTCAGGCAAGCGTAAAGAAATCCTGGAAACATGGCTCCTATCCTGTGGATTCAGCTTTACGGGGATCTTCGCCAATGCCTGGCTGAGAGGCGGTCTCAGGGGGTTGAGAACTCTATTCTTAGAGGTCTGGTATCTGGGAGACTGAGAAAGCCTTTCTTAAGTCTCCCTGCTGGGCCACGCTGTATTCACAGATCATCTTCAACTCCTTCTTCTTCCCCACCTACTCCTTCGCCCTCACCTCCTTGGCTTATCTCTTGCTAGAAAATGCACCAAGCTCCAATCTCCGTTCCTTTTAGCTTCCTCCCTGAGAAGACACTGTGACCTCGCTGTCCTTGTTCGTGTTACCATGGAGAGGTAGGAGGATAAATATCGCTTCCAGTTGTCAGCTTTTTTGTTTTCTCCTTTCCCTCTTAGACAGCCCCCAGCCCCAATCCCAGTACCCGTTTCACCACCCTCCCCTGGAGAATTAGCATAACCGGAGTAAATAGGTAATCAAGCAGTGTGCTTGCAAGCCTTAATTTTGGGACAGATAAGGAAGTGAAATTGATTGGAATTATACCTGCCGCTGCTGGAGGCTGAGGGAGGCGGCCGCCGGAGGCGAGGCCAGCTCTGTCGGCCCAGGGCCCCGCCCCACCCCCTCCTTCCTCCCTCCTCCTTCTCAGCCCCACCCTTCTCCACCTCCTCCCACTTTGCACTCTCCTCTAGCGGCCGCCTGTCCTTTTTAAGGAACTCCACCCTAGGTGGAGTCCTCACGATAGTCACACCTCTCCTTTGGGCCTAGCAGGGCCAGAGAAAGACGGAATCACTCTACCCACTCAGGTTGCCCAGAGAGCACTTTAGGTTCTGACTCGCGTGGGGCGCGAGGTACCCCGTGGGGCAGCTAGGTGCCTCCAAGAAACCCCGCCCCAGAGGACCCGCACGAGTTGCTGCCATTTTTCGCTGAAGCCCCTGCCCTGGGGCTGGTGTTCTTCTCTATGATTCTACCAATCGTCGGCATTTTTTTCCTCCCTTCTTTCTTTTTAGGAAGGCGCTGGGGTGTGCGGCGGCAACGGCGGCGGTGAAGGGATCCTCTTGTGGTATCTCCTCGTGGGTTCCTGTCTTGAAGGATTTCTTCTCCGCCTCAACTTTATGTTCAAGTAGCGCTTTGGGGGTTGGGTTGGTTTTCATAGCCCCCACCCCCGGCCCTCTCCTTTTAAAGGGTGTGTGGAGTTCAGAGGATGGGTGGAGAGCGGGCTTGGCCGGAACTGAATTGGTAGAGGTAAAAGGGGAACGGAGGACCTTAAGCTCTGGCCACTTCGGCCCAGCGAACCCACTTTATTTTTGTCCAAGGAAAAGCTGCAGGGGGGAGGATTCTTTTTAGGAAGTCTACTCTGCCGGCCCCTGATTTTTGGGTTGGATGCTTGAGAGCTTTGTTTCCCTTGTTCCGAGAGTGGCCCAGCTGGGTCTGAATCGACTCCCTCCCCTTTCGACCCCCTCCTCATTTTCCAGCCCGGAGAAATAGGGGAGTGGGGGCCCAAGAACGAGAAGACGAGAACGCGTCGCCCTGCGCTATGTCAGAATGGGGCGGGTGTGAGGGGAACAGCTCTCTTGCGATCAGCTCAGGAGTATGAGCCTCCCGGAGGACGGCATGAGTTCTGGACACTTCAGGAGTCCTCAGCTAGTGACATGGTCGGTAAGTGACTCTGGGACTAATACCCACCCACTCCCACCTCTTTCGTCTAGATTCTATCCCCCTCCCAGTCCCCCTGCTCCCCCCACACACCCCACTTGGGGTTTCAGCAGTGGGGGCGGGAGCGGAAGGTTAAGAACACTATGTGGAATCAAATGAAACTCAAGGGAAAATGACTTTGCTAAAGGGCTGGGCAAAGAAAGGCCAAGAAGGAGAGGAGAGAGCTTGGTGGAAGAAGTGAAAGGGGGCAAGAATGGATGGATTTGTCTAGTCTAGTCTCCCCTGGCTCGGCACTCCCAATACTCCTTAAGCGGTAAGGATTGTCTTTGACTTAACCCCACACAGCCAAAGTCACAACCAGAGAGAACAGGATTCACAAGGCCAAAGCTCCCAGGTAACCCCCTGAAGCCATAGCGGGTACCTAGAGAAGCTTCTGAAAAGAAGGAGGAGGGGACAGTGGTTTAAGGTGCAAAGTTAGGCTATTGGAGGCACAGAGTGAGGCCTGGAAGCAGCTGCGGGGGAGGAGCTGCTTTGGGCGTGCCAGCTCTTTAAGGAGGGGCTGAGCTTGGTTGGAGAAGGAAGCCAGAGCCTAGGCTCTGCTCCGGCCCTTTAAGACGTGGCCAAGGCAGTTGGTTCGTCTGTGTAGGTGGAAGACTGACTGGGCCGAGTTGCTGTGATTGCTGAAGTGAATCCATTTGTTTAGCCACTTGGCGGAGCTGTCTTTTTGTGGGCTTTTTTTTTTAACCCTAAGAATTTGGGAAAAAATAAATCACATCCAAACAGGTGGCCAAAGGCACCATGTCTTATTTCTTTTGGTATTATATTCATCGTGAAGAAACGCATTTATTAAGCACCTGTCACCCAGTGTGGTAATAATTGAGCAAAAAGAATAATCTTTAAATTTGGATTTGAAACTGATGGAGATTGCCATGGTTTGGGGTAATCTGCTTTGAAACCCTAGTATCACCACTTATTAGCTGCATCACCCTGGGCCTTGCTTTTCTCTTCCATAGAATGCAGATTAATAATTCTATCTCAGTAGATACTCGGGTGGATGAAATATCTTGTGTATGTGGCAGAGGCTGCCACTTGTATCTTAGTTCAACTTCCCTTTTCTACTCAGTTTGGAACTATTTTTCTGGACCACTGCTGATAAAATTAGTGTTTTTCTGTCCTTAAAACACCTTCCAGATGTGGTAAAACGAAACTTAGGAAGACTGAATTAGTTTGTCCAAAGGCTGAGGCTAGAACACAGGTTTTATTTGCTTCTGATTTAACATTGTTTCCACCAGACTTCATCACTTCTGAAAGAAAGGGCTACTAGCCTGCCTTTTCTCTCATTCTTTGGGCAACTTAACCAGAATGATATAACCAACAGGACTTTTGGACAACAGAAACAAGTGATAGGTAAATGACCTCATCCCATTCTTCAGAGTTATGGGGAAGCCCTTGAGAGTTGTTGACCTTTGGTGACTGCTGGGGACACAGAGAATGGGTGGGGAGCAATGTCTTCAGGTAAGCCTGGAGGGCAGACAGGCAGAAAACATAGGAAGAGTAGAAATAATAACCTCAAAAGTAAAAATGACAGGTGCATCTATGTAGTCCACCCTCAAGACCAACTTACTTAATGGCTGTACCTTCAGAGCCCTCAGGAGCTATACATCCCTCTTGTTTAGACTTTTCAGGGCACATTGGAAATTGGGAAAAAAATAACCATGTAGCAGACTACCATCACCACTCTCATTGTTCTAATACATGCATTTCTGAGGTGGGGTTCTCATTGGCTAAGTGAATTCCAATAACCAAAGTAGCAAACAGAGCCTAGTCATTTTTGATCTTGCCAGATTGTCTGTGCCTGGTGCGGTGGGGGCAGTATATGATCTTCTAAGATCTAGCTTTACAATGCCATGATTTTGTGAATGAAGGAAAACTTAATTAGGATGATTGACATAGATGATCATCTAGTATGATTACCATCTTATTGTTAAGTAGAGTATGAATAAGGGAATAACATTGTAGTATTGGGCTCATTTGTTTATTCAAAGACAGTGTGAGATCATGTTTGGTATTCTTCCTGATTTTTTTTTTTTTTTTTGACACGGTGTTTCGCCCTTGTTGCCCAGGCTGGAGTGCAATGGCGTGATCTCGGCTTGCCGCAACCTTCGCCTCCCAGGTTCAAGTGATTCTCCTGCCTCAGCCTCCTGAGTAGCTGGGATTACAGGCATGCACCACCATACCTGGCTAATTTTGTATTTTTAGTGGAGACGGGGTTTCTCCATGTTGGTCAGGCTGGTCTCGAACTCCCAACCTCAGGTGATCCATCCACCTCAGCCTCCCAAAGTGCTGGGATTACAGGCATGAGCCACGTGCCCAACCTCTTCCTGATTTTTATATGCTAATGTTTACTATCCTCAACTGAGTTTCATCATTTAGCCTGTTTCCTCATCTCTAAAATGACATGATAATTTGTGATTATAAATAATGTAAGGAAAGCATTGAACTCAGTGCCTGATATCTAATATGTTTCATAAGTTGCGGTCTCATCATTTTTGTTATTTAAAAAAATTTGTTTTATTTAAATGCTGCTGTGTGTTTGCAGAAGTGGAATGTAGATTAGTGGACAGGAAGCTGGATTTAAATATATGAAAGGTGCTAGATGTTCTGTATAATATACTAAAAGATGTTATTTGTGTATTTAGACAAAATAGATGTGATGTGGGCAAACTAAGCTCTAGGATTATTAAGGAGCAATAACCTAACTCAAGAGCCCAATCCAGATATTTCAAATCACTAGCAATTTGACATTTTGTTGTAACCTCACACTCACCATTTCTAATATACAGCCCATCATCACCTCTGGACTCTTCACTCATTCCTCATTCAAGACTCTTCCTTTCACTTCCCTGGTTCTGCAACTTACTATGACCATAGTAATGGTGAACTTATTTAAACTCTGTACTTTAGTTGTCATATCTGTGCATTGGGGATAATAATAGACACTACCTCATAAGGTTGCTGTGAGGAATAAGTGTGTTAATTTTGTAAACACTTAGAAGGCGGCATGAAAGTGAAGCAGTGGGAAAATGTAGCTGTTGTGGTACTCATGTCCCTTTCCCCTCTTCCTCATTTTCTCATTTAATTAGATGCCAATGGCTGTTGTATTTTTTCCCCTTTGTATCTGGTATCTGTTTCTTTATTATTATTCTAACTGCCACCACCTTAATTTAGGCGAGACGTGCAAACAATTAGCCTACAGACCAACTAAAGCTCACACGTGTTTTGTTTTCCCTAAAATTTAAAAACTTTCAACTAAAACATGCATTTTCAATTGGTAATGCATTCCGCCTGGCTCAAAATTCAGTATTTACTAAAGGGTGCATGGTGAAAAAAGTCTCCCTCCTATTCCTGTTCTCTAGCCACCCATTTTGCCTCGCTGGAGGCAACTAATGTTATCTATTTATTAGGAATCTCTCCAGGGATATTTAGTGTATATCAAGCAATGAGTATGTTTGTGTGTGTGTGTGTGTGTGTGTGTGTGTGTGAATAACATTGTAGTATTGGGCTCATTTGTTTACTCAAAGATAATGTGAAATCATGTTTGGTTTTCTATAGATAGATAGATGGATATATATATATATATATATATGGTTCAGTATCTTCTGATTATTCAAAAGAAACTGGAATTCTAGGAATTTAAGTGAAATCTGATTTTGAAATACTGGTTATCAATCAACTTTTAAAAGTGTGGGACTAGGCAACTTGACATACTGACATGAACTGAATTGTGACCCCCCCATCCCCCCCAAAAAAATTCATACATTGAAGACCTAATACCTAAGCTTGTGACTGTATTTGGAGATAGGGCCTTTAGGAAAGAAATTAAGGTTAGATGAGCTCATATTATATATAATACATATATAATATTAGTATATATGTAAGTACCACAACAACTATATTTTCTCACTGCTTACTTCACTTTCATGCCTTCTTCTAAGTGTTTACAAAATTAACACACTTATTCTTCACTGCAACCTTATGAGGTAGTTTCTATTATATATATATGTGTGTGTGTGTGTGTGTTTGTGTGTGTGTGTGTATATATATATCCCCTTCACCTTTTATACACAGATAGTAACACATTCTGCATATTGTTCTCTACAACTTGCTTGTCTACTTAAAAATATACTTTGGAGATATTTTCATATATGCACATTTTTTAAATGCCTCATTCTTTTTTATGACTGCATAGGTTTTTACTATATGCATGAGCCACAAATTTTTAAACAGTTTTCTGTTGATTGATCTTTAAGTTATTTCCAAACTTTTGCAGTGTTATTTGTAATAACAATAAAAACTTTTGTAAGCAGTGCATTAGAGAGCTCAGGCTGCCATAACAAAATACCATTGACTGAGTGGCTTAAACAACAGAAATGTATTTTCTCACAGTTCTGGAGGCTGGGAGTCCATGATCAGGGTGCCAACATGGTCAGATTTTCATGAGGACTCTCTTTCTGACCTGTAGAAGGCCACCTTTTCACTTTGTACTCATGTGATCTTTGTACAAATGGGAGGAGAAAGAGTGAATTCTCTCTGGTGTGTCTTCTTAGAAAGACACTAATCCTATCAGATCAGAACCTCACCTTTATGAGCTCATTTAACCTTAATTTCTTTCCTAAAGGCCCTATCTTCAAATATAGTCACTAGGTTAGGTCTTCTACCTATTAATTTTTTTTTGGAGAGTGGACACAACACAAGTCAGTTCATAGCAGTGTGTCAAATTGCCTAGTCCCACACTTTTAAAAGTTGGTTGATTGCCAATATTTCAAAATCAGATTTCCCTTAAAATTCTAGAATTCTAGGCCGGGCGCAGTGGCTCATGCCTGTAATCCCAGGACTTTGGGAGGCCAAAGCAGGAGGATCACCTGTCAGCAGTTCGAAACCAGCTTGACCAACATGGTAAAACCCCATCTATATTAAAAATACAAAATTAGCCGGGTGTGGTGGTGCATGCCTGTAATCCCAGCTACTCAGGAACCTGAGACAGGAGAATCGATTGGACCTGGGAGGCGGAGGTTGCAGTGAGCCGAGATCACACCATTGCACTCCAGCTTGGGCAACAAGAGTGAAACTCCGTCTCAAAAGAAAACAAAAATTCTTCAATTCCAGTTTCTTTTGACTAATCAGAAGATACTGAACCAGCATTCTCTCTTGGCAATAATTGCCTAGAGTTGATGAGCCTCTCCCTCCCTCCCCTTTAAAACAGTACTTGTATTTTTTGTTCACCACATTACTCATCTGGCCTAGGTGGCCTTAACCTGTCTGACCCCTAGTCTAGATATTGAGATTATGGCACCTATGTAAGCTCTTACCGCAGTACTCATAGAATATTCCAATAGCTTCTAGTTCTACTTTGATTCTTTCTGCCCTCTCTACTCTGAGGACCACTGCAAGGATATATTCCTTAAAACACTTTTAAAAATTATGTTACTCTCCTTCACTCCACAGTCATTTACTGGGTGTCTACAAAGTTGGAAGCATCATGCTAGAAGCTGAGGTGATAGTGGTAAACTTACCACTTTAGGTTAGGTAAACTATCAGTTTAGGTGGGACCCTTGCCTTCATGGAGTATGCAGTTTACTTTTCCTCTCGTCTGGATTTCCTTTCTGTTTCTTCTTGACTGTCGTAGTTCTTCAAAGCCCACCTCAAAGCAAACCATTTATTTGAAATTTTCTCTGACTATTCCATTCTCAGTAATCTCCTCCTCTCCCAATTATTGCTCATAGCCTCAAATCATAATCCAGCAATGCAGCATCTATTATCTTGTAATATTTGATTGCTATTATTTTATGCATAATTGTTTCTCATCACACGGACCTGGGATCTCAAACTTAAATCTCCAGGGCCCAGTAAAATGAGAAAAGCATGCCCTGTCTAAAGGGGACAGCTGTTGATCATCTCCAGCTAATTTTTCCCTTGTGCCAATGTACACTCTGTATTATAAAATCTCTCAGCTTTTTTAGAAAAGCAAGAAATAGGATTTTTTTCTTAAAACATGAAATCTGCATTTGAAAGGTTGTTAGATGTTTCTGTTTTAATCTTTAACATCACTATGAGAACCAGGCCAACATCTGCAGTGGGCTGCCAGTTTTCTCTATCTGACCTAGACTGCAAATTTACTGAGGATAGAGGCCAGAGACCATGAAGTTTTCTTCCTTCTGGTATTACCTCCTCCCTCCTTCCCACATAATATCTACTACAGTGTTGACTATTTAGTAGGGTCTTGGTAAAGACTTGATTATCATCAGAAAGTTCCCCTTTAAGTTAACCATGATGTCCTGTAAATGACATAGTAGTTCTACTTTCTCCAAATACCTAAATGTGCCTTTGAAGACAATTATCAGGCCAGCTTTCTTTTTCCCTGTCCCCCTTTTTGCCAGATGTAATCATCTACATTTCTTGATCTAGCTCCATTTTGTTTTCTTTTAAAAAAATTGGTTATTTCTCTAGTTTCTTTCATTTTTTTCTGCATTTCTCTTCTATTTGCCATTTTTCTTGAAATATTGTACATCACAAATAAAGTACAGTATCTTCAGAAAGGTCTACATGATGCTGAGCATATATTTAAGTTTGATTATTTGGAGCTAATTATTCCATCTCTTGTTTCTTCCTATACGTTCAATGATGCGGTTGTTTCATCTTCAGTTAGAATGGGCGGGGATGTGATGTGAATATATTTATTTCTTGTTTGTTAAACTAGTTCTGATAAATATACATAACAGTTGGTGCTAAAAGAATAATAACATACTTATTCCTTAATTTTGTAGCTAGATCCTAGAATAGATGTGTAGCGTTGAATTGGCTACTGCATTAACCTCACTTTCTGGAGCTCTACAAACTGAAATGGTCCAAGACTCTTCTAGGATGCCTTGTCTTGGTGCTCCTGAGCCACTGCTCAGGCAGTGAGTAGAAAAGTTATTCAAGAGCCAAGGTCTCTTCCCTTAAGTACCTGTTGCACAAAACATGGATGAGGACCAATTGTATTGTTACAAATTATTTGTGGTTGCCACACTACCACCATGTTTAATTTATTGGAGGAGATTGTTGCATGAAATAAAGGTATGAAGTAATGAAGAGGATCACATGAGATGTTACATAATGATTCAGAGCAATGAGTTTTTGCTGCTGTGGCTCTTTGTCCCTTAGTGCCATGCTGGAGTTGTAATTCCTAGAGGTTTTGTTTTATAATTAACATAATAATTAGTGGGAATCTTTTAATACTCTGTACATATATTCAATATTAGAGTTTGCTGCAAAGATATAAAAACACCTTCATTATTATTATTTTCAACTCTAACAAACTATTTCAAAGTACAGGGTAGTAGCAAGTACTTTAAGGAAAAAAAAAGAGCTTTGGTATCAAACATCATACCTGGATTCCAATCCCAGCTCAATAATTTACCAGTTTATGTGACCTTGGGATTATTTAATCCCATTGACTCTATTTCTTCATGTGTATAGTGGGATCAACAGTAATACCTACCTCACAGGGCAATTGTGAAAATTAAATATGTCCCATTAGAAATGCCATGAAGTGTGGCACACGTTTACCTATGTAACAAACCTGCACGTCCTGCACATGTACCTCAAACTTTAAAATTAAAAAAAGAAATGCCATGAAATGATATATCTGGGATTTGCATAAAAATATACATTGAGGTAGGGGGAGTGGGTTGAGGTACAGATGAAACAAGGTTTACCATTAGCTGAAAATCATTGAATCTGAGAGTAGGCGCATGGGGTTTTTGTCTACTTTTGTATGCATTTAAAATCACCCATAATTTTTTTTTGAGATGGAGCCTCGCTCTTTCATGCAGAGTGGAGTGCAATGGCATGATCTCAGTTCACTGCAACTTCCACCTCCTGAGTTAAAGTGACTCGTGCCTCAGCCTACCAAGTGGCTGGGACTACAGGCATGTGCCACCACACCTGGCTAATTTTTGTATTTTTTAGTAGAGATGGCATTTCACCATGTTGGTCAGGCTGGTCTCAAACTCCTGACTTCAAGTGATCCACCCGCCTTGGCCTCCCAAAGTGCTAGGACTACAGGCATGAGCCACCGCACCCAGTCATTCATAGTAATTTTTTAAATGCCATTGGAATGAGACTCAAGTTTACCTGATGGTTTGTAGAAAACTTAATCCTTCTTGACATCAATCTCACAGGTTAAGCAGAAACCTGAGATGATTATTATGGATTTTCCATCTATGTCCTTGTAATAAAATCATATATCATAGAATGTTATAAACTGGAAGGGATCTGAAAAGGACTAAGTAGTTTACTCAAAATGACACTGCTAGACAACAGTGAAGCCTGATCTAGAATACAAGTCTCCCAGATCCTAGTTAAATGATTTTCCCATTGTTTCACATGGCCTTCTTTAATAGTAAGAGTTTTATCTGCTTATTGCATATAAGATTAATTATTGTCTAAACATAAATATATTTGTTCAATGGAGATTCAAGGCAAGGGGACTGGTTCTAGGCATCTGAGATTATGTTTCTATAATACCTTTAAATCTGTTTTGTCAATTGATTCTTACAAGTATCTTGTGAGGTGAATGAGGAGTTATTTCCACTTTCTACATAAAGTGACGAGACTTGCTCAAGGTCACACAACAATTTACTGATTAAACTAGAACTAAAATGCAGGCCTGGAGTTTATTGAGCTTCATCTCCACTTGTATTTCCAGTTTTAGACTTTTATCATAATTCCTCTTAGCTTTCATCTTTTTCCAGAATGAGGAATCTTAATCTCTAGCACATTCCAAGGTAATTTTTCATTCTGGCGTATTTATTTTCTTTTTGTGGAAAAGAAAATGTAGCTTAACATCAGCGTCTGAGAGAAGCGCAACTGGCTGAAAGCACTGGAGGCTATGCAGGTGATATTGTAGAACATGAACTCATAGGAGAATGGAGATAAAGATATCAAAAATCATACATAAGTTTGTTACTGGAAATGGTTTACATCTTAAGTATGTGACCGTATTTATGTACTTTTAAAATTTTTCTGACAGAAGTAATCCTAAAAACTTATATGGCTATTTTATCTTTACATCTTATAAGATATTTTTACATGTGTTATCATGATTGGTCTTCCTAACAGCCATGAGTGGGGAGGGCTACACTGGTGTATTCCCATTTTTCAAAGGAGAAAACAGACATAGAAAGGTCAAATGACTTGCCCAAAGTTATAAATCCCTTTTCTGGTATTTCTTATCACCTTATATTTTCAATACCTTATATGACTTCACTACTTCAAGTTTAGCTGGCTGTTGTAGTAATCATGTAATACTAGATTTCAGTCTTTCTGTCACTGTCGTTCATACATGTTATGTGCTGCCAGCCTTCATTTATTTTTGTGGCAATATGTTTTCTCCTCTTAAATTCTGTTCTTTTTAACATCCTAGTTTGCCCCCACTTCCTTTTCTCTCATTCCAGGTAAGCTAAGCAGGAAAACTACAGGGGTTTTCTGGTTTGTTTGTTTTTTCTTTCTGCTGGAAAGATACACGTAAATTTAGAATTAGTCAGCTGGACTCAGTTTAGATGATCCCAATTTTGTTGGCAACATCCAAAGCATTGTAATCAGGAGCCAGTCGAACGTATGCCTTCTTCTCTCCATCAGGTCAAATCAGGGTGTTGATTTGCCACATCAGTATCATAGAGCTTCTTCACAGCCTGTTTGATCTGGTGCTTGTTGGCTTTAACATCCACAATGAACACAAGTGTGCTGTTGTCTCCTATCTTCTTCATGGCCGACACAGTGGTCAGCGGAAACTTGGTGATAGCATAGTAGTCAAGCTTGTTTCTCCTGGGGGCACTCCTCCGAGGATATTTGGGCTGCCTACAGAGTCGCAGTGACTTGGGCCGCTGGAAGGTGAGGGGTGTGTGGATCTTCTTTTTTGTGTGTGTGGTTGTGGACACCTTTCAACACTGTCTTCTTGGCCTTCAAAGCCTTTGCTTTGGCTTTGACTTTAGGAGGGGCAGGAGCTTCCTTCTTCCCTTTCCGCGCCATCTTATCGGGGTTTTCTGTTTTACAGCTACTTCTGAGTACCTGCTGTGGTGGTGGTTCTTATAATTTAGACTGGGTACCTCAAGTCACTCTCCAGCTTTTGTGTATGTTGAAACTCTTGCTTTTTTTTTTTTTTTTTTTTTTTTTTGAGACGGAGTCTCACTCTGTCTCCCAGACTAGAGTGCAATGGTGCGACCTCAGCTCACTGCAACCTCCCCATCTCCTGTGAAGCGATTCTCTTGCCTCAGCCTCCCAAGTAGCTGGGATTGCAGGCATGCACCACCACTCCCAGCTAATTTTTATATTTTCAGTAGAGACAGGGTTTCACCATGTTGGCCAGGATGGTCTCGATCTCCTGACCTCATGATCCACCTGCCACGGCCTCCAAAAGTGCTAGGATAACAGGCATGAGCCACCACGCCCGGCCCAAAACTCTTGAATAGAAAAGTCATACAGAGCTGCCTGCTGAGGTGCTACAACTGGAAGGTGAGGTTGAGTTTTCCAATGGTGACAGGTGTGAGCCTGTTTGGGGGAAATGAGATAAATTGGAGGCTTTTGCAATCTCCCTTTATTAAGTAGTTGGTTTATAGCAACCATTTATTCTCTGCTATGGAATCTGCTTAAAACAGAAGCTGGAAGATCCTACTGGTACCCAGGTAATTTCATTATAGCTGCTTTATGTCTCCAGACTACTGAGGTTTAAATCTCCTCTCTGCTGTTTACTAACTTGGTGATTTGGTGGTAAGCAACTTCATCTCTCTGTGCCTTAGTTTCCTCATTTTTAAATTTCATTCAATTCAATTTAATTTTTATTTTCTGTTTTTGAAACAGGGTCTCTCTGCACCCAGGCTAGACTGCGGTGGCACAATCATAGCTCACTGTAGCCTCTACCTTCTGGTCTCATGTGATCCTCTTGCCTCAGCCTCACACAACAACATGCCTGGCTAATTTTTAAATTTTTGGTAGAGATGGGGTCTCACTATGTTGCCCAGGCTATTCTCAAACTCCTGAGCTCAAGTTATCCTCCCGCCTTGGCCTCCCAAAGTGCTGGAACTACAAGCATGAGCCACTGTGCCAGGCCCTCTTTCTTCCTTTTTAAAATGAGGAAATAATGGTGCCTACTACTAGGGTTGTAAGGATTAAATGAAGATATCTATAGATAGATAAATAGATATAAACAGAACAGTGTCTGACACAAAGTAAGCACTCAATGAATGTCGGCTGTTATAGTTCTTTTTATCACCATTCCATTATTAATGTCATGCTGCAGAGATATCCTGAAGGCTTTCCCAAAGGCCCATTGCAACACTACTCTTAATTCCTCTGGAAGATGTGCAATAAAATTGTCTGAAAATAAATGTGTACTGTAGTCTTTCTCAAAACCCTTAAGCATTGATTTTTATTTTTAAATAGTTCCAGTACTTCTTATAGGTTAGAGGCCAAAGATGAATGATATCTGCTTAAGATCTTCCTAAGTGATTAGTTGTGTTGTCCTTAAATGTGTTCTTCTTTTAGCAGACAGTTTTTCAGAAAGAAGGTGCTCACCAGATTTGAGGTATTAGAAAATGGTTGGGGAGCACTATAATTTGAGTCAGAGGACTAAAGTTTCAGTTCTGATTCTAGCACTTCTAAACTATGTGATGTCAGGCCTCCAAATTTATTATGTGTGAAATGGAAATTATATGAAAGCTGTGTATTTCCTTACTGTAAAGCTATGTTGATGTATATAAGACATTATTTGAATTGTCCAAATGCTGTATCCTGTCAAAGCACAAGGTCTTTCTTAGGCCCGGGTCAGGGTTTCCAGTGCTCTGCTTTCTTTTTAGTTGTAGGTTCTAATGACTCTGCTTTGCACCCCTTGTCACTTTATCTCTAGGCATTTTTCCCTTTCAGGGTTGGCCAAAGGATGGGATGTTTTCTTCTTAGCCAGCACCTGCTCCAGTTCCTTGGAGGCACTGTTCACTTTTGTAAGACAAGCTGATCATTATAGGAAATGCCACTTTTGTATAATATAAACTTGGGGACATGACAAAAGTTACATAATTTTATCAAACTCCTGTAGTCACAGTACCTGGAATGTGGTTTGTGATGTCCTGCATATATGAGACATTGACCCACTGGCGATGGGACTCAATCTTCTTCCCTATTTCTTCCTCCTCTGTTTCCTTCTATAGGACCCATGCCCTTAGGAGAAGGACCAGAAAGTCCAGCTTGTAGACACAAAGGCTTGAAGAGCCAATCCAAGCAGAATAATGGTTATTACCTCAAGTTGGTAATTTGCATTTCTGGTGTCCTCCTGCCTGAGTGATTCACATCTCAATGGCCCAGGCCATATATACTATAACCCCCTTTTGTATATTTCCTTACCACTTCCCTGACAGCTTTTGTGCAGCTGTCTGGTCTCTCTTAGGCACTTAGAGCAGAAATTCCAACTCTAGAGAAGAGCAAGAGGCTCATAAATCCCTCTTCAAAAAAAAACAGAGCCTTCTTTAAGACCTTCTGTGGGCCTTAATTTTCTTCAGTTTTCAATTTTGCCTGGGTAAATATTTTTTAAAATTAAATTTAAAAAAGGAGGTTATATACCTTCCCAGTATCTTTCCTTATAGTCATTCCTACCAATATTTAGAAGGTTGACCAGGATTACCTAATGGCTATTCCATTTGGCTGTTTTCTGGGTGAGGGCACTAGCCAGAAATGGCTGAGACATTATTAATTGTCAGCTCTCCCTCTTATACTATTTTACTAAAATATTTGTGATATAGGAGGGCCAAGAAGTATTTTTCAGGCTCCTTGATTGTTGCTATTAAAGCTTTTGAAGATGGGCAGTTATAGTTCTGGATATGGCTCTATCTTTCCTCATTTCCCTGATCATTCATTCCTTTATTCACTGGACATTAGTACATAGTGTATAGGAGATGCTCTGCTAAAAGATAGGGATACAAAAAAAGGAACAAGACTAGGTAACTATTGAAGGGCTCACCTGGTGGTGAAGGAAACGGACAGTTCCTCTTTGTGCCAGGTACTGTTGTAAATACTTGAACATATATCAACTTGATACATCCTCATAGTAATTCTGTGACCTGGTACTATAATTATTCCCATTTTACAGATGAGAAAACAGACACAGGAGGCTGGAAAAACTTTGCCCAACTTCTTACTGTTAAGAAGTCACAGAATCAGAATGTGATTCTAGGCACTCACTCCAGAGCCCACATGTTTTACTACACTTTGAGAGCAATGTGGAGTATTGACCAGAAGGGGAAGGAAGTGACTATGAAATGATGAAGGGCTAGATTTAAGAGATATATCTGCAGGAGAATTATTATAGCTGATAACCAACTGGCTGAAGATAGGGAGAGAGGAGTCAAAGGTGGCTGACCCCTAGGTTTTTAGACTGATAGACTGGGTTTATGGTGGTGCTAGAAATTAAGATTAGAAATATAAGAGGTGGAGCAGGTTTGTGAACTCATGGGGTATAAAAGTCCTATTTGATACACAGGACAGATTCTTTGGGCCAGAGTTCAAGATTCTGATAATCAACAATAATAATGGTGGTGATAATAGCTAACTGAGAGTGTTCTATATGCCAGGATTTGTTTTAAGTGTATTTACATGTACAGTTATTCATCCCTTAATGAAGGGGATATGTTCTGCAAAATACATCCTTAGACAATTTTTACATTGTGTGAATATCATAGAATGTACTAACATAAACCTAGATGGTATAATCTACTACAACCTAGGCTATATGGTATAGCTTATTGCTCCTAGGCTACAAACTTCTATAGCATGTTACTGTACTGGACACTGTAGGCAGTTGTAGCATAATGGTGTATATTTGTGTATCTAAACATAGAAAAGGCACAGTTAAAATATGGCATAAAAGATTTTAAAATGGTGTACCTGAACACCACTTAACATGAAGGAAACTTGCAGAACTAGAAGTTGCTCTGAGTAAGTCACTTAGTGAGTAGCGAGTGAATGTTAAGGCCTAGGACATTACTGTACCTTACTTTAGACTTTTTAAACAGTGTACACTAGGCTACACTAAATTTATAAACAATTTTTTCTTATAAATTAACCTTAGCTTACTATAACTTTTTTAGCTTAAAACACAAATCCTGTACAGCTGTACAAAAATATTTTATTTCTTTGTATTCTTATTTTATAAGCTTTTTTCTATTGTTAATTATTTTTTTTTTGCTTTTTACAAGTTTTTGTTAAAAACTAAGACACAAAGACACATCAGCCTAGGCCTATGAGGGTCAGGATCATCAATATCACTGTCTTCTACCTTATATCTTGTCCCACTGGAAGATCTTCAGGGGTAATAACATGCATGGAGCTGCCGTCTGGTATGACAACAATACCTTCTTCTGGGATACCTCCTGAAAGACCTGCCTGAGAATGTTTTATAATTAACTTTTTTTTAGTAAGTAGAAGGAGTACACTCTAAAATGATGATAGAATGTATAGTGTAGTAAATACAGAAAACAATAACATAGTCATTTGTTATCATTGTTAAGTATTACATACTGTATATAATTATATTGACTGACAGCACAGTCGATTTGTTTACACCAGCATCACCACAAATACATGAGTAATGCTTTGCACTGTGACATTACAGCGGGTATGATATCACTAGGTGATAGGAATTTTTTAGCTCTGTTATAATTGTATAGAATCATTGTCGTATCTATGAGAACACTTGGACACAGGAAGGGGAACATCACACACTGGGGCCTGTCATGGGGTGGGGGGAGAGCGGAGGGATAGCATTAGGAGATATACTTAATGTAAATGACGAGTTAATGGGTGCAGCACACCAACATGGCACATGGATACATATGTAACAAACCTGCACGTTGTGCACGTGTACCCTAGAACTTAAAGTATGAAAAAAAAAAGAACAGTGTCGTATCTGTGGGTCATCGTTGACTGAAACGTCATTACATGGCATATGAATGTATTAACATGGAATGTTCACATTAACTCTGTTAAGGCAATACCGTGTTACCCCCTCTTTTGGCAGGTGAAGAAACTGAGGTTCATAGAAGCTAATATAGCCTCTCAGAATCACTCTGCTTCCTCAACTCTGCTGTCTCTTAATCCATAGGAATCGAAGAACAGATTGGAGTTGGCTGTCTTAAGTTGTACTTGCTAGAAATAATGAAGCCTGTTGAAGGTGTTGTGTGAATGCAGAGGGAGAATCGAATCTTCTCCACTCCTACGCATGGTTCTGGCAGCAACAAAGAAAGCTCTCCTGGCGTTTTGGTGCCCCCCTGTGGGCTGTATGAGAGTTACCTGACCTCACATTCTTTTTCCACCATCACACCTCCTTTTCCTGTCTTAGAAATCAGAAAAAGCTTAGCTACCCTCTCTACCACCTCTCACTTCATAGTTAATTACACCTCAGGCATCTTTCATGCATAAATTCTCTAATTTTCTTTCGTTCTTTTCCACCCTTTTCCAATTTCTGTACTTGAGAAAACACATTCCCTCACTCTCCTTTTCTGTCACTGTCATCAAAAACCTTCGAAAATGTGATTAAACACCTACCATGTACCAGGCAATGTTCTAGGGCCTTGGAATACATTAGTGAAAAAAACAAAGATGAAAGTATCTGCCTGCAAGGAGCTCAGATTCTATTGGAAGTCAGTTTTCTTAATTCTGGCTTCTACTATTCTTATTACTTACTACAGTTCCTCCATTAACCTGTTAAAAGAGAAACTTTAGACAAATTACACTTAACAGTTTAATCGAGCAAAGAATGATTCATGAATCAGGCAGCCCCCAGAAGAAATAATAGATTCAGAGCAACTCTGGGGCTGCCATGTAGTCAGATAATATTTATGGACAGAAAATGGAAGTGAGGTACAGAAACAGCTGGATTGGTTATATCTCAGTATTTGCCTTATTCAAACACTTTGAGTTGTTGACTGCCTGTAATTGGCTGAAACTCTGTGATTGGCGCAACAGTAGATTACACTGTCTACACATCCAGTTAGGTTATGGTTCATTATGGATGGGGAAACCTTTAGGCTGAACTTGAAATATGTAAGGAGGAAGCTTTAAGCTAACCTTAATTTAACAAACCCCACCCCCAAGTTCCATGGAAGCCTTAGGGTTCTGCAGAGGATAGTCTGAAATCTTTTAATCATAGATGGACAAGTTGTGGCTTAGGAAAAAAAAGGCCTTGCCAAAGATTATGGGATGTGAGTGCTGCACATCTAACTCCCAGAAAATCTGGTTGAGGAAGAAAGCTAGTAGGTGCTTCTAGTATGAATGACTGATGGTTTAAGGCAGCTGAATTAAGACACTAATTCCTTTTTTTAAGAGGAAAAACTAAAGAAGAAAGAGAAAACTGTTTTTATTACCCCACCTGGCTTGCAGATTTAAGAGACGTAGACAGATAAAATACGTCTCTAGAGAGATTTGGCCTTGATGTGTAAATAAGTTCACTCGGGTAAATATATATATAGGAGCTTGGAACTCCTTCAAGCAAGAACTAGACCAGGAAGGTAGAATACTGAAAACTGTAGCTATACTGATGTTCCTCTGAAGGCAGAGCATGTTGGAGAAATAGGAAGAAACAGATTACCTGCATGCAGTTTGGTGGAGGGGAGCAGCTAATATTATTGGGGAAAAGTTAGGTCCATCTTGATGAGTAAAATAAATCAGAAGGTTTCAATGACTTATCAGTATCTGGTAAGCACTGAAAGATAAAGGTCATAGAACACACATAACATTAATGGCATATTTATGCATATAGTGGGTTAGATTTTATTCTGAAAGTTGTCTTTTCCTTTTCTCTTTTCCAGATATGGATAAACTCATAAACAACTTGGAGGTCCAACTTAATTCAGAAGGTGGCTCAATGCAGGTATTCAAGCAGGTCAGTTATCAGGAAAATAGGGTGCTAATATTGGGCCATAATAGTATTGAATACCTGGTAGTGATTACAGAATTTAAACTCATTTTTCTTTCTATAACATGTTTGGGGATTGAGAAGAGGTGAAGGAAGACATATTTCTAGAAAGTATATGAATGCCTTGGTTTCATAGTCAGCTGGGGAGTAGATCTGGCCTAAAAGAAACATAGCCTCTGGAATCAAGGCTATAAAGACAAGAGTAGACCTTTAGTAGACAATAGCAACTATTTATATAGCACTATTTCATATTTCAGATAGGATGAAGATTAAATGCATTGTCTTATTTAATCTTCACCATAATCCTGTTGAACAGTGTATTAATTAGTATTCTCCAGAGAAACAGAACCAACAGGATATGTGTGTATGGTGTATGTGTGTGTGTATGCATATATGTACATGGAGAGAGAGAGAGAGAGAGATTTCAAGAAATTGGCTCATTAGATTGTGGAGGCATGGCAAGTCCAAAACCCCATCAGGGGTAGGCCGGCAGGCTGGAGATTCAGAAGGAGTTACAGTTTGAGTCCAAAAGCAGATTGTGAGAAGAATTCTTTCTTGCTCTATGGAGGACAGTCTTTGTTTTAAAAACTAAGGTCTTCAACTGATTGGTTGAGGACCACTCACATTATAGAGAGTAATGTGCCCTATTTAAAGTACAATGTTTTAAATGTTGGTCTCATCCAAAAAAATACCTTCACAGAAACATCTAGAATAATGTTTGACCAAATATCTGGGCACTGTAGCCCAGCCAAGTTGTCACATAAAATTAACCATCATTATTCTTAGTTTCCCCATTTGATGGAAAATAAAACTGGCCTTGAACACTCCAAGAATTAGGATTCGAAACAGGTTATCTGGATTTTATGTCCCAGGGCTCTGTGCTAGATGTTGAAGTCCCGTCTTTCTTGGGGTTGCAAATTCACTGCATGAGTGAAACTCAAATACAGTCAAAATTAACCTTGAAAATCCTTAAATCACCTATAGACTTGAGTATACAGTGTTGTATATACAATACTTGTCTGTTTCTTTATTTAATTCATCAGATAAAGTTGGTTACATTTAGGAATCTTTTTGTTATAATTTCAACTTTTATTTTATTTTTTGAATTTTTATATATTTATTTATTTATTTATTTATTTATTTGAGACGGAGTCTCGCTTTGTCACCCAGGATGGAGTGCAGTGGCACAATCTTGGCTCACTGCATCCTCTGCCTTCCAGGTTCAAGCTATTCTTCTGCCTCAGCCTCCTGAGTAGCTGGGACTACAGGCACGCACCACCATGCCCGGCTAATTTTTGTATTTTTAGTAGGGACAGGGTTTCACCATATTGGCTAGGCTGGTCTCGAACTCCTGACCTCATGATCCGCCCACCTCGGCCTCCCAAAGTGCTGGGTTTATAGGTGTGAGCCACCGTACCTGGCCTTATTTTTAATTTTTGTAGGTACATAGTAGGCGTATATATTTATGGGATACATTGAGATGTTTTCATACAGGCATGCAATGTGAAATAATCACATTATGGAGAATGGGGTATCCATCCCTGCAGCATTTATCCTTTGTGTTACAAACAATGCAATTACACTCTTTTAGATATTTTTTAAGTGTACAATTAAGTTATTATTGACTCTAGTCACCCTATCATGCTATCAAATAGTAGGTCTTATTTGTTATTTCCAACTTTTTTTTGTTTTTGAGATGGAGTCTCTCTCTGTTGCCCAGGCTGGAGTACAGTGGTGGCTTCTCAGCTCACTGCAACCTCCGCCTCCCAGATTCAAGCAATTATCTTGCCTCAGCCTCCTGAGTAGCTAGGACTACAGGCACATGCCACCACGCCCAGCTAATTGTTTGTATTTTTAGTAGAGACAGGGTTTCACCATGTTGGCCAGGCTGGTCTCAAAATCCTGACCTCAGGTGATCTGCCCATGTCGGCCTCCCAAAGTGCTGGGGATTACAGGAGAGAGCCACTGCACCCAGACAATTTCTAACTATTTTTTCGTACACATTCACCATGACCACCTCCTCCTCAACACCCCACTGCCCTTCCCAGCCTCTGGTAACCATCCTTCTACTCTCTATGTCCATGAGTTCAATGGTTTCGATTTTTAGATCCCACAAATAAATAAGAACATGTGATATTTGTCTTTCTATACCTGACTTATTTCACTGAACATAATAATCTCCAGTTCCACCCATGTTATTGCAAATGACAGGATCTCATTCTTTTTATGGCTGAATAGTACTCCATTGTGTATCTGTAACACATTTTCTTTATCCATTCATCTGTTGATGAATACTTAGGTTGCTTCCAAATCTTAGCTATTGTGAATAGTGCTGCAACAAACATGGAAGTGCAGATATCTCTTTGATATACTGATTTCCTTTCTTTTTGGTATATACCCAGCAGTGGGATTGCTGGATCATATAGTAGCTCAATTTTCAATTTTTTTGAGGAACCTCCAAATTGTTCTCCATAGTGGCTGTACTAATTTACATTCCCACCAACAGTGCACAAGTGTTTTCTTTTCTCCACATCCTCACCAGCATTTATTATTGCCTAACTCTTGGATAAAAGCCATTTTAAATATCTCATTGTAGTTTTGATTTACATTTCTCTGATGATCACTGATGTTGAGCACCTTTTCATATACCTGTTTGCCATTTGTATGTCTTCTTCTGAGAAATGTCTATTCAAATGTTTTACCCATTTTTAAATTGAATTATTAGACTTTTTTCTATTGAGTTGTTTGAGCTCATTATATATTCTGGTGATTAATCTGTTGTCAGATGGGTAGTTTACAAATATTTTCTCCCAATCTATGGGTTGTCTCTTCACTTTGTTGATTGAATCCTTTGCTTTGCAGAAGCTTTTTAATTGATGTGATCCCATTTGTTCCTGTTTGCTTTGGTTGCCTGTGTTTGTGGGGTATTGCTCAAGAAATTTTTGCCCAGACCAATGTCCTGGAGATTTTCCCAAATATTTTCTGCAGCAGTTTCATAGTTTGAGGTCTTAGATTTAACTCTTTAATCCATTTTAATTTAATTTTTGTATATGGTTAGAGATAGGGTTCTGGTTTCATTTTTCTGCATATGGATATCCAGGTTTCCCAGCACCATTTATTGAAGAGACCACGCATTCCCCAATGTATGTTCCTGGCACCTTTGTAAAAAATGAATTCTTTGTAGATGTATGGCTTTATTTCTGGGTTCTCTATTTTGTTCCATTGCACTGTATGTTTGTTTTCATGCCAATACAATGCCATTTTGGTTACTATAGCTCTATAGTATAACTTGAAGTCAGGTAATGTGATTCCTTCAGTTTTGTTCTTTTTGCTTAGGATAACAGGCTATTCTCGGTATTTGTGGTTTGATATAAATTTTCGGATTTCGTTTTTCTATTTTTGTACATAATGTCTTTTTTTCTTTTTCTTTTTTTTTTTTTTGAGATGTTGTCTCACTCTGTTGCCCAGGCCGGAGTGCAGTGGCACAATCTTGGCTCATTGCAACCTTCACCTCCTGGCTTCCAGCAATTCTTGTGCCTCAGCCTCCCAAGTAGCAGGGACTATGGGCATGTGCCACCATGCCCAGCTAATTTTTTTTTTTTTTTTTGGCAGAGACGGGGTTTCACCATGTTAACCAGACTGGTCCTGAACTCCTAACCTGAAGTGATCCACCCACCTCTTTGTGTTCCCAAAGTGTGTCAACAGTGAACAATCTGACAAAGCAACACTTTGCTTCCCAAAGTGTTGAGATTACAGACATGAGCCACTGCGCCCAGACAAGAATGTCATTGGTATTTTGATAGGGATTTTATTGAATCTGTATTGTGTTTTAGGTAGCATTGAAGCAGGATATTTCCTTGACCCCTTCGTGGGTGGGAACTGGAGTGCACTGGTGCTGGACCTAGCTGGCGCTTTGGCACTAGCAGGGGCGAATTCCACTCACTTAAACCTGCTGTGTTCTACCCCTTGTGGGAGGGGAATCACAGGTCAGTGGGTGCAGGAGCTGGGGTGAGTGCCTTTGGGCACCGGCAGGAGCAAAACTCTATGCGCACCCCACAGCAGAGTCCGGGGGGCGGGGTGCCTGCGACCCTTGAAGCCCCAGAAGGAGTGTTACAGTACCCTTTTAGCTTTGCTGTTTGCAGATGGCTTAAGCATTAACAGCTCACCAGAGGGTCAGTGTGACAGCCTTCTGCACCCACACTGAAGTTCTTGTCTGGCATCCAGGAGGAATGAGGTTACACAATGAATCAAAGGTGGTTAATGTGGGAGATTTTATTGCTGATCAAAGTGGCTATCAGTGGGAGGGGGAGCTGAAAAGGGGATGGAGTGGGAAGGTAATCTTCCCCTGGATTCCAGCTGTCCCCATCTGGACTCCTCTCCAAAGCTATGCCATCAAGCTGTCCCTCTGAAGTCAAGCCACTTCTCTCCAACATCCAACTATAATCTCCAACGTTTAGCTGCTTCTCCTCTTTCTGCCAGCTGAGCCTGGGTTTTTATGGGCACAGGATAGGGGGCAGGGTCAACCATGGGTGGTTTTGGAAAAGGCAACATTCAAGCAGGAAAACGGAAATATAAGTTCTCACTTTGGACTGTGGTTCCAGGCTTCAGGGTGGGGCCCTCACCAGGGACCTGCCCACTTCTGCCTAGAATTTCCCTGCCTCCTGTCCCTGTCAGTATGGACATTTCAACAATATTGATTCTTCCAATCCATGAACATAGAATATTTTTCCATTTTTTGATGTCCTCTTCAATTTCTTTCTTCAGTGTTTTATAGTTTTCATTGTAGACATCTCCCACTTCTTTGGTTAATTTGTAGGTATTTAATTTTATGTGTGGCTATTGTAAACAGGTTTACTTTTTTATTTCTTTTTCAGATTGTTCACTGTTGACATAAAGATGCTACTGATTTGATTAGTTTGATTTTCTATACTGCAGCTTTACTGAATTTGTTTATGGGTTCTAATAGTTTTTTGTGGAGTTTTTAGGTTTTTCCAAATATAGGATCATATCATCTGCAAACAAAAATAATTTGACTTCTTTTTTTCCAATTTGAATGCCCTTTATATCTTTCTCTTTTCTGATGGCTCTAGCCAGGACTTCCAATACTATGTGGAATAACAGTGTTGACAATGGGCATCCTTGACATGTGCCAGGTCTTAGAGGAAAGGCTTTCAGTTTTTCCCCATTCGATATGATACTAGCTGTGGGTCTGTTTTATATGGCTTTTATTATGCTGAGGTGTTACTTGTATCCCCAGTTTTTTGAAGGGATGTTGAATTTTATCAAATGCTTTTTCAGCATCAATTGAAATAATCATGGTCTTTAATCCTTCATTCTGTTGATATTATGTATCACATTGATTGATTTGTGTGTTGAACTGTCTTTGCACCCAGGGATCCCACTTGGTCAGGATGAAGGATCTTTCTAATATATTGTTGAATTTGGTTTGCCAGTAGCTTGTTGAGGATTTTTGCATCAGTATTCATCAGAGATATTGGCCTGTAATTTTCTTTTTTTGAAGTGTCTTTGTCTGGTTTTGGTATCAGGGTAATACTGGCCTTGTAGAATGAGTTTGGAAATAGTTCCTCCTCTATTTTTCAGAATAGTTTCAGTAGAATTGGTATGAGCTCTTCTTTAAATGTTTGGTAGAATTCAGCTGTGAAGCCATCAGGTCCTGGGCTTTTCTTTACTAGGAGACTTTTTATTATGGCTTCAATCTCATTACTTGTTATTGGTCTGTTCATGTTTTGGATTTCATGGTTCAATCTTGGTAGGTTATATGTGTCTAGGAATTTGTCCATTTTTTTCTAGATTTTTCAATTCATTGACATGTAATTGCTCATAGTGGCTACTAATGATCCTTTGAATTTCTGCAATATCAGTTGTAATGTCTCCTTTTTCATTTCTGATATTATTTATTTGGATCTTCTCTCTTTTTTTCTCATTAGCCTGGCTAAAGGTATGTCAATTTTGTTTAACTTTTCAAAAAACAACTTTTTGTTTCACTGATCTTTTGTATTTTATTTCAAATTCTTTTAATTCTCCTCTCATCTTTGTTATTTCTTCTACTAATTTTGGGGTTGGTTTGCTCTTGTTTTTCTATTTTTTTTTCCAAAAGAATATGCAGGTATCATTGCTTTTCTAGGTCTTTAAGATGAATTATTAGATTGTCTGTTTGAAGTTTTTTCTGTCTTCTGATGTAGGCACTTACAGCTATAAAACTTCCCTCTTATGACTGTTTTTGCTATATTCCATAGGTTTTGATATGTTGTTTTCCATTATCACTTGTTTCAAGAAATTTTTCAATTTTCTTCTTAATTTCTTCATTGACTCACTGGTCATTCAGGAGCAATTTTTGTTGTAGTTGGTTTTTTTGTTTGTTTGTGACAGAGTTTCACTGTTGTTGCCCAGTCTGGAGTGAAATGGTGTGATCTCAGCTCACTGCAACTTCTGTCCCCTGAGTTCAAGTGATTTTCCTGCCTCAGGCTCCCAAATAGCTGGGATTACAGGCATGTGCCACCACACCTGGCTAATTTTGTATTTTTAGTAGAGACGGGGTTTCTCCATGTTGGTCAGGCTGGTCTCGAACTCCCAACCTCAGGTGATCTGTCTGCCTCGGCCTCCCAAAGTGCTGGGATTACAGGCGTGAGCCACCTTGCCTGGCAGGAGCATATTTTTTAATTTCCCTAATTAAGTTAAAGTTTAATAATATTATTAAACATTAATAAATTAATGTTTTATAATACTACTGGTGTATGGTGTTTGTATAGTTTCCTAAATTCCTCTTGTTATTAATTTCTAGTTTTATTCTATTGTGGTCAGAGAAGATGCTTGATGTTATTTCAGGTTTTCTGAGTGTCTTAAGGTGTGTTTTGTCACCTAACGTATAGTCTGTCACTGAGAATGATCCTTGTGCTGGGGAAAACAATGTGTATTCTTCGGCCATTGGATGAAATGTTCTGTAAATATATATTGGATCCATTTGGTCTATAGTGCAGATTAAGTCTGATGTTTCTTTGTTGAGTGTCTTCAACTTTTATTTTAGATTCAGGGGATACATGTGCAGGTTTGTTACATGGGTGTATTGTGTGATGCCGAGGTTTGGGATATGGATGATCTTGTCACCATGGTAGTAAGCATAGTATTCAATGGTTTTTCAACCCTTGTTCTCCTCTCTCCCTCCTTCTTCTAGTAGTACCCAGTGTCTATTTTTGCCATCTTTATGTCCATGAGTACCCAACGTTTAGCTCTCATAAATAAGAACATGCAGTATTTGGTTTCCTGTTCCTGCATTAATTCCCTTAGGAGAATAGCCTCTAGCTGTATCCATATTGCTGCAAAAGACATGATTTTGTTCTTATTTATGTCTACATAGTATTCCATGGTATATCTTTACCACATTTTCTTGATCCATTCCGCCATCGATGGGCGCTTACGTTGATTTCATGTCTTTGCTATTGTGAATAATGCTGTGATGAACATATAAGTGCAGGTATATTTTTGGTAGAATGATTTATTTTCTTTTGTATATATACCGAGTAATAGGATTGCTGGGTCAAATGGTAGTTCTGTATTAAGTTCCTTGAGAAATCTAGGAGTCAGTTTTAAAAATTGTTCTCAATCATTGTTTGGCCCATGGTGTATAAATGAATTTGCTTAAGTTGCATATGCATATGGATGAGAATCCTTTGTACTGTTTTAATGATATTTAGCCCTATTTGATGTCCCATTTACCTTAATCGTAGCTTTTGCATTTAGGAATTATTAGCACATCAAAACTTGCTAATTGTTGGAAAACTTCTGCCTGTTGCTAGAGCTTACTCATAGTTAATACCAAGAGGAAGCTGAGTATAAGTAGTATTAGATAAAAATCTATTGTACTTGTAATAAAAAATACTCTATGAAATGTCATTGAGCGTGCATAGCTACCTTTGTTGTTGTTGTTGTTGTTTTGAGATGGAGTCTTGCTCTGTCACCCAGGCTTGAGTGCAGTGGTGTGATCTCGGTTCACCGCAAGCTCCGCCTCCTGCGTTCACGCCATTCTCCTGCCTCAGCCTCCCAAGTAGCTGGGACCACAGGCGCCTGCCACCACACCTCGCTAATTTTGTTTTGTACTGTTAGTAGAGACAGGGTTTCACCATGTTAGCCAGGATGGTCTTGATCTCCTGACCTCGTGATCTGCCAGCCTCGGCCTCCCAAAGTGCTGGGATTACAGGCGTGAGCCACCGCACCTGGCCAAAGCTACCTTATTTTGAGATCTCAGTGTACCTAAGTATAATTCTAGAAATGTTTTTCTATGCATTCTTTAGGTATACTGAACTTCCAGAATTTGGAGGCACTTTGAAATTGGTTCAATGTGTAGAAAAGTCTGGATAGTAAGGGATCTAAGCACTTTTTTTGTTTGTTTCTTGGCATTTCCAGGATATCTTATTTTTAGAAAAGCCTGAGTGCTTGTGATACATGGCCACAGCACACTGGCCATGTCTCAGGTGACAAGGACCAGGAGTTTGTGTTCTATAACTACGCAATGCTGGCATCATTCTAGTGTGGAGAAGCCTCCTGGTTTGATTCATTATAGGATTTGTTTATTTCAAAAGTTAGGACTAGTGGGTGGGTGTGTAGCTCAGGGCACACATGCTGCTCTCCCTTCTCTAAATTTCTGTATCAACATACCATGCAGTGAAAGAGCATTTGGTTGTCACCTGCCCTTTATTTTTCGTTTCTGATTACTTCCTACAAGTGGGATGTCTTGGTCAAAATGTATGAGCAGTGTTAGGGTTAAATTTTATCATACATGTCTCTCCTTTACCCTAATTTAATATTGTTAATATTTGGCACATATTTTCACACAGCCTAATTCTCTCTCTCTCTCTCCCCCCATTTTATTACTATTGTAAGTTGCATCAAGAAACTTTACCCCTAAATTATTCTGCATGCATCACCTACAAATAATGACATTGTCCTACATAACTACATCAGCACTGTCACGCCCAAGAAAATGAACAATATTTCCATGATACTATCTAACTGGCTCATACCTTTCTTTTTTTTCCTCTCTTTTTTTAAAGCTGGGCTGCTTTCTCAGGGTTCATACATTTCTGTGCCACTTTTCCCCACACTGTTTTTTCTACATGGATTGTGCCTCAGTGAGCTAGTATAGCTCACCAAACTCTTTACTTTTCTTAGGGTTCAAATTCCAATTCTACCTCTTCCATGAAACATACATAGAAAACCCCAACTGTCTCGAATCTCTAGTGAAATCATGCTCCTGGAACACTAAATTATCTGTATTAGTCACTAATGTGGTACCTGTTCTCTATTGTCAACTGCTTTATGTAAATATCTCTTGTCTCCCCAGTAATATTTTTTGTCTCCCAAACTTCAATTATTTACTTACCACTTTCACGATTTTTGCCACATCCTTGCCATCAATATTATTTACATACTTTAAAATTATTTAAATAAATAAATAAATAAATCTATATTAGTTTTGTCCTAAGCTATCTGGAGAATTCTCGGTTTGATGTGAAGTATTACTTTCCTAGAATTGCTGAAACAAACTACCACAAACTAGGTGGGTTAAAACAAGAGAAATGTGTTCTCTCACTGTTCTGGAGGCCAGAAATCTGAAATCAAGTTATTGTCAGGGTCATGCTGCCTCTGAAGGCTTTAGTGAAGAAACTTTTCCTTACCTCTTCCAGCTTCTGGTACATATAGGTATTCTTTGGCTTGTAGCCCCATCACCCCACTGTCAGCCTGCATCTTCACATTACCTTCTCCTCTGTGGCTCTGTGCGTTATTCCTCTGTATGTCTCTTATAAGGACACTAGTCATTGAATTTAGGGCCCACCCAGATAATCCAGCAGGATCTCTTCAAGATCTTTAATTACATCTGCAAAGATACTTTTTCCAAAAAGACTCTGGGAATTGAGGTGTAGACGAGTGTTTTTGAGGGTCACCATTCAGCCCACTACAATGTGTTATATATATTTTCCAATGTACAGTACAATAGAGTAAGCATAAATATTAAAATAAAATAACTTCATCCATGTATTACCCAAAAACAACCTTAGATTCTTTGAGAAACAAAAACTGATTTAGTATTTTTCACATTTTCTATAGTTTTGTGCTAGGTACTAAGCAAATACCTAGTGAACAAATATATGCATACATATACATATGTACATACATTTGTACATTTATGATCTCATTTTGCCTGATTGTGGCTACTACCATCCCAATCTCTTAAAATTGCCGGGTTTGTTAGATTAAGTCTAGGTTTCTAATAATACCCATCTCCATCCACCGCTCCATTTTCTAATACCCAAACAGATAATGCTCTTATTGGAAAAAGAATTGAGTTTTAGAAGGTTAAACAGACTTTTTGACCTAAACATGAATGTGTACAATACATGTGTGCATATGTATCCAGGCATAAAACTAATTGGTTTAACCCAGAGCAAAGCTGGAAGGTACCTGTTTACAAAAACAGGTTTCCTCTTTCTGTTTGGGAGGAGCCTAGGCTTTATCGTGTTTCTATAACATCCCTTCCTCTCCTTCCACCTACTGTGCTGTATATAGTATTTTGTTCTTCATTTCTAATCTTGCATTACCACTTTCAAGCTCCACATCAGAGCTGTTTCAAATACATGAAAAATGGAAACTTTGTAACAGTTGATTCCACTGATTCTCAGGGCCTCTCTACCTATCTTAATCAAATGCTTAAATATTTGTGAAATTAACCAACTTTTCTCAGAGTTTATTTCTAGAATTGAGAGGGGTGTTTCCTAAGAACCGAAAGGGTCTCATCTTTAGTAATATATGAATAAATAACTCTTTTTATATTTTTTTGTCCACTCAAATTGGCTTAAGGAAACCTGATAAGGATTCTGGGTATTTGAGGAGTAGCACTGTGGAAATTAAAGCTTGTCTTCAAACCACCCCTAAGTTTCTTTGTTTTCTTTCATGCACAACCTTCTTCATAGATTCAGAAATCCGGAAATTCAGGATAAAGTCTTAAAATAGCAAATGGGGAAAGTAGCTATTCTCTTTGATAGTGATTGACTAGAGAACACTTAAAAACTGAAGCCATCACACCACACTAAAAATGAAGAAAGATTACTTTAAAAGAAAAATCTGATGACAGAACAATCCTCAGATGAGTTTCAAAGCTGAAGTGATTATATTCAATGAAGCATGAAATAGGTAGCCATCCTGAGTCATCTTAGTGAGGATTCTTAAAATCACCAAAATTCTAGGGACAAAAACTCACTCAATCAAGACTTGAAGGTCTTCTTCAGAACCTTCAAGCATAATATGCTATCTATAAAGATAAGGTAAAGCAAATAGGGTGTTGGGGTTTTTTTTAACCATAGGGAGGGTTATATTCAAACTATGGAATAAGTTAGACTGTATAACAATATTTTTATTAAAATTATTTTGATCATATTGAAAAAAGAATCCTCAGTGCACACAAACAAAACTTATTCACCCTGATAGTGTGTAGATATGGAATGCTTGTCTTTAAGCCACAAAGGAAGGAACAGTAAGGTCAACCTTGAGACCTACTTTTGAGAACAGTCTGTTTTCTTAAGAAAGCTTGCATTCAGAAGACAATATTTACACCCAGAAAATACTTGCTACAAGATAGATTCACTTAGACATAAGAGGCATACTTGGGAGTGATATGTACAGAAAAAAGTATGTGACACTATGCTTTGAGGAAGTTACTATTAAGATACTAAAACCCAAACAACTCCCCTTCCAACACTTCTCTCAAAGCCTTTTGATGGCAGGAGAGAAGTAATGATTGAAGCCCTGCTGCAGACAGGGTTTGGTTAAGAATTGGCAAACCACAAAATAGGTTTAGTCTATGAAAGGACAACTAATGATGGCCTGTTGGAGCAGGACCCTGTAACACTGTATCTCATCAAGGCAATAAGAATAGGCTATCAGTTCTTCAGTTTCTTGACTTTCATCAATCAGTTTCCATTTTAGATGTTCCTACGTAATGTTTTTCAATAAAATGCATACCTGCAGATCAAGTATCAGCTAAACACAAGGCCTTGAGCTAGTAACATTGTTGTAGGCAGCACTCATCTCACTGAAATGGCCTTTCTTTGGCAAAAGAGAGTAAAAGTTGCCAAAGTCGTGTTTATTTTATAGTTAGGATTCAAAGCTTCAGCTTTTTCAGGTTTCTTAGTCCAAAAAGTCCCTAAAATTTAGCTAAATCTTTTCTTAATTTCAGTGGCAAGTTGTGTTTATTTATACACCTGCACCCACAACTATATTCTTACAGAAAATGATATTACAGTGAATTATTATTATTATTATTATTATTTTTGTGTGACAGAGTCTCATTCTGTTGCCCAGGCTGGAGGGCAGTGACAATCCTCCTGCCTCAACCTCCAGAGTAACTGGGACTACAGGTGCATGCTACCATACCTGGCTAATTTTTGCATTTTTAGTAGAGATGGGGTTTTACCATGTTGGCCAGGCTGGTCTCGAACTCCTGACCTCAAGTGATCCACCTGCCTTGGCCTCCCAAAGTGCTGGGATTACAGGCATGAGCCACCGCGCCCGCCCTACACTGAACCTCTTCTTATGCTTTCTATTGTAACTCTATTTCTCACTGTTATTGACAGCAATGATAGACTATGGAAAGAGATAACATTTTTTCTTTTGAAGATTCCTTGGATTCTATCTTTTTAATCTGGGAATGGAGCTACTCAAGTGAAGAGTTATGTGGGAAATGTAGGAAAAATAAGAGCTTAAGTTGATTTGGGGGATTCTGAGAACAGGGGAGTTTTATGTTCAGCAGAGCCAATCTTGACAACTTCCTCTCCCTGTCAACAGGATTCTACTCCCCCCTTATCTGGATGGGTCAAATCCACCCATGAGGGATGGGTTACATTTGCAGTATGTGAAACAGTGGGACAAATCACAGAAATCATGTCCTGGAGGAGCAGATTGAAGCAATGTTTGGACCACAAACAAGGGCTGAGTTGGGATAGGTGCTGGCAAATCAAGAAACCAAGAGTGTTGTAGCATAAAAGAAGGGAAAAGAAGATGGCAGTCTGGCCAAATTCTGGAGACAAAGCACGGATGGGTTTTTGGTGCCGTTACTCATTCCCAGCCTGCTCTGAGCATTGTTGTCATGTGTTTTTGACGCAGAGTCTTGCTCTGTCACCCAGACTGGAGTGCAGTGGTGTGATTATAGATCACTGCAGCGCTCTGAGGGTTTTTAAAATAAAGTCAGAGCAAGAAGACACTGCCTCCCCTGCCACTTATTGCTCTCTGAATTCAGACCCTTATTATCTCTCACCTAAATTTTAAAAAATCATAAGCATAACATAATTATCACACCTTAAAATTAACTAATTCATTAATATTGTCCAATATCCAGTCAATACTCAAATATTTTTACATGTCTCATCGAGATTTTTCCACTTGCTTTCTTTTGAATGTCTTTGAATCTAGTTTTATTCCTCTTTCAATCAATCTTCATTAAGAAGCTAGTTAAATCTCACAGAAATAGTTCTTCCCTTGTTACTCCTCTCTTCCAAACAATTATCTTCTATCACCCAACCTTTCATTGAACTCTACCTTTCCTCATCTTCCAAATATACAAAACTAAAAGTGGTTATGTTTTATATAAAGGATGTATTCCTTAACATTTTTCATAATTTAAAACTCCCATAATTCAAGTATCATGCTGATAGATAATGGAAGCTTGTTTGTTTACTGGCTAAAGAGGTGGTACCACCATCTCCAAAATCATCTTCAAGATCCAGAGTGTTGCTTGGCAGTGGCATACACAGTTCATTATATCCTTGACCTTTGAATTCATGGAATTCTTAGAAAGTTTTTAATTAGGTTGAGGCTTTATTTCATATATTACATATAAATGATCATTTATTAGTTTTTTAAAAAAAGTATTAGTTTTTTATTAAAAACTATTAGTTTTTTAAACTAATAAATGTATTTATTAGTTTTTTAAACTAATGTATTTATTGGTTTTTTAAACTAATAAATGTATTTATTGGTTTTTTAAACTAATAAATGTATTTATTGGTTTTTTAAACTAATAAATTGGTTTTTTAAACTAATAAATTTATTTATTAGTTTAAATCATTTATGATCATTTAGATCATTTATTAGTTTTTTTTAAAAATCCCAGAATTAAAAAGTTGCAGAGTTCAATTTTGCATATAATACAACTAACTGTATTGCAAGTTTATTTCATAGTTTATTCTATAATTATACTGTCTGTTGTTATGGCTCTATAGACAGGAATATCTTTCTTATCTCTTATCTGCCTAGAAAATTTCTATTAATTTTCTATGACTCAGCTGAAATATCACCTCCTCCTTGAAGCCTTCCCTTTCTAGTCAGAATGAGTCATTCCCTTTTGTTTTTCTAAAACGCCTTGCTTGTATGCCTGTTACATTATTTATTATGGTATGATTTATAAACTATTCACATTATTCTATCATTATATTTAATATGTTGGTATGTACTTATTGGCTGTACTTTATTGATGTGTGCTGCCACTGAGCTTATAGTAGATGCTCAGAAAGTGTTGACTTTAAATAATTTTGCAAGATTATTGTGAACGTTAAATGAAATAATTTTTAACAATTGCCGGATACAGTACCTGGTACTTACAGATAGTAAAGTTTCCCGTCTGTTTTTCTCTTTAGTTTACTCCTGCCTTATTTCTCCCAGCACCATGTATTCCTTCCATGTGAAATGAATAGAGATTTCTTTTTTACATTGCTTGCATGTCTCTTCAGGGTACTAACACTGACTTATGCATCTCTCATTTGTTTATTTATTTAAGGTCACTGCTTCTGTTCGGAACAGAGATCCCCCTGAGATAGAATACAGAAGTAATATGACTTCTCCAACACTCCTGGATGCCAACCCCATGGAGAACCCAGCACTGTTTAATGACATCAAGATTGAGCCCCCAGAAGAACTTTTGGCTAGTGATTTCAGCCTGCCCCAAGTGGAACCAGTTGACCTCTCCTTTCACAAGCCCAAGGCTCCTCTCCAGCCTGCTAGCATGCTACAAGCTCCAATACGTCCCCCCAAGCCACAGTCTTCTCCCCAGACCCTTGTGGTGTCCACGTCAACATCTGACATGAGCACTTCAGCAAACATTCCTACTGTTCTGACCCCAGGCTCTGTCCTGACCTCCTCTCAGAGCACTGGTAGCCAGCAGATCTTACATGTCATTCACACTATCCCCTCAGTCAGTCTGCCAAATAAGATGGGTGGCCTGAAGACCATCCCAGTGGTAGTGCAGTCTCTGCCCATGGTGTATACTACTTTGCCTGCAGATGGGGGCCCTGCAGCCATTACAGTCCCACTCATTGGAGGAGATGGTAAAAATGCTGGATCAGGTAAGTAACAATATTGCCTCTTTCCTGGCCTTCCTGAATCTATTCCCTTTTAGAGTCATCCTATCTCCTGTCTCTTTTCACTTCCTCCAATTATTCTTGCACACTGCTTCAAGAGTAATCTTTCAAAAGTACTGTTTTTTATGTCTTTTTAATGCTTAAGAATGTACAATGAGTCTTGATTAGACCATGCTTCTCAAACAAGTACAAGTATGCATATCTATCAGTGACATATCAAACAACTTCCTGGAACTTCCACATTATTTGATATTAAATAATTTAAGCATTTTATATTTAAAATATGATTATCTTGTATTACAAAATGCAAAATTTAAAAACCTGTTAAGATAAACCACATGCTTCAAAAATAGTTGAAGCTTACTAAAGGCATCCACCCTCGGACTTTTCAGGAGAATGTGTTTATTTTATGCCATTCAGAATGCTTTGGTGGGAAAGTTGAGAACAATATTTCTATCTCAAACATACTTAGCCAGTATTAGCTCCTGCCTCTACCAATACTTTCCCTTTTCTCTTCCCTACAAAAGAAGTAATTGAAATATTGTCATCTTCCCTGTGTTCTTCCTCATTTGGCATCTATCACTTTCCATTTTACTTATTTATTTGCCTGTATCACAAGAGTTTGGGCATTATTCACAACTGAATTGTAAATTCCTGAAAAATAATACTCTATCTTAATTTTTTTATGTATGCCTCCAGAGAACTTAACACAGTGCTAGGAGTTGTCTTGCAACAGATAATTTGATGAACAAACAAACTTGAAAATTTGTCCAAGAGAGAATTCAAATGCTATAATCTTCCATTTTATTTTATTTTTAAAATAAGTTCAGAATTCAGAAAGGTATAAATTAAGTCTCTCTTCCACCACTATCCCCCAACCACTAGTTTTCCTCCCAGAGGTATATCTGTTTTAGTTTGTAATCAGGAATGATCAAGGAAAATTATGTGGCCTCTAAAGCAGGCTGATAATGTTTTGCATAAATCGGAAAGGCCAAGGGGTGGAAATGACTAGGAAGCAGATTTCAGCTTACTGTAAAAGAGTATCTACCCTTGAAATTTGATGCCCTGTACTAAATGTAGGAGGCTGAAAAACAACATACTACTAAGCATCAAGTTGCTGAGACTCTGCACTGGTCTTCTGAATACAAATATTATTATTGACTAGTGGTTAATTGTGGTAATGATAAGTGTTCATAATCTTATTTTGAGATGTGATATCCATTCCATATATGAAGGGAGAGCCAAACAAACAAACCAAAAAAAGGAAACAAACAAAAAAGGAAATAAAATTCCTCGTGTGACAGTTTATGCTGAGATAAAGGCAGTGGTAACATCAAAGGATGGTTTGAAGGAGCTTTGAATAGTCCCCATAATATCATCAGTCCATCAGAGCCACTCTAAATAAACAGGATAAATTTTAAATGTGCTCAATGTGGTTCCAAGCTAAGGGCATTGGCCCAATGGTGTCTGTATTAGTTCGTTTTCATGCTGCTGATAAAGACATACTCGAGACTGGGAAGAAAAAGAGGTTTAATTGGACTTACAGTTCCACATAGCTGGGGAGGCCTCAGAATCATGGTGGGAGGCAAAAGGCACTTCTTACATGGTGGCAGCAAGAGAAAAGGAAGAAAGAATAGCGGAAAGCCCTGATAAACCCATCAGATCTCATGAGACTTATTCACTATCATGAGAATAGCAGGGGAAAACTGGCCACCATGATTCAATTAACTCCTCCTGGGTCCCTCCCACAACATGTGGAAATTCTGAGAGATACAATTCAAGTTGAGATTTGGGTGGGGGCACAGCCAAACCACATCAGTATCCAAAATGGGGGGCTTACTAAACCTTAGGGGGCACATATAAAACAATTGGAGTGCAAGAAGAAAGTATCAAAATTTGTATTTTCTTACCCTTAAAAATTGACAGGTAATATTGTATGTTTTAATCATCTATAGCATGATGTTTTGAAGTACATATGCATTGTGGAATGGTTAAATCTAGCTAAATAATAAATGCATTACCTCATTATCATTTTTGTGGTGAGAGCACTTAATGTCCATTCTCTTTACAATTTTAATAAATAAAATGTATCATCATTAACTATACTTGCCTTGCTATACAATAGATCTCTTGAAATGTATTCCTCCTATCTAGCTATAATTACGTATCCTTTGACCAATATCTCCCCATCCCCCTCCCCACTAGCCACCCCAGCCTCTGGTAACTACCATTCTACTCTACTTGCATGAGATTAACTTTTTTAGATTCCACATATGAGTGAGATCATGCACTATTTGTCCTTCTGTGCCTGGCATATTTCACTTAACATAATGTCCTCCAGGTTCATCTATGCTCTCACAAATGGCAGGATTTTATTCTTTGTTATAACTGAATAATATTATATTGTATATATATATATGTCACATTTCATTTATTCATTCATTTGTTGATAGATATTTTAGGTTGGTTCCACATCTTGGCTGTTGTGAATAATGCTGCACTAAACAGGGATGCAGTTATCTTTTGGGCATGTGATTTTATTTCCTTTGGATATATACCCAGAAGGGAGATTGCCAGATCATACGGTAGTTCTAATTTTAAGTTTTTGAGGAACCTCCATACTATTTTCCATAAAGGCTATAACTAGTTTACATTCCCATCAACAGTGTGTAAGTGTTCCCTTTTCTCCACATACTCACCAGCACTTACTGTCTTTTGTCTTTTCGATAATAGTCACTCTAACTTAAGTGAGATGACATACTACTTTTTGTTTGTTTTCTTATAATGTATACAAAATTGTAGGATACCGATACATGTATATCACATACATGCACAAACATGCACACCTCAAGATACATGCTTAAAACTTTTTAGTGAATGATATGCAAAGTATAGAGACAACTCTTTTAACCAAATACTTGTTCCCCACCTTATCACCACCCCCAAGTTTCTTCTCTATAGAAATTTTGAAGGTTTCACTGGATCTAGGAGACTGTTGACCACCTGATTGAGTTTTTAGGAATTAGAAACATCAGGGGTTGATAATAAGGAATATTTGACAGCTTCTCCCAACATAGGTGGAAAGGAAGGTTGTATCAAGCACCTACTAGGTGGTAGGTATACGTTTCATCTCATTGACTTATTTCTGTTTAGGAGCACAAAGGCCAAGGTGGATGTTCTCACATCTGGACTAATCCTAGAATTTGATTTTAGGACAGCCAGGAGCTATTCAGTGAGTTCAATTCAACACACACACACACACACACACGTTGAAACTAACTTTTCAGCTGACCCTGTCCTGGTAGCTGGAGATAGAAAGATGAATCATACCCAGACCACATCCTAGAGACACTCTCATTTGATACCACTCATAGTGGTATCAGAACTCTTCATACTACTCTTACTTTAAAGGCATTTCTGTTCCCTGCTATGCAAAAAAAAAAAATAAAATGTTATTCTCTTCCTTCCATGCAAATACACTTCTTTCATCTTGTTTTTTATTTCTTTATTTTTCTGTCTTGCTGCCACTTCTTAAGGTGGGACAAACTGGGAATCCTGAAAATGATTAAAGAGGCACATACATCTTCAGCTCACACTGCTCCCTTTCTTTGCTTTTAGTGAAAGTTGACCCCACCTCCATGTCTCCACTGGAAATTCCAAGTGACAGTGAGGAGAGTACAATTGAGAGTGGATCCTCAGCCTTGCAGAGTCTGCAGGGACTACAGCAAGAGTGAGTACTTTTTGTCTTCAAGTCTGTCTTTGTGTATGTGTGTGTGTGTGTGTGTGTGTACATTTGCACATATGTATAGGTGGAACTAATGATCAGACACAAGAGTAAGAATTTGAGGACAAGAAATATAGGGAGACTGCCTTTCCAGTGAAAGTATATGAGTTTGTGTGCACACATGTGCATGTACATGCATGCTATAGTAGAGCTATGTTCTAACTGTAGATCATCAATTTTTCTTTTGAAAAATCTTCAAATTTCCCATAAAGTGTAGTTATGTACTGTTTCTCTCTGTAAGTTTAAAACAGCTTTGTCTTTCAATATTGAAACTAATTGGAAGTAGTTGGCTTGTGTTTAGCAACAACTGTTGTATGAAAAACAAATTTCTTTAAGCAGGAAAATGAAACTTATTGAAGTGAAATGCTCACACTGTTTGGGAACACAACCACTGAAGGAAACACTACCACCTCCCATGCTTTCTCTGAGCACCTACTGAGGGACCTGTACCTACTGAGCAGAATGGCCTAGTTGACAGAATTGTTTTTACTATTCCAATTATTTCTTTTTGGGGGGACCTAGCATTAAATTCACGTAAATTAAAAGCCGATATGATGTGGCACCAATGAATGTAAATTCATTTTTTTAGCCTTCACTTTAAAGTCACTGTTTGGCTTTATCTCTATTTCTTTGATCAGACCAGCAGCAATGGCCCAAATGCAGGGAGAAGAGTCGCTTGACTTGAAGAGAAGACGGATTCACCAATGTGACTTTGCAGGATGCAGCAAAGTGTACACCAAAAGCTCTCACCTGAAAGCTCACCGCAGAATCCATACAGGTCTGCCCACTCCCATCTCACCCCCAACACACACACACACACACACACACACACACACACGAGAGAGAGAGAGAGAGAGGGGCAGAGAGAGAGAGAGAGAGGGGCAGAGAGAGAGAGAGAAAATTTCTGAGAGACAGAGAATGAAGTCCTGAAACAAAGACTGATGCATTTATACTCATGGGCACAGGCTCCATTCATGGTTTTTATCCCTATTTCTTGTCCCTACTCTAAGGCAGATTTTATAAAACTGGCCTAGGAAAACACTAAACTAAATCTGGTGTCTTAATAGTCATCATTCCCAGTGAGCCCTGTGGGTCTTTCTAATTGCGGAGTCAACACTTAAGCAAAGATTAAGGCATTACTCCCTTCCTTACTACCAGGGTCTCACAAGTTTTACTAAGCATGGAAAAGCACAAGAACAATTTAAACTATGTGAAATTAAAGCAGGTTGTAATCCACTAACCATTAACGTGTCTTTGTTCACATTAAAAAAAAAAGGTGCACATAAATAAATAAAGCAGACCTGGTAGTGATCCTGTCAAACCGAACAGCACATACCTGATCTGAAGAAGGAGAGCTGCCACTCAAATCCATGTAGTCAGCCATCAATATTCTTAGGTTCCACATCCGTGGATTCAACCAACCACAAATCAAAAATATTTTTTAAACAACAAAAATAACAATACAACAATAAAAAAATACAAATTTTAAAATACAGTATAACAACTACTTACATAGCATTTACATGGTATTAGGTAACGTAAGTACATCTAGAGATGACTTAAAATATAGGAGAGAATGTGTATAGATTATATGCAAATGCTATGTTATTTTATATCAGGGACTTAAGCATCCATGAATTTCGTTATCCACCCGATGGGTGGGGTTGGGAATGTAGGTGGCTCTGAAATCAATCCCCCATGGATACTGAGGGACGACTGTATTAGTAAATTTAATTGTTAAAGAAAAGCAAAAAAAAAAAATCCAGATTATTATGTGAAATGTCCTTGATTTTGAATGTTGGCTTCTAGTTCAAAAATTTTTTATAACCCCAGGAATTCAAAGAAACCTGCCTAGAAGCCAGATGCAGCTTGTCATTTATCAATGTGTGCCCTTTGCCTTGGAGACTCCTTCTCCATAGTGGTCTCCAAGCTCAGAATTGGGACTTAGACACCTTGGACAAGGAGGAAGCCCTCCTTTCTTGTAAACATCTGCTATGTTACCTTTGCTGTGTTAGAATTTGTGTAGAAGGACCCAGAGCCCTAGTTGTTTTGCCTAGAGGCTATGAACAGGTGAGTGATTTCCAGGCTGCATTATTCAAACATTCCCATGACACTATTATTATTTAGTGATGTATTTGTTTGCTTCTCTTCCATGGGAGATGGATGCTGACTATATATATATTCCATATATTCCAAGTCTCCAATTAAGCTGCTGTGGGATCTGATATGTCTTCCTACCTCTTTGATCTTAGGTTCCTCAACCGTAAGATGAGGGGTTTGGACTAGGTAATCCCACTTGACTATTTTAATCTGGAACTCTATGGATTGAATTTCAATGTAACCTATTGTGCGGCTACCTTCTAGGAGGTCCCAAGTGTAGGCAGGTTGGAAATTACTTTATGATATACTAAAAGTCTGGCTGTCTTTCCTATGTCACCTCTCGACTCTTAAACTGAGATAACAGATACAATTTACTTTTATTTACTTTTCGGATTTCAGTACTGTTTTTCTCCCTAGTGGTGTAAGCTTCCCATATGAAGGGAAAAAATGGCCCTAAAATATCCACAATTCTTAGCTTTGAGTGTTATAGGTGAATGCCTTACCTGATAAGAGATCATGACAGCCAGATGACTGATGAATGGAGACAACTGATGTCTACATGAATCTCACTACATTTTTTTTTTTGAGACAGTTTTGCTCTGTTGCCCAGGCTGGAGTTTAGCCTGGCGTGATCTCGGATCACTGCAACCTCTGCCTCCTGGGTTCAAGCGATTCTCATGTCTCAGCCACCCGAGTAGCTGGGATTACAGGCATGTGCCACCTTGCCCAGCTAATTTTTCTATTTTTAGTAGAGATGGGGTTCCACCATGTTGGCCAGGCTGGTTTCAAACTCCTGACTTCAAGTCATCTGCCTGCCTGGACCTCCCAGAGTGTTGGGATTACAGACGTGAGTCACTGCCCCTAACCTCACTTTGTTTAGATTCGGAATTGTTCTTATTCTACTCAGTTTTTAGGATTGACCCATACCTTTGCCATGGGTATGTGACCATAGGAATACTCACTTGAAGGCATTTCACAGAAACATTTAATTTGCCCCAACTGCTTGACTTACAATAGGCTTAGTTGCTTTAGGAAATAACGTGGCATTTCTGTAAGTGCCCTCATTCCTGCAGTATTGTAATAGGCCTTTCCTCACTACAATTCATTCTCCACACAGTAGCCAGAGGATTTTCATCTGTTTGCTTTTGTTTTGTTTTGTTTAAATATAAATAAGATTATATAACATCTGCTACTTAAAATCTTCCAAGGACTTCCCATCACACTCTGAATGAAATCCAAATAGAGTATCCTAAAAGGCCCTACAGGATCTTGCCTCTTATTAATTTTATCTCATGACATTTCTTATCCTTTTGATCCCAATTTGAATGTCTTCTGCCCAGAAAAATCTTCCCTAAACCTATCTTAAGCAGTGTCCACTCTCAAATATCTGTATAAGAAAACCCTACTTAATTTCTTGATAGAGTTTTCTTTTCTTTCTTTTAAAATTTTTAATAATACATATTTTAACCCAGTGTATCACAAATACTATCACTTTACAACCTAATCAGTACGAACAATTATTTTTATTTTATTCTCATATTTTGTGGGTACGTAGTAGGTTTATATATTTATGAGTTACATGAGATATTTTGATACAGGAATGCAATGTGTAATAGTCAAATCAGAGTAAAGGGGTATATCTGTCCCCTCAAGCATGGGGCATCCTTTGTGTTACAAACAAGCTAATTATACTCTTTTAGTTATTTTAAAATGTACAATTAAATGATTTTTTTTTTACTATAATGAAGCTGTTGTGCTATCAAATGTTAGGCCTTATTCATTCTCTCTATTTTTTGTACCCATTAACCATCCCCACTGCCCCCCGACCCACTGACATCCCACCATCCTTCCCTGCCTCTGGTAACCATCCTTTTACCTCTATCTATGTAAGTTCAATTATTTTAATTTTTAGCTACCACAAATAAGTGACAACATGTGAAGTTTGTCATTTTGTGCCTGGCTTATTTCACTTAACATAATGACCTCCAGTTTTATCCATATTGTTGCAAATGATAGGATCTCATTCTCCATGTGTGACCTTTGCCTTGGAGACTCCTCCTTAGTGGTCTCCAAGCTCAGAATTGGGACTTAGACACCTTAGACAAAGAGGAAGCCCTCCTTTCTTGTAAACATCTGCTATGTTACATTTGCTGTGTGAGAATTTGTGTAGAAGGACCCAGAGCCCTAGTTGTTTTGCCCAGAGGCTATGAACAGGTGAGTGATAAATGTCTTTTTAGCTCTTTTGCCCATATGCACCACATTTTCTTTATCCATTCATCTGTTGATGGACACCAGTTACTTCCAAATTCTGGCTATTGTGAATACTGCTGCAATAAACATGAGAGTGCAGATATCTCATTGATATACTGATTTCCTTTCTTTTGGATATATAACCAGCAGTGGGATTACTGGATCTTATGATAGCCCTACTTTGTTTTCTGAGAAACCTCCAAATTGTTCTCTATAGTGATTGTACTAATTTATATTCCCACCAACAGTATATGAGGGTTCCTTTTTTTCCACATTCTCACCAGCATTTGTTATTACCTGTATTTTGGATAAAAGCCATTTTAACTGAGGTGAGATGTTATCTCATTGTAGTTTTGATTTACGTTTCTCCGATTATCAGTGATGTTGAGCACCTTTTCATATGCCTGTTTATCTTCTTTTGATAAATGTCTTTTCAGCTTTTTTGCCCATTTTTAAATTGGATTATTAGATTTTTCTCCTATAGAGTTTTTTGAACTCTTTGTATGTTCTGATTATGAATCCCTTGTTGATGGGTAGTTTGCAGGTATTTTCTCCCATTCTGTGAGTTGTCTCTTCACTTTGTTGATTGTTTCCTTTGCTGTGCAGAAGATTTTTTTAACTTTATGGCACCCCATTTGTCCATTTTTGCTTTTATTGCCTATGCTTGTGGGGTATTGCTCAACAAATCTTTGCCCAGTTCAATGTCCTGGAGACTTTCCCCAATATTTTCTTGTAATAGTTTCAGATCTTAGACATAAGCCTTTAATCCATTTTGATTTGATGTTTGTATATGGTGAGATATAGGGTTCTAGTTTATTCTTTTACCTGTGATATCCAGTTTTCCCAGCACCCTTTATTGAAGAGACAGTCCATTCCCCAATGTATGATCTCAGCACCTGTGTCTAAAATGAGTTCACTATAAATGCATAGATTTATCTCTGGGTTCTCTATTCTGTTCCACTGATCAGTGTGTCTGTTATATGCCAGCAGCACACTATTTTGATTACTATACCTCTGTAGTATAATGTAAAGTCACATAATGTGATTCCTTCAGTTTTATTATTTTTGCTTAAGATAGCTTTGGTTATTCTGGGTTTTTGTGGTTCCATGTAAATTTTGGGGTTTTTTTTCTATTTATGCAGAGGATTGTCGTTAATATTTTGATAGAGATTGCATTAATATTGTAGATTGCTTTGAGTAGTACAAACATTTTAACAAAATGTATTCCACCAATCCATGAACACGGAATATCTTTCCTTTCGTTTCTGTCTTCAGTTTCTATCATCAATGTTTTATAGTATATATTGTAGAGATCATTTATTTTCTTGTTTATGTTAATTCCTAGGTATTTCATTTTATTTGGAGCCATTGTAAATGAGATTATTTCTTGATTTATTTTTCAGAATGTTCATCTGTTGGCATGTAGAAATGTTTTGGATTTTGTATGTCAGTTTTTTATCCTATAACTTTACTAATTTTTTTTAATCAATTCTAATAGCTCTTTTTCTGGAGGCTTTAGGTTTTTCCAAATATAAGATTATGTCTTCTGCAAACAAGGATAATTTGTCTTTTTCCTTTCCAATTTGGATGCCCTTTAATTCTTTTCTCATCTGACTCCTCTAGGTAGGACTTCCTGTACCATGTTGAATAAAGGTGAAATTGGGCCTCCTTGTCATGTTCCCAATCTTAGAGGAAAGTATTTCAGTTTTTCCCCATTTAGTATGATACTTATGGGTCAGTAATTAATGACTTTTATTATGTTGAAGTATGTTTCTCCTACACCCAGTCTTCTGAGGATTTTTATTATGAAAAGATGTTGAATTTTATCAAATACTTTTTCAGCATCAATTGAAGTGACCAAATGGTTTTTATCTTTCATTCTGTTGATATGATGTATCACATTAATTGATTTGCATATGCTGAACCATCCCCACATCTGTGGGATAAATCCCATTTGGACATGATGAATTATCTTTTTAATGTGTTGCTAGTATTTTGTTGAGGATTTTTGCATCAATATTCATCAGTGATATTGGCCTATGGTTTTCATTTTTTGATGTGTCTTTGTCTGGTTTTGGTATCAGGGTAATACTGGCCTCATAGAATGAGTTTGGAGTATTTCTTCCTGTTCTATTTTTCAAAATAGTTTCAGTAGAATTGATATGAGCTAATCTTTAAATATTTGTTAGAATTCGACAGTGAAGCCATCAGGTCCTGGGCTTTCCTTCCTGGGAGACCTGCCCCCCGCCCCCGCACCTCGCCCCCGAAACCAAGTCTCACTCTGTTGCCCAGGCTGTAGTGCAGTGGCATGATCTCAGCTCACTGCAACCTCCACCTTCTGGGAGAGTTTTAATTATGGCTTTTGTCTCATTACTTGTTGGTTAGTCTGTTCAGGTTTTGGATTTCTTCCTGATTCTGTGTTTTTCCTTGTCCTTAATATTACCAGTGAGTTGTGTACCTTCAGATGATTTCTTATTGCTCATTAATGTCCTTTTCTTTCTGATTGAAGTACTCCCTTTAGCATTTCTTGTAGGATGAGCATGGTATTGATGAAATCCCTCAGCTTTTGTTCATCTGGGAAAGTCTTTATTTCTCCTTCATGTTTGAAGGATATTTTCACCAGATATACTATTCTAGGGCAAAAGTTTTTTTCCCTTCAGCATCTTAAATATGTCATGCCACTCTCTACTGGCCTTTAAGGTTTCTACTAAAAAGTCTCGTCAAAGATATTGGAACTCCAGTGTATGTTATTTCTTTCTTTTCTCTTGCTTCTTTTAGGATCCTTTCTTTATCCTTGACCTTTGGGAGTTTAATTATTAAATGCTTTGAGGTGGTCTTCTTTGGGTTAAATTTGCTTGGTGTTCTATAACCTTCTTGTACTTGGATATTGATATCTTTCCCTAGGTTGGGAAGTTCTGTGTTATTATCCCTTTGAATATTTCTACCCCTATCTCTTTATCTACTTGCTCTTTAAGGCCAATAACTCTTAGATTTGCCTTTTTGAGGCTATTTTCTAGATCCTATAGTTGTTGCTTCATTGTTTTTTATTCTTTTGTCTCCTCTCTATGCATTTTCAAATAGGCTGTCTTCAAGCTCACTAATTTTTTCTTCTGCTTTATTCTATTTAATTGTTTCAATCTCTTAGTTAACTTACGGGATTCTGAATTCCTTCTCTGTATTATCTTGAATTTCTTTGAGTCTCCTCAAAACATATTTTGAATTCTCTTTCTGAATGGTCACATATCTCTCCAGGATTGGTCCCTGGTGCCTTATGTGGTTCATTTGGTTTGGTCATGTTTTCCTGGATCGTCTTGATGCTTGTAGATATTCATTAGCGTCTGGGCATTGAAGAGTTAGGTATTTATTGTAGTCTTCACAGTCTGGGTTGGTTTGTATCCATCCTTCTCAGGAAGTCTTTCCACATATTCAAAGGGATTGGGTGTTGTGATCTAAGCCATCTCTGCATTAGGGGACACCCCAAGCCCAGAAGCCCTATGGTTCTTGCAGACTTGTAGAGGTTCCACTTTGATGTTCTTGAATAAGATCCAGAAGAATTTTCTGGATTACCAAGCAGAAACTCTTGTTCTTTTCTTTTACTTTATCCCAGACAAACAGTCTCTCTCTCTGTTCTGAGCCACCTAGACCTGAGAGTGGGTTGACACAAGCATCCCTGTGGCCACCACCACTCGGACGTGCTAGGTCAGGCCTTAAACTAATACAGCACTGGATTTCAGCCAAGAACCGCTGTAACCACTACCTGGCTATTGCCAGTGTTCACTCAAGGCCCTGGGTCTCTACAATCACCTGTTGGTGAAGCAAGCCGTACTTATGTCTTTTCCTTCAGGGCAGTGAGTTCTCCTAGGCCCTTGGTAGGTCCAGAGATGCCATCTGGAAGCCAGGAACTCTAGTCAAAACTTAGAAGTCCACCTGGTGATCTATTGTACTGTGGCTGAATTGGCACTCAAACCATGAGACACAGTTCTTCCTAGTCTTCCCTTCACTTTCCACAGCCAGAGGAGCCTCACCCCTTGGCTACCACTACCATAGGCTTACAGGGAGTACTTCCAGGCTACTGCTGATGTTCCCATAAGGCCCAAGGCCTCTTTATTCAGCTTATCGTGAATGCTGCTTGGCCTGGGACTCACGCTTGAGGGCAGTGGGCTCCCCTCTGGCCCTGGGCAGATCCAGAAATGCCATGCAAGAGCATAATCCTGGAACTGGAGACCCCAATATCCTGCTTGTGCTCTATCCTTCTGTGGCCAATTGGTATCTAAGGCACAAGACAAAGTCCCCTTTACTTTTCTTTCCACCTTTCCTCAGCTGGAGTGTCTCCCCATAGCCATCACAGCTTGGGAATGTGCTGAGTCTCATCTGAAGCCAGCAAGTCTCAGAGTCTCATCCTAGGCCCATGGTGTACTACCTAAGTTTTGCTACTGGTTATTCGGGGACCAAGGGCTCTTTAGTCAGTAGGTGATGCGTCCTGCCAGAACTGGGTTCTTCTCTTCAAGGCAACAGCTTCCCCTGTGGCCCAGGGTGTGTCTAGAAATGTCATCCATGAGCTAGGTCCTGGAAAAGAAGCCTCACGACTCTGAATGATGCCCTATCCTACTGTGGCTAAGCTTGTATCCAAGATGCAAAACAAAGTCCTTTTTACTCTGCCCTCACCTCTCCTCAAGTGGAAGGAAGGGGTCTCTTTTGAAGCTGTGAGCTGTGCATCCTAGGGTTGGGGAAGGGGTGGTGCAACCACTGCCTTATCTGATCCAGCTGATATCTTAATATATCATATGCTCCCCGCAAGTCCACTGGCTCTGAGCCCAGTTCATCACTAGGACTCACCTAAGACTTGAAGTCCTTGTGGCCTATACTGCCTTTCAAGTTAATTCAAGGCCCCAGAGCACTTTATCTCATAGTGGTGAGTCTTCCCAGAATTCAAGTTCTGACTTCTGGGATGGGCGATTCCCTTCTGGCTCTGACTGGTTTAAATATTCCCTCCATGGGTGGGAGTCAGCAGAGTTCAGCATAGTTTTGCTTTCTGCTGTGACAAGGCAGCACTGAATTTAATGCAGTGTCTCACAAGTGCTGTACTATCCCTGTCTGAAGCACACAGATTCTCTCTCCACACCATGTAGGCACTGCAGAAGGATGGGTGAGGGGTGGTGTTGGTGATTCAAGACTCTTTCCTATCCTCTTTCAGTGCTTCTTTTAACAATATGAAGTTAAAACCAGGTACTGTGAGTGGTCATCTGATTTTTCGTTCTTTTTTTTTATTATTATACTTTAAGTTTAGGGTACATGTTTACAACTTTCATTCTTATGAAGGTCCTTTTTTGTGTAGATAGTTGTGAAATTGGTGTTCTTGTTGGGGCATGATTGGTAGAACATTCTATTTGGCCCCCTTGCTCTGCCCCTCTTCTCCATTTATTTTTCAATTGTATAAGTTTAAAGGGTACAAGTGCAGTTTTGTTACATGGATATGATACATAGTGATGAAGTCTGAACTTTTAGTGTAACTAAGGAAGTTTTTTAAAGTAGGGAGAATAACGATCATATGAGAAGGAGCAAGCTATGTAAAAAGCGTGGCAAAAGACTATTCTTGGCTAGTCAGAGTACAAAACTAGTGAGATGGGAATAAGCTTGCCTTGTTCTAATAACTGATACTAGTTCAGCTTAGCTAGGACATATTGAGCGCAGCAGTGGGTGGAGAAAGCATTGAGGTGCAAGAGTGGAAGGGGTAAGATCAGTTAAGAGGCTAATGAAGCAATCCAGGCAAAAAATGATGACAGCTCAACTAGTATGTTGCCAGTGGAGATGGAGAGAAGGAGGTACATTGATGATTAAGTGGATGTTGGTGACTCTAAGGTTTCTGTTTTGGGTGACTGGGTGAATGGAGGTGCCATTTATAGAGCTAGAGAATTTGCCAATAGTTACACAGGTAGTAAATGGGTAAAGCCCCATAGGATTAGACATTTGTACCTAACCTAGGTATACTTTTCTCTATTGCTAGTATTCCACAGGTTCCCTGGGACTGAGGCAGCGACAGAAATGCCTGATTCATTGCCCTCCAAAGATTGTGATTCATTGTTAAGGGTCCTAGAGAGTGCCGTCTCTGTCTTTGGTAGATATTCTTCCAGCAGAGAGCCATAAGACTCTTTGCTTATCTGCAAAGACCAGGCATGCAGTGCAGCACTTCATCTCCCCTGAGTTTGCAATCATACAAAGCAGGAAACACAGATATAACAGTTCTTGTTAAACATACTGTGTTCATACTGTCAAGTCCCAGTATATTTACAATGGCATCACCCATTTTCCCAGGCTCCAAATGTATCATTGATTCTTACCATTATCTTTTTTTTTCCCCAAGTCAGAGTCTCACTCTGTTTCCAATGCTGGAGTGCAGTAGCACAATCTCGACTCACTGCAGCCTTGCTCTCCCAGGCTCAAGCAATTCTCCCACCTTAACCTCTGGAGTAGCTGGGACTACAGGCACATGCCACCACACCTGGCTAATTTTGTTTATTTTTTTGTAGAAATGAGGTCTCACTATGTTGCCCAGGTTGGTCTCGAACTTCTGGACTCAAGTGATCCTCCCGCCTCAGCTTCCCAAAGTGGTTGGGATTATAGGCATGAGCCATTAATATTCTCTTATGTCTTGAGTTATTTGTATTTAAAGTTCTATTATTTCTTTCTAATTTTGAATAGCCTTTTTATTCATAATGGCTAAGACTATGTATTGTGAAACTAGTGTCTTGATTTGACATCTCAATCAGCTACTCACTGCTGAAAGTTGCTTCGCCCCTCTTTACCTAAATTTCCCAATCTTGGAATTTTAATAGTGTAAAATACTTAAAATAGTATCCAGCATATAGTGAATACTCAATAAATGCTAGGTTTTATTAATGTTTTTCTTTCAATTCCAATCTCGCTGTCACCTCCTTAGGTTTTGTTCTTATATTTATTATTGATTCCTTCATCAATTCAATGAAAAATTAATTTGAGCTTTATATGCCAGACAAATAGATTACCCCAGTAGGCTCCTAGTCATTGTAGTCCACCTTATACAGCATGGGTAAATAATTTTAATGTACAACTTTGACCAAGTCATTCTTGAGTTAAACAGACTAACTTTTAGACTAACTTTTAGTCTGTTTTATTATTGTTTTAAAGTTCTCTATTGTCAATGCATCCCCATTATTGCTCACACCTAGGACAGACTGCTCTCACACACACCCCCTTGGGTATATCATTGCCTTTTATGCTTAAGTCCAAATTCTCTTTTTAAAAATAATCCCAAGTTTTTCATCTGTCTTTTATAATAAGGATCATCTCATAATACTCTTGTAAGGATGTTCCATGCTCCAAGACAGCTGACCCTATATGTACCATTCACTGCACTGCCTTGCCAAGACCTTGCCACCAGCTGCCTGGGTTGCTTTCTTCATCTAAAACCTGCCCATACCTCCATATTTGTGCCTTCACAGTAACCCAGAGGTTATTAGCTAGCCTTGGAACTTATATCACACTTACTTATTTTTTTGAAACAGAGTCTTGCTCTGTCGCCCAGGCTGGAGTGCAGTGGTGTGATCTCAGCTCACTGCAACCTCTGCCTCCCGGGTTCAAGCAATTCTCATGCCTCAGCCTCCCAAGTAGCGGGACTACAGGTGTGCACCATCACACCCGGCTAATTTTTGTGTTTTTAGTAGAGACGGGGTTTCACTATGTTGGCCAGGCTGGTCTCGAACTCCTGACCTCAAGTGATCCATGTGCCTCAGCCTCCCAAAGTGCTGGGATTACAGGCATGAGCCACCGCACCTGCCATGTCACACTTACTATCTTTGTCACATAGTTAATATATGTGCTTTATATTATGAATTCTTTCTCTGCATATATACTTTGTTCTTTAATTCAAATGATAAGTTGATGGAGATTACAAGTTGTGTTGTATGATGTTCATTGGCACAAACAGGAGCTTGTTCAATGATAATACAAGGGTAAATGCTTTTGAAATAGGAAAATGGGCCTCACTGCTGAATTCCTTTACAATAATTTGTGTGTTCTAGAAATGAGCTCTGATCACCACAGGGTGTCACTGCCTTACAAGTCAAATTTTCCTCAATTGGTTGAGGTGTATATAGGAATTCTCAGAAGACATTCTTGAGAGATCACAACAAAATGTATAGATAGCAATGCAGCCATTGGGAGATGTGGAGATGCTATAAAATCACATAGAACAAAAAGTGAAAATTTAATTTACACACTCTAAACATCCCCTGAAATCCTATTCTTCTTCCCTCTGTTAACAATTTGTTGTATAGCCTTCCAGATCTTTCCTCCTTGGAGAGAGAGAGACAGAGAAGGACAGGCACAAGATTTAGAAAACATAAATGAGATCCTACTCTCCGTGAGCATGTGTGTGTGTGGTTGTTCAGTATCTTTTTTAATTTGATAACATTTCATTTGCCATCTTTTTTGTCTCATTACATCCAGCTTTATCTCATTCTTCTTAGCAGCTAATGCAGCTATTTCTGAATATTGAAATGATCAGTAATTGATGTCTTTAATCTTTGAAATGTTTGCCTTGATATAGTCCAAAGCTGTGATTCAGACTGGATTTCATTCTGTTGCTCATTATGTGAACACTATACAGTTAATTAGCAAACACTTGGGAGGGTTGGTAGGTGGTGTGTAGTAAGTTGGAAAACAGTTTATGCAAGCCAGATTGCCACCAGAATTTAGAACAGCATAAAATTAAATGCCCTAGGTAATTTACAGGGAGTAAAGGGGAAAAGACCGAGAGAAAGAGACTGTTAGAATACCAATGCATTTTTGTGTCTGCATTATTGTTTGTTTCTGATTGTAAAATAATACATGCTCATTGTAGAAGATGGGAAACAGAAAAATGTATTAAGAAGAAAGCAAACATTACCCTAATCCTACAACCCAGACTTATCCACAGTTAATATTTATTGTTGCTCATATAGCTTATTTCCTTTTTCAAAATTTTTATTATATGATACAACATTATGATTTTAAAGCATTTAAAACAGTACAAAAGGGTATAAAGTAAAAATGAAAAGTTCTCTTCCCACCATCCCTGGTCCTCACTTTCCACAAAGTCATTCACTGTTAACAGTTTCTCTCATAATGTACATTTAAGTGTATTGATATTGGCTTTATTATGAGTATACAAATGTATGGTGTGTGATCTATATACCATAATGGGGTCATACTGCGTTAATTTTTTTATACTACTTTTTTTCCATTTAGCTTTCTATCTTGAGCATACATATCCTATATATAATTCAAATACAACCCAAAGATTCTGGGCATGGAGCTATTTCAAAAAGTTTGACCTGACACTGCCCCCCATGCCATTACATGCCCTTGAGTTTCTAACCTTACACAAAAGACCTGTAGCCTTAGCTGAGGGCCCTTTCCAATGAATCACACATTCATCCTGTGTATATATGGCTCTATTTTATTTTATTTTATTTATTTTTTTGAGACAGGTCTCGCTCTCTCCTAGGCTGGAGTGCAGTGGCGCAATCTCGGCTCACTGCAAGCTCCGCTTCCCGGGTTCACGCCATTCTCCTGCCTCAGCCTCCTGGGTAGCTGGAACTACAGGCGCCCTCCACGACGCCCAGCTTATTTTTTTCATTTTTAGTAGAGACGGGGTTTCACCGTGTTAGCCAGGATGTTCTCAATATACTGATCTCATGATCCGTCCGCCTCTGCCTCTCAAAGTGCTGGGATTACAGGCGTGAGCCACCGCACCGGACCATATGGCTCTATTTTAGACTGTTTGGTAGGAGATATTAGAGGAACGGATATTATAAAGTGCCAAAGACCTGAGTTTAGATCCCAGTTGTATTGGTTGCTAGCTATCTTTTAAAAATAAAATGTTTTGAACAACTTTGTGATATATTTTTATCCTTTAGAGATGAGAAAACAGAGACCAAGCCAGGGAGAAGTGATTATATAAGATCACACAGCTAGTTTGTAGTAGAGCCGGATCACACAAAGGCCTATTTGAACAAGAGGCTATGTGCTTCCCACTCTAACATCTTGGACTTTCTTTAGAACTCCTGTAGGTAACAATGTATTGTATTATTGAAAATCAATGAGAGAGTAGATTTCAAGTGTTCTTACCACAAAAAAAGATAAGTATATAGGTAATATGTATGTTAATTAACTCGACTTAGCCATTCCACAATGTATATACATCTCAAAACATCATGTTGTACATTTATACAGTGCTTCTCAATCAATTAATTAACTTAAAAGATTTACAGGCATATGCCTTCAAGGTTATTGCCTAGCCTTTTCACTAAAGCCTTGATACGAGTTATGTATTCTATTATCTTTCTAGTATCCGATCATCCTCTCTCTGATTCTCTTTTTTTTGTCACATTCCCTTTTTAGGAGAGAAGCCTTATAAATGCACCTGGGATGGCTGCTCCTGGAAATTTGCTCGCTCAGATGAGCTCACTCGCCATTTCCGCAAGCACACAGGCATCAAGCCTTTTCGGTGCACAGACTGCAACCGCAGCTTTTCTCGTTCTGACCACCTGTCCCTGCATCGCCGTCGCCATGACACCATGTGAGCCGCACAGGTCACACTAGAGAAGCTGCGCTGGTATCTTTCCTGGTCGTGTGCTGAGGTTGGGACAATTTTTTCCTCTTTGACTTCAGCTTGCATATGGGGTTGAAGCAGCCCACTGAGCCAAGTTGAGGAGACTGGAGGAAAAGAGAGCTGGTCTCCCGTGGGGCTCTTCATATTCTACCTTCACTTCTCCACTGTCCAGACCCGTTTTTTTCAACCTCCACATGGGTTGAATTCCAGTGTGGCACCCATGGCTGCCTTCCCATCCCCCCCTGCTCTGAAATAGGACATTTTTCCTACAGTAACAAAACAGGAATCAAACTCAAGGCTGTGAACAAACATACGCTGCTTTATTCTTTCCAATTTTTCTCTTGTTTTCTAGAACTCTTATCCATATGTTTTTAAAATAAGTACCTAAAAGTGGTTTGATAGTGTCCTAAACGACTTTTTTAACTTCCTAAATGGAAAGAGCATAACAATGTAGTTGATTGGTAAGATTTACAGGGATTTGGTTTCTGAGTTTGAGGCACATTCCCAGTGAATAAGCTGAGTCCCATACCACACTCAAAAGGTTTTAATAAATCTAATCCTATTTCTTCTTAAAGTTTGGTTTTCAGACAGTGCTGGTGCTTCTGCTTCTTAAGTTCATCAAGGGAATGAGGAGTTCTTGTCCTTCTCCTCCTCTTTTTTTTCTTTTCCACTTTCTCCTTCAGGATTAAAGATTTTGCTGCACAATTGTTATTTGTTAGGTTAAATTTGGACAAATATTCAAAGCACACATAGACATATAAGTAAGGAGAAAAATGTTCCAGGAGAGTAGGTTGGGCAGTGACAGGAACAAACAGACCTAGGATGATCCTGAGAACAAATAGAGGGGTTCCTTTACTTGTATAGGATATCAAAAGTGCTGTTAATCACAAACCTCATTCAAATGGCAGGCTGTCGAGACAGTGTCTTGAGGGGCTGGCTGTACTGTTTATTTTTTCGTTTACACAAAGAAGCAATTGAGTATATTGCATGATGAGAAATCACACACTAGGGTCATGTTATACAGAAGTAAGGGGTTGGAAAAATGGAATGTTGTTCACTCCATGGAATTATTGGCATTCATTCCTGTGTTTCAAATGAAACATAGATGCTTTTCATGAAAACTGACCTACAAAAAGCAATTTGATGTTCTGCAACTGCTATGAAAACCTAAGCCATTTATTTTAGCTGATAGCAGATTGCATAATATACTCATTTAGCTGCCCAATCAGATTGTTTTATAATATTACCTGGGGTACAAAATCCTCTGTTCCTGGCCCTGGACCACAGATCTACCTCCACATGGCATATTTCCTTTCTGGGGTCAGGGGTAGGGGAGGGGGCTTTGCATCACTTGAATTTAGACTCAGCCTCTCTTTAAAAGATTGTCTTTATATTGAACACCTTTTTCTTTTCAACCCTGCTTGAATACTTTAGGTTACTATTTCCTGAGGCTGTCCATTCTCACTATATTGTAGAATTCTAGCACCAAGAAGGGATCCCGTTAACCATCTAGTCCTATCCATCCCTCATATTTTACAGATGAGACAAATACGGGTCAGATTTTTTTCTCCAGATGTTTCTTTGAGCCCTTATACACCTGCACGCTTATTCTCCTGGGGATCACATAATTTTATTTATTTATTTTTTGAGAGACGGTTTCACTCCATCACCCAGGCTGGAGTGCAGTGGCGTAATCTTGGCTCACTGCAACCTCCGCCTCCTGGGTTCAAGTGATTCTCCTGCCTCAGCCTCCCAAATAGCTTGGATTACAGGTGCGTGCCACCACACCTAGCTAAGTTTTGTATTATTAGTAGAGATGGGGTTTCGCCATGTTGGCCAGGCTGGTCTCAAACTCCTGACCTCAAGTGATCCCCCCACCTCGGCCTCCCAAAGTGCTGGGATCACAGGTGTGAGTCACCACACCTGGCCAGGATCACATTATTAAACCAAATTAAAGTTTATGTGATTGGTTGCAATATTTGTCTAATTTTATATGTTTTCTTCAGGAAAACTTTAGAACTCAAAAATCATTTACAGCTGATTAAATAGCAAGTAAAATGTACTTGTGGTCATTGCCGTATAACATTAGGCACACGCTTCTAACACTTCTATAATATCTAGATTTTATTTACCTCATTTTAACTTGCAATGTCTGTCTATCTCATGAACTCTCCATAAATCCAAGAACTGCCTGTAGTTTTCAAAATGACATGTGGGTTTTTACTGTTATCATTGTTATTTCGATAGGGCTTTTTCCTGATTTTGGGTATACAAGTTCCAAACTTGCATAATAATTGCTAACGCACTAGGCGATATCTAGGGCCAGTCTGTTAAAGGGGACCTCTAATGTAGCTATAAGACAGGTTGGTAAAGATGAACTAACATAAGTTTAAGCTAATAATTCAGTAGTTGATGCAGTATTTCACAGTAGAGCCCGAGCTTACTCATTTTTTTCAAAATTTGGATCCTGATACTCCTTTTTCAGAGTTCAGAACTGAACTGCTCCCCTAAGACCTCAGAATCTTTTGCATTGAGACATATGATCTATTTATAAATAAAGGTTATCAAATATCTTGTTGAACTAATTAGGTTGATCAAATTAGGATCCCAAATATTGGGGTCCCTGACATCTGAGCCTTTATCTAAAAATGTTTCTGTAACATAATGACAGCCTTTATGTTTGTTAATTGCCTATAGTAAAGAAGCAATTTTAAGCCTATTCTCATTTCCCTCTCCCCTACAAAAAATGATAAAAGCTTTCCAATTACTTACATATGCTCTAACAAGTGTCTCAGGATTCATTAACAGAATTTTATAGAGTACAGTAATTCAAATATAGCACAGTACAGAGTTTACCAAAAACACATAAAACTTTGCTAGATAGACAGTGAGGTGGAAAGGAACTAAAATGTATCTCTCTTGAATAGCATTTGGGGTTCAATTGAATTTGTTGTGTTTACAACAGCAAAGCACCGTTAGCCTGGACAGTTGCTTATGGCATCGATAGGGTTGGATAATATTCTGGGATTTGTTGCAGCAGAATTCCTCTATCTGATGATCAGCAGTTGAACATAAACTTCATAATTATAGTAAAATTTAGGAAAAACTATGAGTGTGAAGAGTATGAACTGATTGGGTAGATTAGGCAGAGTGCATTATGGGCAAGACAAAGGTTTTCGATATTAACTTCTTTTAAAATAAACTTTTTATTTTCAAACAGTTTCAGTTTTACAGAAAAAATGTGAAGCTAGTACAGAGAGGTCTCATTTACCCCACACCCAGTTTCTCCTGTTATTAGCATCTCACATTAATATGTGGTATATTTGTTACAATTAATAAAACACATTGATATGTTAATATTATTAACTGAAGTCCATACTTTATTCAGGTTTCTTTAGTTTTTACCTAAGATCCTTTTTAAAGAATTGTTTCGGCCAGGCACTGTGGCTCACACCTGTAATCCCAGCACTTTGGGAGGCCAAGACGGGCGGATCACGAAGTCAGGAGTTCGAGACCAACCTGGACAACATGGTGAAACCACGTCTCTATTAAAAATACAAAAAATTAGCCAGGCGTAGTGGTGGGTGCCTGTAATCCCAGCAATACTTGAGAGGCTGAGGCAAGAGAATTGCTTGAACCTGGGAGGCGGAGGTTGCAGTGAGCTGAGATCATGCCACTTCACTCCAGCCTGGGTGACAGAGCGACACACTTGATCTCAAAAAAAAAAAAATTGTTTCAGCATCTTGTTCAGGATTCCACATTACATCTAATAGTCATATCTCCTTAGGATCCTTTTGATTGTGACAGTTTCTCAGACTTTCCTTGTTTTCAGTGACCTTGACACTTTTGAGAGAGATTTTCCTCAACTGGGATTTGTCAGTTGTCTTTCTCATGATTAGACTGAGGTTATGAGTTTTTGAAAGTAGGACCACGGAGAAGAAGTGCCATTTTCATCACATCATACAGGCATACTTTGGAGACAATGCAGATTTGGTTCCAGATCACTGCAATGAAGCAAATATTACAATAAAGCAAGTCACACAAATTTTTTGGTTTCCCAGTGCATATAAAATTTTATGTTTACACTATCCTGTAGTCTGGTAAATGTGCAATAGCATTATGTCTAAAAAACAATGTACATACCTTATTTTAAAATACTTTATTGCTAACATGTTACTGGCACAAACACGAAGTGAGCACATGCTGTTGGAAAAATGGTGCCAATAGACTTGTTGGTCACAGGGTTGCCACAAACTTTTAATTTGTAAAAAATGCAATATCAGCAAAGTGCAATAAAGTGAAGCACAATAAAACGAGGTATGCCTGTATTTACATGACTCATCACTGTTGTTTAACCTTGATCACCTGGCTGAAATAGTTGTTGTCAGGTTTCTCCCCTGTACTCTTTTTTTCCTCCCCTCCATACTGTACTCTCTGAAAGGAAATCACTATGTGCAGCCCATGCTTCTGGAGTGGTAAGTTATATGCCACACCCTTCAGAGCATGTATCTTACATAAATTATTTGGAATTATTCTCTAAGGGAGATTGTCTCTTCTCCCCCATTTATTTATTTATACAATACTTTATTTATATCAGCATGGACTCATGGGTATTTATTTTATACTTCGAGTTATAATCTAATACTACTACTTTATTTTATTGCTCGAATTGTTCCAGCTTTGGCCATTGGGAGCTCTTTTGGGTGATTCTCAAGTTCTTTTGACACACCCCCATCATTTTTTTTTAGCACGTCCTTACTTTCTGCCACTGCAAGATCTTCCAGGCTCATCTTGTATATTTTGTGGCCTACTCCTATAATCAGCCATTTCTTCAAGAAGTCCTGGTTTCTTTTACTGGAAAATTGTATTAGAAACCAATATCTGGGCATTAGGTATGTTCATTGTTACTGGGCTATTGTTGCTTCTAGGGTGTCTCAGCTAACAGCAAGGAAACATATGTGTGTATACTATCCTATGTATATGCACATTCTATAAATATTTCTATATGTAATCACCCAGATTTTTATTTAGCTAAACATGAGTTCATATTGATGTTTTCAACTCTAACCTGTTACCACGTGAATCATTCTAGCTTCTTCCTGTTAGTTACATGAAGCCTCCCACACTAATACTGAGAAACCTGGCTCTCAACCTCTGTCATCTATTTACTTAATTTTTCAAATTCAGTGTGCACATATAGCAGTATCTGAATTGTTAACCTGTATACCCATGGGAAACAACTTTATCAACTACAGCACAGTGTGTATGTACATAAAAATAGTAATATTTTTAGAACTCCAACAGCTCTTTGAAACAAAGTGGTCTGCAAAATTCTGGAATTAGGGATTTCTGTGATCTGAGTTCCAAGATTCTGGGGTCTATCCTGCCCCCAAAAAGTTTTCTCATGAACCAAACCATCAAGAATGTACCTAACCTTAAATAAGCCAAGGGAACTTACTGATGCTCCACAGTTTGCTAATTCTTGTATGAGGTACTGTAGAGGGATGGATACAGAAGGAACTGGGTGGGCCAAATTTAAATAAACACATAGCACTATCTTTTCTCACTGTTAAATATGGCTCTCTGACAACAGTGATGCTACCCTGAGTTACCTCTCTTCTGTATTTTCCCAGATCTCACTTGGTTGACCTTAGGCAAGTCATATCACCTCTCTGTGCCTCAATTAATCCATTTGCAAAATGGGGATCTCAATATCTACCTCACAGGAATGTTGTGAGGCTTCTCATAAATTGATTTTGGCAAAAATGAAAGATCTTTAAGTGAACAACCAAGTATTATAACCATTGTTATAATGATAGTTATAGTACCTTATATTTACCCTATGTAAAAGAGAAGATTAGGCTTCCTAGGTGATAAACAGATAAATTTGAGTAAGAAGGATAATTAAAGAGTGGCCACTGGAAGCAATATTATTTATTCTCTTACTTTCACTTTCCCTATATCTTCTTTGTTACTAACAATACGATTATCATCTGTTTCCATACTTGAAATGTATTAGGACCTAAAGGAAGAGGTAGGCAAAATTCATTGCTTCAGAAGCTGTATTCTTCCCCCTTTGTAACTCTGCTTGGACCACATTCCATGTCACATTCTCAGAAGCACAAAGGCAATTTTCCAGAGCCCTTTAAGCTTTGGCCAGTTCAGTTTCACCACTTATATTTTCTCTTTCCCAACTTACTTTACTCTGAATAGTATAGGTAGGAGGAGGGAAGTTGGGTAGGGTGGTTGGGGGTGGGAGTGGGTTGGAAGAGGATGGGATTTATACCAGTGGCAGGATATTTCTCTGTTTTCCAAACACTGGTTTTAATTTCCATTTCCTTTTCTGGTGTTGGGGTGGGGTCAGGGGAAGAGATACTATTTTGTTAACTGTTAAAAGCTCTCCTTCCTTTCCTAGAGTCGCTACAAGTAGCTGTGTTGGACATTACTTTATAACTATGCTGTATGCCATGCTGTTTTCATTGTATCACAGAATTAAAAGGGGAAGAGAGTTCCTAGTGGTGTCCATCCCTGTTTTTTGACAGGCAGTCACACAGGTGAGCAGTGCCAGAAACTGGTTCTCTTTTTTGTGTTGGGGAAAGGAGCCTGCAGTGAAAGGATCAGTTGGATTTTTTGTCATTGTTAGTTTGTTTAAATAAATTATAAGACAGTATATTAAGCTTTAGTCTCTGTAACTCTTATGTTTGTGCCCCATTATTTTAGTGCTTTAGAGCAACACCTTGTTTTTCCTCTATTTTATACTAGTTCTTGCTCCAGAGGCATGGCTTTGAGGCTAGAATCATGAGCAATCTCTCATAAACAAGTCTGTTATGCACCTGGAGATACTCAAGATTTGCCTCTGTTAGCATGGCCACTTAGAGATTACTCTGTTCTACTTCAGAGACCCTCCACTATGGCATCCATGCAGGGTGTGTGCTTGGGGACTAAGCAATCTTGTTCAGTTTAATTATTGTACTTTTTTATTAATAAAAAGGTCTTAAACTTCAGAAATCATGGCCATTTTCTTGACTTTGTCTCCAATCTCTGTTTCTTCAGCATGACAAGAGTAGATCACTTTTTTCCCCCTAGCTGGGTAAAGTTGTGATGAAGCTACTATGTAGTATCATGGGATAAAAAATGAAGCCAGGTTGTCTTAAACATGACAGTTTCTCTGTTTAATCATATAAGGTCCTCCCCATTTTGGGTAATGTATTCAGCCGTGTCCCTGAATGGAGCTTCATGAAGGCTTTGTGCTCCTTTTGTGTATTTCCTACAAAGGATTTGATAAGAGTTTGTTGGATACAGATTCAGTTGGCTAGATTTTGTTGCTCAGCTCTGTTCTCCTCACTATTTTGTTTGTGTTTTCCTAAGATGTAAGGAGGGAAAGGAGGGTGTTTGGACAGCTTTAAACCTCAAAGCCACCGCAGTAAAAATTCTAGCCCTGAGTGAAGATGTCGAAGTTGCCTGACCTTTCAGAGAAACTCTGGGAGAAAAGTAGAAAGAGGGAAATTCTGTGCTGGAGATTGAGGCCAAGAGCAGGAAGAACAAATTAAAAAGTGACTGTTCCTGGGCTGCCAGAATGAGATTTTCACTACAAATGATAAAAATAGGAAATCTCATCATTTTTTAAAATCATTTCTTTATTCTAAGAGCCAATGTCATCCCTTTCGGCTATAGGCGTTCTCAATTCCATGCTACCAGTATTGACTAAAAACCTACCAATAATCCAGTCTCCTTTCTGGTTGCTATGGAGATGAATAAAACCCAGCTCCTGCTCTAAAGAAATTCACTCCCTAGTGGAAGAGACCAGCATGTGAAGAAACACAGTAGTTTTTTAAGTGTTATCTTGGAGATATGTTTAATATTTCCAAAGACTAAAAACATGTGAACAATGAAAGATACCATAAACAAAATTTAAACATAGCTGCATATATAATGCAGGATTTCTATCCAGAATGTATTTTTTAAAACCCTACAAACCAATAACAAAAATACAATATACAGGATATTATCCAGGAGAACTTCCCCAATCTAGCAAGGCAGGCCAACATTCAAATTCAGGAAATACAGAGAATGCTACAAAGATACTCCTCGAGAAGAGCAACTCCAAGACACATAATTGTCAGATTCTCCAAAATTGAAATGAAGGAAAAAATGTTAAGGGCAGCCAGAGAGAAAGGTCAGGTTACCCACAAAGGGAAGCCCATCAGACTAACAGCTGATATCTCGGCACAAACTCTACAAGCAAGAAGAGAGTGGGGGCCAATATTCAACATTCTGAAAGAAAAGAATTTTCAACCCAGAATTTCATATCAAGCCAAACTAAGCTTCATAAGTGAAGGAGAAATAAAATCCTTTATAGACAAGCAAATGCTGAGAGATTTTATCACCACCAGGCCTGCCCTAAAAGAGCTCCTGAAGGAAGCACTAAACATGGAAAGGAACAACCAGTACCACCCACTGCAAAAACATGCCAAATTGTAAAGACCATCGAGGCTAGGAAGAAACTGCGTCAACTAATGAGCAAAATAACCAGCTAACATCATAATGACAGGATCAAATTCACACATAACAATACTAACCTTAAATGTAAATGGGCTAAATGCTCCAATTAAAAGACAAAGACTGGCAAATTGGATAAAGAGTCAAGACCCATCAGTGTGCTGTATTCAGGAAGCCCATCTCATGTGCAGAGACACACATAGGCTCAAAATAAAGGGATGGAGGAAGATCTACCAAACAAATGGAAAACAAAAAAAGGCAGGGGTTGCAATCCTAGTCTCTGATAAAACAGACTTTAAACCAACAAAGATCAAAAGAGACAAAGAAGGCCATTACATAATGGTAAAGGGATCAATTCAAGAAGAAGAGCTAACTATCCTAAATATATATGCACCCAATACAGGAGCACCCAGATTCATAAAGCAAGTTATTAGAGACCTAGAAAGAGACTTAGACTCCTAGACAATAATAATGGGAGACTTTAACACCCCACTGTCAACATTAGACAGATAAATGAGACAGAAAGTTAACAGGGATATCCAGGAATCAAACTCAGCTCTGCACCAAGTGGACCTAATGGACATCTACAGAACTCTCCACCCCAAATCAACAGAATATACATTCTTCTCAGCACCACATTGCACTTATTCCAAAATTGACCACATAGTTGGAAGTAAAGCACTCCTCAGCAAATGTAAAAGAACAGAAATTATAACAAACTGTCTCTCAGACCACGGTGCATTCAAACTAGAACTCAGGATTAAGAAACTCACTCAAAACCACTCAACTACATGGAAACTGAACAGCCTGCTCCTGAATGACAGTATACTGAGTACACAACGAAATGAAGGCAGAAATAAAGATATTCTTTGAAACCATTGAGAACAAATACACAACATACCAGACTCTCTGGGACACGTTCAAAGCAGTGTGTAGAGGGAAATTTATAGCACTAAATGCCCACAAGAGAAAGGAGGGCAGATCTAAAATTGACACCCTAACATCACAATTAAAAGAACTAGAGAAGCAAGAACAAACACATTCAAAAGCTAGCGGAAGGCAAGAAATAACTAAGATCAGAGCAGAAGTGAAGGAAATAGAGACACAAAAAACCCTTCAAAAAAATCAATGAATCCAGGAGCTGGTTTTTTGAAAAGATCAACAGAATAGATAGACCACTAGCAAGACTAATAAAGAAGAAAGGAGAGAAGAATCAGATAGATGCAATAAAAAATGATAAAGGGGATATCACCACGGATCTCACAGAAATACAAACTACCATGAGAGAATACTATAAACACCTCTACGCAAATAAACTAGAAAATCTAGAAAAAATGGATAAATTCCTGGACACATACACCCTCCCAAGACTAAACCAGGAAGAAGTTGAATCTCTGAATAGACCAATAACAGTCTCTGAAATTGAGGCAATAATTAATAGCTTACCAACCAAAAAAAGTCCAGGACCAGATGGATTCACAGTCGAATTCTATCAGAGGTACAAGGAGGACCTGGTACCATTCCTTCTGAAACTATTCCAATCAATAGAAAAAGAGGGAATCCTCCCTAACTCATTTTATGAGGCCAGCATCATCCTGATACCAAAGACTGGCAGAAACACTACAAAAAAAGAGAATTTTAGACCAATATCCCTGATGAACATCGATGCAAAATTCCTCAATAAAATGCTGGCAAACTGAATCCCGCAGCCCATCAAAAAGCTTATTCACCACGATCAAGTGGGCTTCATCCCTGGGATGCAAGGCTGGTTCAACATATGCAAATCAATAAATGTAATCCATCATATAAACAGAACCAAGGACAAAAACCATATGATTATCTCAATAGATTCAGAAAAGGTCTTTGACAAAATTCAACAACTCTTCATGCTAAAAACTCTCAATAAATTAAGTATTGATGGGATGTATCTCAAAATAATAAGAGCTATCTATGATAAACCCACAGCCAATATCATACTGAATGGGCAAAAACTGGAAGCATTCCCTTTGAAAACTGGCACAAGACAGGGATGCCCTCTCTCACCACTCCTATTCAACATAGTGTTGGAAGTTCTGGCCAGGGCAGTAAGGCAGGAGAAGGAAATAAAGGATATTCAATTAGGAAAAGAGGAAGTCAAATTGTCCCTTTTTGCAGATGACATGATTGTATATCTAGAAAACCCCATCATCTCAGCCCAAAATCTCCTTAAGCTGATATGCAACTTCAGCAAAGTGTCAGGATACAAAATCAATGTGCAAAAATCACAAGCATTCTTATACGCCAATAACAGACAAATCATGAGTGAACTCCCATTCACAATTGCTTCAAAGAATAAAATACCTAGGAATCCAACTTACAAGGGACGTGAAGGACCTCTTCAAGGAGAACTACAAACCACTGCTCAATGAAATAATAGAGGACACAAACAAATGGAAGAACACTGTATCCTCATGGGTAGGAAGAATCAATATCGTGAAAATGGCCATACTGTCCAAGGTAATTTATAGATTCAATGCCATCCCCATCAAGCTACCAATTACTTTCTTTACAGAATTGGAAAAAACTACTTTAAAGTTCATATGGAACCAAAAAAGAGCCCACATCGCCAAGTCAATTCTAAGCCAAAAGAACAAAGCTGGAGGCATCATGCTACCTGACTTCAAACTATACTACAAGGCTACAGTAACCAAAACAGCATGGTACTGGTACGAAAACAGAGATATAGATCCATGGAACAGAATAGAGCCCTCAGAAATAATGCTGTGTATCTACAACCAACTGATCTTTGACAAACCTGACAAAAACAAGCAATGGGGAAAGGATTCCCTATTTAATAAATGGTGCTGGGAAAACTGGCTAGCCATATGTAGAAAGCTGAAACTGGATCCCTTCCTTACACCTTATACAAAAATTAATTCAAGATGGATGAAAGACTTAATATTAGACCTAAAACCATAAAAACCGTAGAAGACAACCTAGTCAATACCATTCAGGACATAGGCATGGGCAAGGACTTCATGTCTAAAACACCAAAAGCAATGGCAGCAAAAGCCAAAATTGACAAATGACATCTAATTAAACTAAATAGCTTCTGCACAGCAAAAGAAACTACCATCAGAGTGAACAGGCAACCTACAGAATGGGAGAAAATTTTTGCAATGTTCTCATGTGACAAAGGGCTAGTATCCAGAATACACAATGAAGTCAAATTCACAAGAAAAAAACAAACGATCCCATCAAAAACTGGGCGAAGGATATGAACAGACACTTCTCAAAAGAAGACATTTATGCAGCCAGAAGACACATGAAAAAATGCTCCTCATCACTGGCCATCAGAGAAATGCAAATCAAAACTACAGTTAGATACCATCTCACACCAATTAGAATGGTGATCATTAAAAAGTCAGGAAACAACAGGTGCTGGAGAGGATGTGGAGAAATAGGAACACTTTTACACTGTTGGTGGGACTGGAAACTAGTTCAACCATTATTGGAAGTCAGTGTGGCGATTCCTCAGGGATCTAGAACTAGAAATACCATTTGACCCAGCCATCTCAATCCTGGGTATATACCCAAAGGATTATAAATCATGCTGCCTTAAAGACACATGCACACATATGTTTATTGCGGCACCATTCACAATAGCAAAGACGTGGAACCAACCCAGATGTCCAACAATGATAGACTGGATTAAGAAAATGTGGCACATATACACCATGGAATACTATGCAGCCATAAAATATGATGAGTTCATGTCCTTTGTAGGGACATGGATGAAGCTGGAAATCATCATTCTCGGCAAACTATTGCAAGGACAAAAAACCAAACACTGCATGTTCTCACTCATAGGTGGGAATTGAACAATGAGAACACTTGGACACAGGAAGGGGAAAATCACACACTGGGGCCTGTTGTGGGGTGGGGGGAGGGGGGAGGGATAGCATTAGGAGACAACTAATGTTAAATGACGAGTTAATGGGTTCAGCACACCATCATGGCACATGTATACATATGTAACAAACCTGCATGTTGTGCACATGTACCCTAAAACTCAAAATATAATTAAAAAAATAAAAATAAAAATGAAAATAAAAATAAAAAAGAAAAATACAATATACAATAATTTAAAAAGAAATTAACAAATAATTCAGAGAAGGATTACATGTAGTCAGTGAACATATAAAAAGATGTTCAATCTCATCAGTAATTAGGGAAATAAAATGAAATCGAACTATTTTCCATTCATTTGACTGGAAAATGTTTACAAGTTTTATAAGACCAAGTGTTAGCAAATGATTAGGAAGGAGAAATTATAAATTATTGGTTGGAGATAAAAATGGTAGTCATTTTGGAGGTGAATTTTTTTCATATTTATTATGACTAAAACGGCCATATGCCCTATGTCTCTGAAATTTCACATTTTGGTGTCTACAGTAGAGCAACTGTCAACTATATACAGTTTAGTCCATATACCATAAAGATGTTAATTTTAGCATTGTGTATAATTGTGCAAAATTATAAACAACCTAAATACCTATCCAAACGGGGAATGGCTAATTAAACTATTGTATGTTATATTGTGTGATACAGTGCAGCAGTGTATAAAAATGAGGTAGATCTATATTAACTTACATGAAATGATCTTCACATTGTTGAGGAAAAAACCAAATCATATTGTTTGGGAAGAATTCATACGAACCAGATTACCATGTCTATGTATTGAGAGAAGTAAAGGGCCTGAGTTTGAGGGTTTAAAATCAGTCTGTGAGAGTTCAGGAAGGAACTCCACAGGGCTGGTGGAGGATATGGTCAAGAGAACAGTGAATGCAAAGGTACCTCTTCTCTGAAATCTGCTATTGAAAATGCTTAGGAGTTACTATGTAAACTTATGTTTGAGCACCCACGAGTGTATTAGCCTGCTTTGTCTATGAGGTTAGGAACAGTAACCTGGCAGAGAATGAGCATGGGTAGGAGACAATGGTACCAGGTACCATTTTGAAAGGAACTAGCATAGGTCAGCAAGGGGAAGGTACATATCCTGGTAAAAACAAAGTAAACAATCATTGCCTCTTGGCTAATGCACCCTATGAAGCCAGAACAGCTGAGGGTGAGAGGCCCAGAACACATGCTTTGTACCCCTCACCAGCTGAGGAGTGAAAGGAGAGCCTACCTGCTTGCTTGCTTCATTCTTCATGCTGGATCTCTGGATCTGTTGCTTTACAGTAATACTTGTGGGCTGTCTCTCTTCCCTTAGCATTTTCTCTAAATCATATTTTCAGTATAATGTGGCTGAACCTTGATAAAAGTGGATGATCATCTCTAAGCACTTATTTTCCTTTTCTTATTTTGGTTCTTGTCATTATGAAATATAAAAACAGAGGAACGAATAAAACATATCTACAATTGAAAGAATAATGATAGCATAAAGCCACATGTGTGCACAACTCAGGTTCAGATATAACACATTTATTGCCCAGACCTCCAGAAGCATCCAGGCACCTCTTGCTTACCACATTCTCCTCCCTCTCCTCAAAGGTAACCTCTATCTAATTTTGAGTGATAACTATTCTCTTCTTTGTGAAAAAAAAAATTTTGCCAGTGATGAATGTAAACTTAAATCATAGCTTAATTTTCCATATTTTTGAACTTTAAATAGATTGAATCATATTGTATGTGTCCTTTTGTGCTTTATTTTTCTCAGAGATGGTTGTACAATTAATCCATGTAGATATTTGTAGCTGTAGTATTTTTATTTCCATAGCTCTGTAGTATTCTATTATATAAACAACTATATTAATCACATTGAGCTTTGAAGTTCCCTTGTGTTGTTTCAAGTTTAGAGGTTACAATGTTAAGAGAAACAATATTTCTATGAATGTTCTTTCAAATGTCTGAGGGTATACATGTGCAAGAATTTCTCTAAGGAAAATATCTAGGGATGAAACTGCTGAGACAAAGGCATTTGCTTTTTTGTTGTTGTTGTTAGCTAGATTATGCAAAATGTTTCTCAATGCAGTTGCATAAACTTGCATTTACACCAGCAGTGTATGAGGATTTTAATTTCTCTACATCTGTGCGAATATACAGTACAGTCTTTTTTAAGTTTTTACAATTTAATGGTGTATAAGTATATTTTATGGGGTTTTGGCATTTCCTTGTCAACTAATGAGGAGATAATTTTTTCATGTATTTATTGACCTTTTGGATTTTTCTGTTGAAGTGTCTGTTGAAGTCTATAGTGGATGCTATCATGTGCCGCCCAGATACCCCTCTCCAGGACAGAAGCACTCATTGTCAAGCTACTGAGAGTGTTGGCAACAGATACATCTCAGCTGAATTTCTCCCCAAGATAGGGCTGACCAAAATGTACATACCTTTCTCAGGGTCAGCCTGCATCCAATAGCTGTTTGATGTGAGTATATAAAGGCCCTGACCTCCATCCCAATTCAGGATGGCTTTGAAGGGCCATTCTAGCTCCAGAACCCCCATAGGATTGTCTGAGGTCTTTGCTGTGACTGAATTGCAGTTCTTCCTTTCCTTCTGTCCTGTGCTGCTTCTTCCACTTCCCCATAGGTTGGGACCCTGAGATCATGTCCCAATGCATTTTCTATGTTATTTCTAAAATCACTACATTTCTGGCCGGGTGCAGTGGCTCATGCCTGTAATCCCAGCACTTTGGGAGGCAGAGGCAGGCAGATCGCTTGAGGTCAGGAGTTCAAGATCAGCCTTGCCAACATGGTGAAACCCCGTCTCTACTAATAATACAAAAGTTAGCCTAGTGTGGTGGCTCGTGCCTGTAATCCCAGCTACTTAGGAGGCCGAGGCAGGAGAATCTCCTGAACCTGGGAGGCGGACACTGCAGTGAGCTTTGATTGTGCCACTGTACTCCAGTCTGCATGAGAGTGAGACTCTGTCTCGGAAAAAAAAAAATAAATAAATCACATCACTACATTTCTGTCTTTCAAATTTAGATCTTAATTCATCCTGTAATTAATTTTAGTATGTGATGTGATAGAGGTCTTGTATCATTTTTTTCTACATGGATGTCCAGTTGTCCCAGCACTATTCATTGAAACACCCACCCTTTCCCCACCACTATGCAATACCATTTCTGTTACATTAAGTAACGCAAGTGTCAATTTTGGGGCCTCCATTTTTGTTCGAATACTACACACACTTAACTTATAATTGCTTTATAATTAGGCTTGATACCTGGTGGGTATCAAATTTCATGAGTATCAGTTAAACCATTAATTGAGTGGATTGTATTTTTGTAATGTTAAATCAACTTTGTATTCATAGAAAGAGCTCACCTTGATCATAATGTATTATCCTTTATATGCATTGCTATCCATTTCTGTATTCGGTTTGCTAACATTTAGAACATGAATAAGATTGGCCTGTAATTTTTTTTTATGAATTGTCCTTGCCAGGTTTGAGGATCAAAGTTTTACTGGTCTCATAAAATGAATATGAGACAGCTCCAGAGTTTTCTATACTTTTTGGATAAGTTTGTTTAAGACTGGAATTATTTATTCCTTGAATACCTCAAGAGCTTTTTATTGTGGGAATAATTCAGTCTATTAGCTCAATGTTTTGGATATTTTATTCTTTCTTGAGTTCATCCTAATGTATTTCTCCTGGGGATTTGCTGGTTTCACTACAATTTAAAATTTACTAGCATAAAGCTGTTAATAATTGCTTCATTTATTCTACAATTTCTTTTGAAATTTTTCAAACCTATAGAGAAGTTGAAAGAATATTGCAATGAACACCCACATACCCTTCATCCAAATTTACCAATGCTCATCATTTTGCCACGTGACTCTTACCTATTTATCTATCCACATGCACACACACACTCACATACACACACACAAACTTTTAGTTGAACGATTTGAAAGTGAGTGGAATAGAGGTCATGACAATCGACCAATAAATACTTTTGTGTGCATTGCTTAAGAACAAATATATTCTCCTACATAACCAAAATGCATTATCATAATTGAGAGAATAAAAATAATTCCATAATTTTTTTACCTACTATAAGGTTGTATTGAAATCTATCTAATTGCCCCTAAAATGCCTTCGATCTTTTTTTTTTTCCCAACCTAGGATTCTGTGAAGTTTTACACATTACATTTGGTTATATCTCTTTGGTGTGTTTTAATGAAAATGAAGTATCTTGGAATTTTGTTTGCTTATTCATGACACTGAATTTTTTTTTAAGAGTGCAAGCCAGGTCTTATAGAATATTTCCCATTCTGGATTATTATGATTGTTTCCTTATGACATTCAGATAAAATAATTTTTGTTAAAATACTACGTAAGTTATACTATGTACTTCACATTTCATCTTATCATGAGGTACATAATGTAAATTTATCCCAGTATTTGAAATGCCACATTTGATCACTGCATTAACTGACTTTCCAGATTTCTTCATTGTAAAAGTACATTTTCCTTATGTAATTTTTAATAAATTAATGGGATGATATTCTGTTCTCCATCAGTTTCTCTGAGATTAATGCCCAAGAGTACTATATTTTGGTGAAATGCTAAATGTCTATTGAGTTTTAATCTTAGTTTTATGGTTTTATTTTGTTTTTTTAATTTCTAGAAATTCTATTTGGTTATTGTATAAATCTGTGGGATCATTGTTTATAGTGTACTGTTCATTACAGGTGTTTTAAGCTTATATTTTACCTCTTTAAATGTAACAAGCATAGTCATTATATGTTTTTTGTCTGAGAATTCCAACATCTGAAGTTTTTGTGGGTCTTTCTCTACTATCAGTTTGTTTATGACAGTTCTCCCTCATAGCTCCTTATTCCGCTCTGTTACTGTTTTTTTTTTTTTTTTTTTTTTTTGTGGTGAGCAGCCCATTCTTGAAAATTTATTTATAGGACTTCTTTAAGAGCTTAGATGATGGAACCTTTTTCCATAGGAAATTGGTATTTGCTTCTTTCAGGTCTCTTGGGGTATTATTAGTGTAGAATGACATTAAATAACAGCTTGAGGCCTTTAGGGCCACCTAGATTATGGGAATTTGGGTAGTAATTCTCATAAGGGTGTGCTCGAGTTATAAAATCTCAGTGATGGCTTCATCCCCTGCAATGCATAGGAACCAGGCAACTTTCTTTGTAGTTCTCTGGGGGTTGCTGTGGGTTGGGTATGTTTACATCTACTTCATTCTTTCACTGAAAATATAGCTCTTTAGGGTTCCAAATTTATGGATTCAGGGTCTCTTGTTAGATTTTCCATCTTACATGGAGTCCAGACTTTGTCTTCCATCCCTTTAGAATACCAAACCCATGAAAACAAGGGTTCAATGTGCAAAAGTGGCTTTGATACTCCTGTTATTTTTGTGGACTGCCACATTTTGTAGATTTTGGCCTGAACAAAAAAACATACTATTTTGCCAGCTCTTTATGATATAAGAATAAGTTTTGTACATTATTTACACTTTAGTTGTTTTCAGCGTAAGCATTAGTCAAGATACCTAACCTACTATTTTACTGATATTGGAAGACTTATCTCTAAATACTTTAAATTTGATCCATATGTGGCTATTTGTTACCATGGAATAAGATAAACCTAAATATAGCAGTGTAGCATAGTGATTAATTACACGGTCTTAGGAGTCATAGAAAAGTGGGTTTAAATTACAGCTCTTCCCCTACCTGTGTCAATTCGGCTAACTTTTAAAATTATTCTGCTGAATTTTAATTTTTGTTTTTTCCTTTTCTCATCACCCACATTTTACTAATTTTAATCCTTTTCCATGTTTGCTTTCAGTCTTCTTTTTTAAAAACATATTTTACGTTCAGAATTACATATGCTGGTTTGTTACATAGGTAAATTGCATGTTTGGTTTGGTTTGTAAATTGGGGTTTGGTGAAAAGATAATTTTGCCACCCAGGTAATAAAAGCATAATACATGATAGTACATGACACGGTAGTTTTTCAATCCTCACCCTTCTCCCTTCCTCCGCCCTCAAGTAGGCCCCAGTGTCTGTTGTTTCCTTCTTTGTGTCCACGTGTACTCAATATTTAGCTCCCACTTATAAGTGAAAATATGTGGTGTTGGGTTTTCTCCTCCTGTGTTAGTTCACTTAGGATAATAGCCTTTAGTTTCATCCATGTTGCTGCACAGGACATGATCTTGTTCATTTTTACGGTTGTAGAGTATTCCATGATGTATATGTATCACATTATCTTTATTCAGCCTACTATTGATGGTCATTTAGATTGATTTCATGTCTTTGCTATTTTGAATAGTGCTGCAGTGGACATACATGTGCATGTGGCTTTATGGTAAAATGATTTATATTCCTTTGGGTATATACCCAATAATGGGATTGCTGGGTCAAATGGTAATTCTGCTTTGAGTTCTTTTGGAAATTGCCAAACTGCTTTCCACAATGGCTAAATTAATTTACATTTCCATTAGCAGTGTACAAGCATAACCTTTTCTCTGAAACCTCACCAGCATTTATTATCTTTTGACTTTTTAATAGCCATTCTGACAGGTATAAGATGGTATCTCACTGTGGTTTTGATTTGCATTTCTCCAGTGATTAGTGATGTTTAGTATTGTTTTCATGTGCTTGTTAGCCATATGTATGTCTTCTTTTGAAAAGTGTCCATTCATGTTATTTGCCCACTTTTTAATGGGGTTGTTTGTTTTTTGCTTATTGATTTGTTTAATTTCCTTATAGATTGATTTGTTTAATTTCCTTGTAGATTCTGGATATTAAACGTTTGTTGGATGCATAATTTTCAGATCTTTTCTCTGATTCTGTAAGTAGTCTGATTATTCTGTTCATAGTTTCTTTTGCTGTGCAGAAGCTTTTTAGTTTAATTGTCATATTTGTCAATTGTCAGTTTTGTTAAAATTGCTTTTGGTGTCTTTGTCATGAAATTGCTGCCAGTGCCTATGTCCAGAATGGTATTTCCTGCATTATCTTCCAGGGTTTTTATAATTTTAGATTTTACATTTAAGTCTTTAATCCATCTTCAGTTAATTTTTGTATATGGTATAAGGAAGGTGTCAAGTTTCAGTTTTCTACATAAGGCTAGCCAGTTATCCCAGCACCATTTATTGAATAAGGAGTCCTTTTCCCACTGCTTGTTTTTGCCGACTTCATCGAAGATCAGACAGTTATAGATGTGTTGCATTATTTCCGGGCTATTTTGTTCCATTGGTCTAATGTATCTATTTTTGTACCAGTACCGTTTTATTTTGGTTACTGTAGCTTTGTAGTGTAGTTTGAAGTTGCATAACATAATGTCTCCAGCTTTGATCTTTTTGCTTTGGATTGCTTTGCCTATTCAAGCTTTTTTTTTTGGTTCCATATGAATTTTAAAAAGTTCTGTGGAGGCCAGGAGTGGTGGCTCACGTCTGTAATCCCAGCACTTTGTGAGGCTGAGGTGGGCAGATCATGAGTTCGGGAGATCGAGACCATCCTGGCTAACAAGGTGAAACCCCCTAAAAATACAAAAAATTAGTCTGGCGTGGTGGCGGGTGCCTGTAGTCCCAGCTACTTGGGAGGCTGAGGCAGGAGAATGGCGAGAACATGGGAGGTGGAGCTTGCAGTGAGCCGAGATCGTGCCACTGCACTCTAGTCTGGGCAACAGAGTGAGACTCCATTTCAAAAAAAAAAAAAAGTTCTGTGGAAAATGTCATTGGTACTATGATAGGAATAGCATTGAATCTGTAAATTGCTTTGAGCAGTATGGTCATTTTCACAACATTAATGCTTCCTATACATAAGCAGGGAATGCTTCCATTTGTTTGTGTCATCTCTGATTTCTTTGAGCAGTGTTTTGTAATTCTTATTGTAGAGAGCTTTCACCTCCCTGGTTAGCTTTATTGTATTTCTAGGTATTTTATTCTTTTTGTGGCTATTGTGAATGGGATTGTGTACTTGATTTTGCTCTCAGCTTGAATGTTGTTGGTGTATCGGAATCCTGCTGATATTTGTACATTGACTTTTATATCCTGAAATTTGCCGAAATTGTTTATCAGATCAAGGAGTTTTGGGGTGAGACTGGGGTTTTCTAGATATAGAATTGTATCATCCTCAACCAGGGAGAGTTTGACTTCCTCTCTTCCTGTTGGAATGCCTTTTATTTCTTTCTCTTGTTTGATTGCCCTGCTCAGGTCTTCCACTACTATGTTGAATAGGAGTGGTGAGAGAGGGCAAGAGGGCATCCTTGCCTTGCCACAGTTTTCTAGGGGAATGCTTCCAGCTTTTACACATTCTCAGTATTATATTGACCGTAGGTTTGTCATAGGTAGCTCTCATTATTTTGAATTATGTTCCTTCAATGCCTAATTTGTTGAGGGTTTTTAATATGAAGAGATGTTGAATTTAATTGAAAGCTTTTTCTGCACTATTCATATGCTCATGTGGTTTTTCATTTCAGTTCATGTCGTGAATCACAATTATTGATTTGCATATGTTGAACCAACCTTGCAACCCAGGGATAATGCCTACTTGATTGTGGTGGATGAGCTTTTGATGTGCTGTTGGACTCCATTTGCTACTATTTTGTTAAGAATTTTTGCATCTGTCTTCATCAAGGATATTGGCCTGAACTTTTCTTTTTTATTGTGTCTATGCTAGATTTTAGTATCAGGATGATGCTGGCTTCATAGAATGAGTTTGGGATTAGTACCTATTCCTCAGTTTTTTTGTATAGTTTCAGTAAGAATAGTACCAGCTCTTCTTTATACATCTGGTAGAAGTTGCCTGTAAATCCATCTGGTTCTGGGCTTTTTCTAGTTGCTAGGCTTTTTATTACTGATTCAATTTTGGCATTCACTCTTGGTATTTTCAGGGATTCCATTTCTTCCTGTTTCAATCTTTGGAGGTTGTATGCTTCCAGAAATGTATACGTTTCTTCTAGGTTTTCTAGCTGGTACGTATAGAGGTGTTTGTAGTACTTTCTGAGGTTTTTTTGTTTTTCTGTGGGGTTGATGGTAATGTCTCCGTTGTCATTTCTGATTGTGTTTATTTTGATCTTCTCTCCTTTTTTTCTTATTAGTCTAGCTAGTGGTCCATCTATCTTATTTATTCTTTCAGAGACCCAACTACTAGGTTTGTTGATCCTTTGTATGGTTTTTCGCATCTGAATTTCCTTCAACTGGGCTCTGATTTTATTTCTTGTCTTTGGCGAACTCTGTTATTGGTTTACCCTTGTTTCTCTAATTCTTCTAGGTGTGATATTAGGTTCTTAAGTTGAGTTCTATCTGACTTTTTGAGGTGAGGGTTTAGCACTATAAACTAACCTTTTAATACTGCTTTAGTTTTGTCCAGAGATTCTGGTATGTTGTATATTTGATCCCATTAGTTTAAAAAAATTTCTCGATTTTTGCCTTAATTTCTTTTTTTTTAAATTTACTTTAAGTTCTGGGATACATGTGCAGAATGTGCAGGTTTGTTACATAGGTATGCATGTGCCATGGTGGTTTGCGGCACCCATCAACCTGTCATCTAGATTTCTAGCCCCGCATACATTAGATATTTGTCCTAATGCTCTCCTCCCCTTGCCCCCCACTCCCCGACAGGCCCCAGTGTGTCATGTTCCCGTCTCTGTGTCCATGTGTTCTCACTGTTCAACTCCCAATTATGAGTGAGAACATGTGGTGTTTGGTTTTCTGTTCCTGTGTTAATTTGCTGAGAATGATGGTTTCCAGCTTCATCCATATCCCTGCAAAGGACATGAACTCATCCTTTTTTATGGCTGCATAGTATTCCATGGTGTATTTGTGCCACATTTTCTTTATCCAGTTTATCATTGATGGGCATTTGGGTTGGTTCCAAGTCTTTGCTATTGTAAATAGTGCTGCAATAGACATACATGTGCATGTGTCTTTATAGTAGAATGATTTATAATCATTACTTTGGGTATATACCCAGCAATGGGATTGCTGGGTCAAATGGTATTTCTGGTTCTAGATCCTTGAGGAATTGCCACACTGTCTTCTACAATGGCTGAACTAATTTACAATCCCACCAACAGTGTAAAAGCATTCCTATTTCTCCATATCCTCACCAGCATCTGTTGTTTCCTGACTTTTTAATAATCGCCATTCTAACTGACGTGAGATGGTATCTCATTGTGGTTTTGATTTGCATTTCTCTAATGATCAGTGATGATGAACTTTTGTTCATGTTTGTTTGGCCATGTAAATGTCTTCTTTTGAGAAGTGTCTGTTCATATCCTTTGCCCACTTTTTGATTGGGTTGTTTTTTTCTTGTACATTTGTTTAAGTTCCTTGTAGAGTCTGGATATTAGCCCTTTGTCAGATGGACAGATTGCAAAAATTTTCTCCCTTTCTGTAGGTTGCCTGTTCACTCTGATGATAGTTTCTTTTGTTGAGCAAAAGCTCTTTAGTTTAATTAGATCCCATTTGTCAATGTTGACTTTTGTTGCAATTGCTTTTGGTGTTTTAGTCATGAAGTCTGCCCATGCCTATGTTTTCTTCTAGGGTTTTTGTGGTTTTAGGTTTTATGTTTAGGTCTTTAATCCATCTTGAGTTAATTTTTGTATAAGGTGTAAGGAAGGGGTCCAGTTTCAGTTTTCTGCATATGGCTAGGCAGTTTTCCCAACACCATTTATTAAATAGGGAATCCTTTCCCAATTGCTTGTTTTTGTCATGTTTGTCAAAGATCAGGTGGTTGTAGCTGTGTGGTGTTATTTCTGAGGCCTCTGTTCTGTTCCATTGGTCTATATATCTGTTTTGGTACCAGTACCATGCTGTTTTGGTTACTGTAGACTTGTAATATAGTTTGAAGTCAGGTAGCGTGATGCCTCCAGCTTTGTTCTTTTTGCTTAGGATTGTCTTGGCTATACTGGCTCTTTTTTGGTTCCATATGAAATTAAAATAATTTTTTCTAATTCTGTGAAGAAAATCAATGGTAGCTTGATGGGAATATCATTGAATCTATAAATTACTTTGGGTAGTATGTTTTGCCTTAATTTCATAGTTTACTCACTGGTCATTCAGAATAAGGTTGTTTAATTTTCATGTAATTGTATGGTTTTGAGTGTTTTTCTTGTTATTGATTTCTATTTTCATTGTGCTGTGGTCCAAGAATGTGGTCGGTATAATTTTAGTTTTTGTGAATTTGGTGAAGATTTTTTTATGTCTGTGGTCGCTTCTATAGTATGTGCCACATGTGGCTGAGAAGAGTATACATTCTGTTAATTTTAGATGGAGTGTTCTGTAGATGTCTATTATTTCCATTTGGTCAAATGTCGAGTTTAGATCCTGAATACTTTTGTTAGGTTTCTGACTCAGTGATCTGTCCAGTACCCTCAGTGGGGCATTGATGTTTCCCAGTACTGTTATGTGGAAATCTAAGTCTCTTTGTAGGTCTCTAAGAACTTACTTTATGAATCTAGGTGCTCCTGTGTTTGGTGCTTATTTATTTAGGATAGTTAGGTCTTCTTGAAATCAACCCTTTACCATTTTATAATGCCCAACTTTGTCTTCTTTGATCTTTGTTGGTTTAAAGTCTGTTTTGTCTGAAATAAGGATAACAACATCTGCTTGTTCTTGTTTTCTATTTGCTTAGTAGGTTTTTCTCCATCTTTTTTTGTTTGAGCCTATTGCTGTCATTCCATGTGAGATGGGTCTCTGGAGGACAGCACACCATTGAGTCTTGCTTCTTTATCCATCTTGCCACTCTGTGAATTTTAATTGAGGAACTCATTCCATTTACACTTTAAGTTAATATTCATATGTGTGGATTTGATCCTGTTATGTTCTTAGCTGGTTATTATGCAGATTTGATTGTGTGGTTGCTTTATAGCATCGATGGTCTGTGTACTTAAGTGTGTTTATGTAGTGTCTGGTAACAGTCTGTCCCTACCATATTTAGCATTCCTTTTGGGACTTCTTGTAAAGCAGGTCTGGTAGTAAAGGAGTCCCATGGTATTTGCTTGTCTGAAAAGGATCTTATTTCTCCTTTGCATATGAAGCTTAGTTTTACTGGATATGAAATACTTGATTGGAAATTCTTTTCTTTGAGAATACTGAATATTGGCCTCCAATCACTTCTGGCTTATATGGTTTCTGCTGAAATGTCTGCTGTTAGAATGGTGGAGTTCCCTTTGTAGGTGACCTGCTTTTCCTCTCTAGCTGTCTTGAACATTATTTCTTTCATTTCAATCTTGGAGAATCTGATGACTATGTGTCTTGGGGTTCACCTTGTGTAGTATCTCATAGGGATTCTCTGCATTTCCTGAATTTGAATATTGTCCACTCTACCAAGTTTGGGGAAATTTTCATGGATAATACCCTGAAATTTGTTTTTGAAGTTGCTTGCTTTCTCTCCCTCTCTTTCAAGGGCACCAATGACTCTCAGATTTGGTGTCTTTACATAATTCCATATTTCTCAGAGGTTTTGTTCATCTTTTTGTTATTCTTTTTATTGTTGCATGAGTTAGTTCAGAGAAACACTCTTGAAGATCTGAGATTCTTTCCTTAGCTTGATGTATTCTGTTTGTAATACTTGTGATTGCACTATGAAATTCTTACAGTGTGTTTTTCAGCTCTATCATACCCATTTGGTTCTTTCTTAATATGACCATTTTTTTTCTATCAGCTCCTGTAATGTTCCATTGTAATCTTTAGATTTCTTGGATTGGGTTTTTGACTTTCTCCTGAATCTCAATTATTTTTGTTCTTATCCATATTCTGAATTATATTTCTGTCACTTTAGCCATTTCAGCCTGATTAAGAACTTTTGCTTGGGACTTCATGCAGTCATTTAAAGGAAAAAAGACACTCTAGCTTTTTGATTTGCAGAGTTATTGCACTGGTTCTTTCTTATTTGTGTAGGCAGATGTTCCTTTAACTATGGTTTATTTGAGTAGAGTTAGTTGACTTCTTGATGTTTTCAGAGGGATGGGGATTTTGTGCAGTGTCTTTATTTGCCACTGAGTTCTTGTCCTTGATTTCACAGAGGGGAATATTAGCAAAATATTTTTGGTGTTGAAGTTTGGGCTGTGATCCAGCAGATGGTGGTTACTCATAATGACTGGTAGGTACGCTCTTGCTGAGCCATGTGGCTCCTCTGTATTTCCTCATGATTGCAGCCATGCTCACTCCCAATGCTCTGAAAGTGTGAACTCCTCTCCCACTCAAATGCTGGCTGAAGACTTTGGATTGGCGCTCTCAGGCTACACAGCGTAGCCCTGGGGTAAGCTCAGGCTTTATGTTTCTTCCCAAGCTCGGAGGCAGCAGAAGAAGGGACATTGGTGGTGGCAGTGGTTGTGGCAGGAGGCATTTCACATGTCTCTTGGGGCTCCACTGCAGAAAAATGCAGAGCCACTGACAGTAAATGCATTTGGTCTGGGGTGAGGTGGCTGCATTGTGGGCCCAAACCAGGGGGCTCTGCTTGGTGAGGAGCAGGGTGTATGGGAGACTCATGTGGAAGACGGACTGACTTCTTCCCTTAGGTTGGCTGAAGATTGATGGAGATGTGGCACTCAGTGTCTTTGCTCCTTTCCTAGTCTGAAGGCAGCAATGGCAGTACCACTGGAAGCCTTACATCAGAAAAATGTAGAGCCATTGGTACTGGGAATGTTCATACATAGGGTGGGGAAGCTGCACTGCTGGCCCAAGGTGGGGAGGCCACATGGTGAAGAGCAGGGGATCGAGGGCTCGGAGAGAGGAGAGACTGAACTGCTATCTGTATGGTGACTCTGTCATGCTGGAAGCATGAGTAAAGCCCTCAGGTTCTTTTGTTTCCTCAGGATCTTTTGTTTAAGGGCTTTACTCATGCTTCCAGCATGACATGGTCACCATACAGACAGCACAATTTGCAATTGTAAAAATACAGAACCAGCCCAAATGCTCATAAATCAATGAGTGGATAAAGAAAATATTTTATATACATATATATAAAACAAAATACTATATATATATAAAACAAATGTTTTATATAGATATAGTTTTATATATATATAAAACGAACTACTATATATATATGTGTGTATATGTGTGTGTGTGTGTGTGTGTGTGTGTGTGTGTGTGTGTGTATATATATATAACGTAATAATGAAATTCACAGCAACCTAGATGGGATTGAAGACTATTATTCTAAGTGATGTAATTCAGCAGTGGAGAACCAAACATCATATTTTCTCACTCATATGTGGGAGCTAAGCTATGAGGATGCAAAGGCATAAAAATTATACATTGGATTTTGGGGACTTGGGAGAAAGGGTGGGGGCAGTGAGGGATAAAAGACCACGCATTACTGCTCAGGTGATGGGTGCACCGAAATCTCAGAAATCACCATTAAAGAACTTATTCATGAAACCAAACATCACCTGTTACCCCAAAGCCTATTGAAATAAAATGCGAATTACACCTATGGTTTTTATACAACTAAAACTTGGTAAAGTATCAAAGACATCTGAATTTAATTATCAAAATGTCTGAATATTGAGTTGGTTTAAAAGTAGTAAAACACATATATACATGAATCATGTATTATATATTTATCTCATAAAATGTATATTTATTGCCTCAATTTCAGCAAAATAAATTATGTTGTCATGATGAATTTTTTTTTAAAATCAAGAATATCATATCCCTGAAGGAATAAAAAATAAAATGAAGTAACTACTAAAAGTGTAAAAAAAAAAAAAGACCAAAGAGATATAACCAAATATAATGTGTAAAACGTCACCGGATCCTAGATTAAAAAAAAAAAAAAACTATAAAAGGCATTTCAGGGACAATTGAATAGATTTCAACACAACCTTATAGTAGGCAAAATAATGGAATTATTTTTATTGTCTCAATTGTGATAATGCATTATGATTATGTAGGAGAATATATTTATTCTTAAGCAATGCACACTAAACTATTTATTCGTTGACTGTCATGACCTCTATTCTACTCACTTTCAAATCGTTCAACTAAAAATGTGTGTGTGTGTGTGTGTGTGTGTGCGCATGTGGATAAATAGGTAAGAGTCATGTGGCAAAATGATGAGCATTGGTAAATTTGGATGAAGGGTATGTGGTTGTTCATTGCAATATTCTTTCAACTTTTCTGTAGGTTTGAAAAATTTCAAAAGAAATTGTAGAATAAGTGAAGCATTTATTAACAGCTTTATGATAGTAAATTTTAAATTGTAGTGAAACCAGCAAATCCCCAGGAGAAATATAACATTAAAATTAACTCAAGAAAGAATAAAATATCCAAAACATTTAACTAGTAGATTAAATTATTCTGGCAAAAAAAAAAAAAAAAACTCTGAGATATTCAAGGAATAAATAATTCCAGTCTTAAACAAACATATCCAAAAAGTATAGAAAAGTCTGGAGCTGTCTCACGTTCATTTTATTTTATTTTATTTTATTTTTTTAATTTATAAACAACAGAAATTTATTGCTCATACTTCTGGAGGCTGGGAAGTCCAAGATCAAGGCAACAACACATTCAATGTCTGGTGATATCTTGCTTTCTACTTCCAAGATGGTGCTTTCTTACTGTGACCTCATGTGGTGGAAAGGCAAGGCAGCTCCCTTCAGATTCATTTATTAGGACACAAATCTCATCCCCAAAGACCCTGCCTCTTAATGTTATTATTACATTGGGTATTAAGTTCAAACAAATCAATTTTGGGGGAAACACCAACATTCAGATCATAGTAGGTAGAATAAATTTCAGATGAAAATTAGCTCCATCCACAAATAACTATTATATTTTATTTGATATCCCTACAGAAGCTTAATATGAATACCCATATATACATGATTTAAAAACAAAATATCTGCTGTTTTGTAACATGCTTTTTTTCATTAAGCAAGAATATTGGCAATACTGTCCCATGTCATCAAAGATTCTGGTATAACATCACTGAAATGTGGCATAAATATTCCATTATCTGGATGTCACATATTTTATTCAACCAAACACCTGTATTTTTCCCCAGTATTTCACTAATATAAAAGTGAGGTGGATGACTTTATATAAAAATCTTTCTATACATCTCAGACAAATTCTTAGAAGTCAATAGATAATAAATTGCTAATATATATTGCAAATATGCCCTAGAAAGATAGTATCAATTCATTGTCCTATCAGCAACATTTCCCGGTAAAAATATCCGGGACTTAGAAATACAAGAATCACCTACCCTTGACTTCTTTAGCACAATTATCTCCATTATTATAGAAATGCTTCAGACTAGGCCTCTGCCTATGGACATTAGTCATTCCAAAATATTTACTTCCTTCTCTGACACTTCTGTGGAAAAAATATGCTTCACTACCTCCTTGAGTTTGGGCTTGGCCATGTGGTCTGGGCTTGCCTGGTTGTGCAGCCTCTCTTGTTTCTCTCACATTGCCATTAGTTCAGTTTCCCATGGAAAGCGTTTAACTGAAGAAGGATGAAGCCTCAGGCAGACTTAGGTCCAATCAGCAGCTTACAGCTGCCCAGCCAAACCCAGCCTATATCAGCCACATGTGAATGAAATCAACACCTTAGTGTTGTATGACACTGAAATTTTGTGGTTGTATATTTTGCAACAATGGCTGACTGATACTCTAGTAACTGACAACACCCATGAGAAAGGAACTGACTAGCACCTGGGGCAGGCTGCTCTGTCCTTGGCTCTTCGCACCTTTCCTTTGATGGGTCTGCGTGATTGCTCCTTAATTTACAGGTGTCAGCAGGTGATTTGAGCTAAAGTTATTATCCTGGTTGTGCCATTTCAGTCTTACATGTTTTTCCATTTTTACTTTATCTTTGTTCTAAACCTCAGTCCCAATATCCAGTGCAAGAGGCTAATAGAGTGTGGAACAGCATTTGGCTTCTAAAATGTCGAACTATAATGAGAAAAGGAAAACAATTATTAACAGAACCAGTCACAGACACCCATGGAGTGAATCCTTTTATCCCACACATTGTAAAGACAGTGCAGTGAGTTTATCAGCAGAGCCTAAACATCAGATGCATGACTTCAATGGAGAAGCTGTGATACAGTTTCTTAAACGCTTAATAAAAAGGATAACTTTAGTAAAAAACAAAACAGAACAAAACAACAAGAACCATATGCAGCCTAATTAACTCTTGTGGATAAATTCCAAACATTTTATTCTAGGGACTGCTCAAGATCCTTGTTCTAGGGACAAATTTTGGTATTTTCAAAATTTTATTAACTCATGGAACTTGTGCAAAACCATTCCACAGATAATGATCTCAAGACTATACTGCTTATCTCAGTCAATCAACATTTATCAGCCATGTGCAGGAATATCTGTTAAAGACCAGGGATCCAAAGACTCATGCATGTTTCCTGTGCTCAGCACGTTTACAACCTAACAGAAAAAGAGAGACACAACATATAAATCGGTCCACTTTAGAAGTGCTGTGACTGACCTATGGACAAGGTGCTATCTGAGGGGAGAGGAATGATGTAAAACCAGGCTTAACCCAGTACCATGTTTCCCATTCTATCAAACCACACTGCATTTTACATACCAGACCTTTTTGGTTTCATTTTCTGCTTTGCCTGGCTTCTTGCCACCAAGTCATATACTGTCATCCCAGTTTTTCTACATAACCCACCTCCTTTTTTTTTTTTTTTTTTTTTGAGATGTAGTTTCACTTTTGTTGCCCAGGCTGGAGTGCAATGGTGCGACTTTGGCTCACTGCAACCTCCACCTCCAGGGTTCAAGCCATTCTCCTGCCTCAGCCTCCTGAGTAGCTGGAATTACAGGTGCACACTACCACGCCCAGCTAATTTTGTATTTTTAGCAGAGATGGGGTTTCACCATGTTTGTCAGGCTGGTCTTGAACTCCTGACCTCAGGTGATCTGCCCGCCTCAGCCTCCCAAAGTGCTGGGATTACAGGAGTGAGCCACTGCGCCTGGCCCCCACTTCCTTTTTTTTTTTTATTATTATACTTTAAGTTCTAGGGTACATGTGCACAAAGTGCAGGTTTGTTACATACTCACATTGATTTTATGAGACCAATAAAACTTTGATCCTCAAACCTGGCAAGGACAATTCATAAAAAATAAATTACAGGCCAATCTTATTCATCGTCTAAATGTTAGCAAACCAAATTCAGAAATGTATAGTAATGTATATAAAAGATAATACATTATGATCAAGGTGAGTTCATTCTATGAATGCAAAGTTGATTTAACATTACAAAAATACAATCCACTCAATGGTTTAAAGGAGAAAAACTGATACTCATGAGATTTTCTCCACCAGGTATCAAGCCTAATTATAAAACTATTATAAGTAACAGTGTGTGTAGTATTTGAACAAAAATGGAGGCCCCAAAATTGACACTTGCATTACTTAATGTAACAGAAATGGTATTGCATATTGGTGGGGAAAGGGTGGGTATTTCAATGAACAATGCTGGGACAACTGGCCATCCATGTAGGTAAAAAATGATACAAGAACTCTATCACATCACATACAAAAATTAATTACAGGATGAATTAAGATCTAAATTTGAAAGACAGAAATGTAGTGATTTCATTTTTTTTTTTTTTCTGAGACAGAGTCTCACTCTTGTGCAGGCTGGAGTGCAGTGGCACAACGTCGGCTCACTGCAGTCTCCACCTCCCAGGTTCAGGAGATTCTCCTGCCTCAGCCTCCCGAGTAGCTGGGATTACAGATGCGAGCCACCACACTTGGCTAACTTTTGTATTATTAGTAGAGACGGGGTTTCACCATGTTGGCAAGGCTGATCTTGAACTCCTGACCTCAAGCGATCTGCCTGCCTCTGCCTCCCAAAGTGCTGGGATTACAGGCATGAGCCACTGTGCCCGGCCAGAAATGTAGTGATTTTAAAAATAACATAGAAAATGCATTGGGACATGATCTCAGGATCGAAACTTATGGGGAAGTGGAAGAAGCAGCACAGGACAGAAGGAAAGGAAGAACTGCAATGCAGTCACAGCAAAGACCTCAGACAATCCTATGGGGCTTCTGGAGCTAGAATGGCCCTTCAAAGCCATCCTGAATTGGGATGGAGGTCAGGACCTTTATATACTCACATCAAACAGCTATTGGATGCAGGCTGACCCTGAGAAAGGTATGTATATTTTGGTCAGCCCTATCTTGGGGAGAAATTCAGCTGAGATGTATCTGTTGCCAACACTCTCAGTAGCTTGACAATGAGTGCTTCTGTCCTGGAGAGGAGTATCTTGGAGGTACATGATAGCATCCACTATAGACTTCAACAAACAATTCAATAGAAAAATCCAAAAGGTCAATAAATATATGAAAAAATTGTCTCATTAGTCCACAAGAAAATGCCAAAGACCCCATAAAATACACTTATACACCATTAAATTGTAAAAATTAAAAAAAGACTGTACTGTATATTCGCACAGATGTAGAGAAATTAAAATCCTCCTACACTACTGGTGGAAATGCAAGCTCGCGTAACTGCATTGAGAAACATTTTGCATAATCTAGCTAACAACAACAACAAAAAGCAAATGCCTTTGTCTCAGCAATTTCATCCCTAGATATTTTCCTTAGAGAAATTCTTGCACATGTATACCCTCAGACATTTGAAAGAACATTCATAGAAATATTGTTTCTCCTAACATTGTTGCCTCTAAACTTGAAACAACACAAGGAAACTTCAAAGCTCAACGTGATGAAAACAGGCAAAACTAAACTATGATTTAGGTTTGCATTCATCAGTGGCAAAAATATTTTTTTAAACAGGATAGTACCTGTAATTTCTTTTACCATATATCATCCAGCACAGAATAGGTTCTCACATATGCTTATTAGATTGAAGTTACTTTAGGCTCTTTGATATTTTATGGTTGAAATTGATGAAAATATTTTTTCTGCCCTGCTTTACTCTTTAAAAATTAATGATTTATAGTTATCTTTCTGTTATAGTAAAAGATAATCCTTGATCTAGTTGTACATAGCCTATTTTACTCCTTATTAGCTATGAATCTCTAGCCTCCCAGAAGCAGTTGCATTACAAAGCCAAGAGGAGGGGAAATTCAAAGGAGTTTAGAAAGCCTAAGAAAATAATACTTTAAAGAGGAGGTACAATTGTTGGTTCCTTGTCCATATACAGCCCACAGAGATGTTGCATATGACCTGCAAAGTGTTTTTTTTTCTGTTTTTAAATTTATTTACCAGCGTGTTAAAATAGAGATTTCCCATTTCTCTGGAAAGAGAAAATCTGACACCAGTGAACCTGCATTCCTCCCGGGCAACAAATGGGTAGAGCTAAGTAGGGCTGCCTTCTTCCGGCAAAACAGGCATGCCTGATTCTGCTTGCTTCACTCATATACCATGGTTCTTTTACTCTGGGTCTATGGAATCCTGAGAGACCAGTGAATAGAATTCAAGGAGATCTGTGAACTTGGATGGGGAAAGAAGTTATGTTGTTATTTTCATTAACCTCTAACTGAAATTTAGCATTTCTTTCTACTGTGAATATAAACAAGCCACAGTTGTATCAATAGTACCTCCTCAACAGTGTGCATTGCACACATTTTTATACCAATTTCATTTGTTGCAGATATCTGAAACATTTTTGATTCTCATTACTTTTTGAAAATTATGGAGACATCAGGAAGATGGTGGAATAGGACTTTTCAGTGTTTGTTTCCCTACAGAAACATCAATTTGAACAACACTCCACACATGAAAATACCTTCACAAAAGCTAAGGAAACCTGGTGAACTATTACAAAACCTAGATGTAGCACAAAAATTAAAAAGATGCATTAAGGAATGTAGGGAGGACAGTTTTACAATACCCACATCACTCTTCTTTCATACCCAGGCAGCACAGTGTGTAGAGAGATACCCTATGCTTGGGGGAGAAGGGAGAAGTGATCACAGGACTTTGCCTTGGACCCCAACAGTGGGCTGACCCAAGTAAAACCCAGCACTGGGCATGCCCCCACAACCCAGACCCCATGGCAGTACCCACAGACTAAGCTTCTAAGCCCACCCCAACACTAGGTCAAATCCCACAATCTCAGGCTCCAGGCATGCCAAAACAGACTTGGACTCTGGATCACCATACCACCAGGTTAATTACAGTGGCCCCACGCTCCAGGACTGGCCCCAGTTGTCCTGGGCTTCAGATCCACTGTAGTACCAGGCCATTCCCCACAGACTCAGGCTCCTGGCCAACCCCAGGAACAGACAAATCTCCAATCCTAGTCATCATGCTGGTACCTGCAAGCCAGCCTCCATGTTGGCCCCTGTGTATACAAACTCTAAGATTACTCAGTACCTAGCCAGCCCCTGCATGCCCTGCTACAAGTCAGCTCCAGGTTTCAGACCAACCCAGAGTCAAGTTGGCAAACACATCCTCAGGCTTCAGGCCCACCCCACTGCCAAGTCAGCACCCCCGGTCTCAAGTACCACACTGGCACTTGTGGACATAGATTCTAGGTCTGCTTAGGGCTAGGCTGGTCCTTGCCTCTGCACTCTCCATGCTGGCCTTACAGTCCCTTGCTCTAGCAAATCCAGGGTCCAATCCTGCTCCAGAAAATCCAGAGTCCAGGCCTATCAGAGAAGATCCCAGTGCTGGGCCAGACCCCACATACCTAAGCTTCAGGTCTGCCCCTGTGAACTCAGGTCCCATGTGAGTCCTTGTGGTCCAAGTTCAACTCTTGCGGACCTAGCCTGTGGGCCAACACCCACACAGCTAGCTTTCAAGCTGGCCTCAGAATAGTCAGGCTCCAAGTCAGTCCCACAGCCTCAGCCTCCAGACCAGGTCCTGTGGCTCAAGGCTCTAGGCCAGCATGCATAATGCCTGGATCCACATCTTCTGCCACAGACCTAGACTCCATGCTTACCCCTGCACCAGGCTGGCTCTAGGATAGGCTCTGTAGCCCCAGGTTCTAGTGGCCCAAGCGTTCAAGCCAGCTCCATTAGACTCAAAAGTTCAGGCCTAACCCAGGGGATCCCAGTGACAGACTGGCCTCCATGAATCAAGGCTAAGGACCATTCCAGCAGACAAGGACTTTAGGCCAACACTTATGGACCCAGGTCATAGGACTGCCCCTATGGAGTGAGGCCCCAGACGTTTTTCAGTGGACCCAAGGGCCAGGCCCAGCTCCAGCTTAGTTCCTGGCTGGCCTCTGCAAACTCAGGCTCAAGGCTGACCCTTATGCCAGGTAAGCCCCTGTGGATACAGGACAAATGCCCCAGGCCCACCCTCCTGGATACAAGGTCCAGGCCCACTACTGCAGACCCAATTAGCTGGTTTCTCCTGGTAGATACAAGCTCCAAAACTCCCAAGCCAAACCCCATGGACTCAGATGCCAGGGCCTCTCACCTGCTGACTCAGACCAGGTTACCCAAGGATTTCAGCAACAAGTCCAATCACAGCCCACACTAGATGGCATTCTCATAATTACTAGACAGGCTGGTAAAAGTTTTCTCAGAAAAAGTCAGTCTGCAAAGACTGAAATAATTACCTACTTATACAAATGAGTGGATATTAATATATGGCAACAAGAAACATTAAAAAATGAGGTGTAACACCACCAAAAGAATACAATAATTTTCCAGTAGAAAAGCCCCCAAAATGGAGGAGATATGTGAACTGCATGACAAATAATCCAAGATAATTCTTTTAAGAAACTCTGCGGGGGGGAGGAGCCAAGATGGTCAAATAGGAACAGCTCCAGTCTACGACACAGAAGATGGGTGATTTCTGCATTTCCAACTGAGGTACCGGGTTCATCTCACTGGGGAGTTGCAGACAGTGGGTGCAGGAAAGTGGGAGCAGTGCACCATGCATGAGCTGAAGCAGGGCGAGGCATCGCCTCACCCGGGAAGTGCAAGGGGTCAGAGAATTCCCTTTCCTAGTCAAAGAAAGGGGTGACAGATGGCGCCTGGAAAATCAGGTCACTCCCACCCTAATACAGCACTTTTCCAATGGGCTTAACAAATGGCACACCAGGAGATTATATACCGCACATGGCTCAGAGGGTCCTATACCCACAGAACCTCGCTGATTGCTAGCACAGCAGTCTGAGATCCAACTGCAAGGTGGCAGCGAGGCTGGGGTAGGGGCGCCCACCATTTCTCAGGCTTGAGTAGGTAAACAAAGCGCCAGGAAGCTCAAACTGGGTGGAGCCCACCACAGCTCAAGGAGGCCTGCCTGCCTCTGTAGGCTCCACCTCTGGGGGCAGGGCACAGTCAAACAAAATGGAATAGTAATCTCTGCAGACTTAAATGCCCCTGTCTGACAGCTTTGAAGACAGTAGTGGTTCTCCCAGCAAGCAGCTTGAGATCTGAGAACGGGCAGACTGCCTCTTCAAGTGGGTCCCTGACTCCCGAGTAGCCTAACTGGGAGGCACCACACAGTAGGGCCAGACTGACACCTCACACGGCCGGGTACTCCTCTGAGACAAAACTTACAGAGGAACAATCAGGCAGCAACATTTGCTATTCACCAATATCCGCTGTTCTGCAGCTACCACCGCTGATACCCAGGCAAACAGGGTCTGAAGTGGACCTCCAGTAAACTCCAACAGACCTTCAGCTGAGGGTCCTGACTGTTAGAAGGAAAACTAACAAACAGAAAGGATATCCACACCAAAATCCCATCTGTAAATCACCATCATCAAAGACCAAAGGTAGATAAAACCACAAAGATGGGGAAAAAACAGAGCAGAAAAACCAGAAACTCTAAAAATCAGAGCACCTCTCCTCCTCCAAAGGAATGCAGCTCCTCACCAGCAACGGAACAAAGCTGGACGGATAATGACCTTGACGAGTTGAGAGAGGAAGGCTTCTGAAGATGAAACTACTCTGAGCTAAAGGAGGTAGTTCGAACCAATGGCAAAGAAGGTAAAAACTATGAAAAAAAATTAGACGAATGGCTAACTAGAATAACCAATGCAGAGAAATCCTTAAAGGACCTGATGGAGCTGAAAACCATGCCACCAGAACTACATGACGAATGCACAAGCCTCAGTAACTGATGCGATCAACTGGAAGAAAGAGTATCAGTGATGGAAGATGAAATGAATGAAATGAAGCAAGAAGAGAAGTTTAGAGAAAAAATAATAAAAAGAAACAAACAAACCCACAAGAAATATGGGACTATGTGAAAAGACCAAATCTACGTCTGATTGGTGTACCTGAAAGTGATGGGGAGAATGGAACCAAGCTGGAAAACACTCTGCAGGATATTATACAGGAGAACTTCCCCAGTGTAGCAAGGCAGACCAACATTCAAATTCAGGAAATAAATAGAATGCCACAAAGATATGTCCTGAGAAGGCAGCTCCAAGACACATAATTGTCAGATTCACCAAAGTTGAAATGAAGGAAAAAATGTTAAGGGCAGCCAGAGAGAAAGGTCGGGTTACCCACAAAAGGAAGCCCATCAGACTAACAGCTGATCTCTCAGCAGAAACTCTACAAGCCAGAAGAGGGTGGGGGCCAAAATTCAACAATCTTAAAGAAAAGAATTTTCACCCCAGAATATCATATCCAGCCAAACTAAGCTTCAGAAGTGAAGGAGAAATAAAATCCTTTTCAGACAAGCAAATGCTGAGAGATTTTGTCACCACCAGGCCTGCCCTAAAAGAGCTCCTGAAGAAAGCACTAAACATGGAAAGGAAAAACCGGTACCACCCACTGGAAAATCATGCCAAATTGTAAAGACCATCGAGGCTAGGAAGAAACTGCACCAACTAATGAGCAAAATAACCAGCTAACATCATAATGACAGGATCAAATTTACACATAACAATACTAACCTTAAATGTAAATGGGGTAAATGCTCCAATTAAAAGACAAAGACTGGCAAATTGGATAAAGAGTCAAGACCCATCAGTGTGTTGTATTCAGGAAACCCATCTCATGTTCAGAGACTCACATAGGCTCAAAATAAAGGGATGGAGGAAGATCTACCAAGCAAATGGAAAACAAAAAAGGGCAGGGGTTGCAATCCTAGTCTCTGATAAAACAGACTTTAAACCAACAAAGATCAAAAGAGACAAAGAAGGCCATTACATAATGGTAAAGGGATCAATTCAACAAGAAGAGCTAACTATCCTAAATATATATGCACCCAATACAGGAGCACCCAGATTCCTAAAGCAAGTCCTGAGTGACCTACAAAGAGACTTAGACTCCCAGACAATAATAATGGGAGACTTTAACACCCCACTGTCAACATTAGACAGATCAACAAGACAGACAGTTAACAAGGATATCCAGGAATTGAACTCAGCTCTGCATCAAGCGGACCTAATAGACATCTACAGAACTCTCCACCCCAAATCAACAGAATATATATTTTTTTCAGCACCACACCACACTTTTCCAAAATTGACCACATAGTTGGAAGTAAAGCACTCCTCAACAAATGTAAAAGAACAGAAATTATAACAAAATGTCTCTCAGACCAGAGTCCAATCAAACTAGAACTCAGGATTAAGAAATTCACTCAAAACCGCTCAACTACATGGAAACTGAACAACCTGCTCCTGAATGACGACTGGGTACATAACGAAATGAAGCCAGAAAAAAAGATGTTCTTTGAAACCAATGAGAACAAAGACACAACACACCAGAATCTCTGGGACACATTCAAAGCAGTGTGTAGAGGGAAATTTATAGCACTAAATGCCCACAAGAGAAAGCAGGAAAGATCTAAAATTGACACCCTCACATCACAATTAAAATAAATAGAGAAGCAAGAGCAAACACATTCAAAAGCTAGCAGAAGGCAAGAAATAACTAAAATCAGAGCAGAACTGAAGGAAATAGAAACACAAAAAACCCTTCAAAAAATCAATGAATCTTGAAGCTGGTTTTTTGAAAAGATAACAAAACTGATAGACTGCTAGCAAGACTAATAAAGAAGAAAAGAGAGAAGAATCAAATAGACGCAATAAAAAACGACAAAGAGGATATCACCACCGATCTCACAGAAATACAAACTACCATCAGAGAATACTACCGACACCTCTACGCAAATAAACTAGAAAATCTAGAAGAAATGGATAAATTCCTCAACACATACACCCTCCCAAGACTAAACCAGGAAGAAGTTGAATCTCTGAATAGACCAATAACAGGCTCTGAAATTGAGGCAATAATTAATAGCTAACCAACCAAAAAAAGTCCAGGACCAGATGTAGTCACAGCCCAATTCTACCATAGGTACAAGGAGGAACTGGTACCATTCCTACTGAAACTATTCCAATCAATAGAAAAAGAGAGAATCCTCCCTAACTCCTTTTATGAGGCCAGCATCATCCTGATACCAAAGCCTGGCAGAGACACAACCAAAAAAGAGAATTTTAGACCAATATCCTTGATGAACATTGATGCAAAAATCCTCAATAAAATACTGGCAAACCAAATCCAGCAGCACATCAAAAAGCTTATCTACCATGATCAAGTGGGCTTCATCTCTGGGATGCAAGACTGGTTCAATGTGCACAAATCAATAAACGTAATCCAACATATAAACAAAACCAAAGAAAAACCACATGATTATCTCAATAGATGCAGAAAAGGCCTTTGACAAAATTCAACAACCCTTCATGCTAAAAACTCTCAATAAATTAGGTATTGATGGGACGTATCTCAAAATAATAAGAGCTATCTATGACAAACCCGCAGCCAATATCATAATGAATGGGCAAAAACTGGAAGCATTCCCTTTGAAAACTGGCACAAGACAGGGATGCCCTCTCTCACCACTCCTATTCAACATAGTGTTGGAAGTTCTGGCCAGGGCAATCAGGCAGGAGAAGGAAATAAAGGGCATTCAATTAGGAAAAGAGGAAGTCAAATTGTCCATGTTTGCAGATGACATGATTCTATACCTAGAAAACCCCATCATCTCAGCCAAAAATCTCCTTAAGCTGATAAGCAACTTCAGCAAAGTGTCAGGATACAAAATCAATGTGCAAAAATCACAAGCATTATCAAAAATTGGCACATGAAATTAATGATTTAAGACAGTCTGTTATTTGGCTTGGAGATCAGTTGGTCAATCTTGAACATCGCATGCAAATGCAGTGTGATTGCAAAACTTCGGATTTCTGTATCACCCCTTATTCCTGTAGCGGACTGATCATTCATGGGAAATGGTCAAAGGACACCTTCTGGATAGGGAAGGACGTAAGCAAATTAAAAAAACAAATTTTTGAAGCCTCTCGAGCTCACTTATCCATTGTGCCTGGAGCTGAGGTGTTAGATCAGGTGGCAGAAAATCTTTATGGACTAAACCCCATGGCTTGGATTAAGTCTATTGGGGGTTCAACTGCAGTAAATTTTGGAATTTTGTTTCTCTGTTTAATTGGCTTGTTTTTAGTGTACAAGGCCAGTCAAAGAATCCTGCATCAAAATCGAGAGAACGAACAAGCCTTCATCGCCATGGCACATTTATATAAAAAGAAAGGGAGAGATGTTGTGGGAAGTCAGGAACCCCAAATGGAGGGACTGGCTGAAGCTATGGCAGAAGAACATAAATTGTGAAGATTTCATGGACATTTATTAGTTCCCCAAAATTAATACTTTTGTAATTTCTTATGCCTGTCTTTACTGCAATCTCTGAACATAAATTGTGAAGATTTCATGGACACAGATCACTTCCCCAGTCAATACCCTTTTGATTTCCCATGGCTGTCTTTACTTTAATCTCTTAATCCCATCATCTTCATAAGCTGAGAAGGATGTATGTCACCTCAGGAGCCTCTGATGATTGATTGCGTCAACTGCACAAATTGTTTGTAGAGCATGTGTGTTTGAACAATATGAAATCTGGGCACCTTGAAAAAAGAACAGGATAACAGCAATGTTCAGGGAACAAGAGAGATAATATTAAACTCTGACCGCTGGTGAGCTGGGCAGAACAGAGTCATATTTCTCTTCCTTCAAAAGGGGAGAAATATCACTAAATTCTTTTATTATTATTATTATATTTTGAGTTTTAGGGTACATGTGTACAATGTGCAGGTTAGTTACATATGTATACATGGGCCATGCTGGTGCACTGCACCTATTAACTCGTCATTCAGCATTAGGTATATCTCCTACAGCTACGCCTCCCCCTTCCCCCACCCCACAACAGTCCCCAGAGTGTGATGTTCCCCTTCTTGTGACCATGTGTTCTCATTTTTCAATTCCCACCTATGAGGGAGAATATGCGGTGTTTGGTTTTTTGTCCTTGTGAAAGTTTACTGAGAATGATGATTTCCAATTTCATCCATGTCCCTACAAAGGACATGAACTCATCATTTTTTATGGCTGCATAGTATTTCATGGTGTATATGTGCCACATTTTCTTCATCCAGTCTATCATTGTTGGACATTTGTCTTGGTTCCAAGTCTTTGCTATTGTGAATAATGCTGCAATAAACATACGTGTGCATGTGTCTTTATAGCAGCATGATTTATAGTCCTTTGGGTATATACCCAGTAATGGGATGGCTGGGTCAAATGGTATTTCTAGTTTCAGATCCCTGAGGAATCGCCACACTGACTTCCACAATGGTTGAACTAGTTTACAGTCCCACCAACAGTGGAAAAGTGTTCCTATTTCTCCACACCCTCTCCAGCACCTGTTGTTTCCTGACATTTTAATGATTGCCATTCTAAGTGGTGTGAGATGGTATCTCATTGTGGTTTTGATTTGCATTTCTCTGATGGCCAGTGATGATGAGCATTTTTTCATGTGTTTTTTGGCTGCATAAATGTCTTCTTTTGAGAAGTGTCTGTTCATGTCCTTTGCCCACTTTTTGATGGGGTTGTTTTTTTTTCTTGTAAATTTGTTTGAGTTCATTGTAGATTCTGGATATTAGCCCTTTGTCAGATGAGTAGGTTGTGAAAATTTTCTCCCATTATGTAGGTTGCCTGTTCACTCTGATGGTAGTTTCTTTGGCTATGCAGAAGCTATTTAGTTTAATTAGATCCCATTTGTCAATTTTGGCTTTTGTTGCCATTGCTTTTGGCGTTTTAGACATGAAGTCCTTGCCCATGCCTATGTCCTGAATGGTAATGCCTAGGTTTTCTTCAAGGGTTTTTCTGGTTTTAGGTCTAACATTTAAGTCTTTAATCCATCTTGAATTAATTTTTGTATAAGGTGTAAGGAAGGGATCCAGTTTCAGCTTTCTACATATGGCTAGCCAGTTTTCCCAGCACCATTATTAAATAGGGAATCCTTTCCCCATTGCTTGTTTTTCTCAGGATTGTCAAAGATCAGATAGTTGTAGATATGCGGCATTGTTTCTGAGGGCTCTGTTCTGTTCCATTGATCTATATCTCTGTTTTGGTACCAGTACCATGCTGTTTTGGTTACTGTAGGCTTGTAGTATAGTTTGAAGTCAGGTAGTGTGATGCCTCCAGCTTTGTTCTTTTGGCTTAGGCCTGACTTGGCAATGCAAGCTCTTTTTTGGTTCCATATGAACTTTAAAGTAGTTTTTTTCCAATTCTGTGAAGAAAGTAATGGGTAGCTTGATGGGGATGGCATTGAATCTGTAAATTACCTTGGGCAGTATGGCCATTTTCATGATATTGATTCTTCCTACCCATGAGCGTGGAATGTTCTTCCATTTGTTTTTATCCTCTTTTATTTAACTGAGCAGTGGTTTGTAGTTCTCCTTGTAGAGGTCCTTCACGTCCCATGTAAGTTGGATTCCTAGATATTTTATTCTGTTTGAAGCAATTGTGAATGGGAGTTCACTCATGATTTGGCTGTCTGTTTGTGTGTTATTGGTGTATAAGAATGCTTGTGATTTTTGTACATTGATTTTGTATCCTGAGACTTTGCTGAAGTTGGTTATCAGCTTAAGGAAATTTTGGGCTGAGACAATGGGGTTTTCTAGATATACAATCATGTCATCTGCAAAAAGTGACAATTTGACTTCCTCTTTTCCTAATTGAATACCCTTTATTTCCTTCTCCTGCCTAATTGCCCTGGTCAGAACTTCCAACACTATGTTGAATAGGAGTGGTGAGAGAGTGCATCCCTGTCTTGTGCCAGTTTTCAAAGGGAATGCTTCCAGTTTTTGCCCATTCATTATGATATTGGCTGTGGGTTTGTCATAGATAGCTCTTATTATTTTGAGTGTCATAGATAGCTCTTATTATTTTGAGATACGTCCCGTCAATACCTAATTTATTGAGAGTTTTTAGCATGAAGTGTTGTTGAATTTTGTCAAAGGCCTTTTCTACATCTATTGAGACAATCATGTGGTTTTTGTCTTTGGTTCTGTTTATATGCTGGATTACATTTATTCATTTGCGTATATTGAACCAGCCTTGCATCCCAGGGATGAAGCCCACCTGATCATGGTGTATAAGCTTTTTGATGTGCTGCTGGATTCGGTTTTCCAGTATTTTATTGTGGATTTTTGCATCAATGTTCACCAAGGATATTGGTCTAAAATTCTGTTTTTTTGTCATGTCTCTGCCAGGCTTTTGTATCAGGATGATGCTGGCCTCATAAAATGAGTTAGGGAGGATTCCCTCTTTTTCTATTGATTGGAATAGTTTCAGAAGGAATGGTACCAGTTCCTCCTTGTACCTCTGGTAGAATTTGACTGTGAATCCATCTGGTTCTGGACTCTTTTTGGTTGGTAGCTATTGATTATTGCCACAATTTCAGAGCCTGTTATTGGTCTATTCAGAAATTCAACTTCTTCCTGGTTTAGTCTTGGGAGAGTGTATGTGTTGCGGAATTTATCCATTTCTTCTAGATTTTCTAGTTTATTTGCATAGAGGTGTTTGTAGTATTCTCTGATGGTAGTTTGTATTTCTGTGGGATCAGTGGTGATATCCCCTTTATCGTTTTTTATTGCATCTATTTGATTCTTCTCTCTTTTCTTCTTTATTAGTCTTGCTAGGGGCCTACCAATTTTGTTGATCCTTTCAAAAAACCAGCTCCTGGATTCATTAATTTTTTGAAGGGTTTTTTGTGTCTCTATTTCCTTCAGTTCTGCTCTGATTTTAGTTATTTCTTGCCTTCTGCTAGCTTTTGAATGTGTTTGCTCTTGCTTTTCTAGTTCTTTTAATTGTGATGTTAGGGTGTCAATTTTGGATCTTTTCTGCTTTCTCTTGTGGGCATTTAGTGTTATAAATTTCCCTCTATACACTGCTTTGAATGTGTCCCAGAGATTCAGGTATGTTGTGTCTTTGTTCTCATTAGTTTCAAAGAACATCTTTATTTCTGCCTTCATTTCGTTATGTACCCAGTAGTCATTTAGGGGCAGGTTGTTCAGTTTCCATGTAGTTGAGCGGTTTTCAGTGAGTTTCTTAATCCTGAGTTCTAGTTTGACTGCACTGTGGTCTGAGAGACAGGTTTTTTTTTAATTTCTGTTCTTTTACATTTGCTGAGGAGTGCTTTACTTCCAACTATGTGGTCAATTTTGGAATATGTGTGGTGTGGTACTGAAAAAAATGTATACTCTGTTGATTTGCTGTGGAGAGTTCTGTAGATGTCTATTAGGTCTGCTTGGATCAGAGCTGAGTTTAATTCCTGCATATCATTGTTAAGTTTCTGTCTCGTTGATCTGTTTAATGTTGACAGTGGGGTGTTAAAGTCTCCCATTATTATTGTCTGGGAGTCTAAGTCTCTTTGTACGTTACTCAGGACTTGCTTTATGAATCTGGGTGCTCCTGTATTGGGTGCATATATATTTAGGATAGTTAGCTCTTCTTCTTGAATTGATCCCTTTACCATTATGTCATGACCTTCTTTTTCTTTTTTGGTCTTTCTAGGTTTAAAGTCTGTTTTATCAGAGACTAGGATTGCAACCCCTGCCTTTTTCCGTTTTCCATTTGCTTGGTAGATCTTCCTCCATCCCTTTATTTTGAGCCTATGTGTGTCTCTGCACGTGAGATGGGTCTCCTGAATACAGCACACTGATGGGTCTTGACTCTTTATCCAATTTGCCAGTCTGTGTCTTTTAATTGGAGCATTTATTCCATTTACATTTAAAGTTAATATTATTATGTGTGTATTTGATCCTGTCATTATGATGTTAGCTGGTTATTTTGCTCGTTAGTTGACGCAGTTTCTTCCTAGCCTCGATGGTCTTTACAATTTGGCATGATTTTGTGCTGGCTGGTACCGGTTGTTCCTTTCCATGTTCAGTGCTTCCTTCAGGAGCTCTTTTAGGGCAGGCCTGGTGGTGACAAAATCTCTCAGCATTTGCTTGTTCGTAAAGGATTTTATTTCTCCTTCACTTCTAAAGCTTAGTTTGGCTGGATATGAAATTCTGGGTTGAAAATTCTTTTCTTTAAGAATGTTGAATATTGGCCCCCACTCTCTTCTGGCTTGTAGAGTTTCTGCCAAGAGATCCGCTGTTAGTCTGATGGGCTTCCTTTTGTGGGTAACCCGACCTTTCTCTCTGGCTGCCCTTAACATTTTTTCCTTCATTTCAACTTTGGTGAATCTGACAATTATGTGTCTTGCAGTTGCTCTTCTGGAGGAATATCTTTGTGGCATTCTCTGTATTTCCTGAATCTGAATGTTGGCCTGCCTTGCTAGATTGGGGAAGTTCTCCTGAATAATATTATGCAGAGTGTTTTCCAACTTGGTTCCATTCTCCCTGTCACTTTCAGATACACCAATCAGATCTAGATTTGGTCTTTTCACATAGTCCCATATTTCTTGGAGGCTTTGTTCATTTATTTTTATTCTTTTTTCTCTGAACTTCCCTTCTTGCTTTAGTTCATTCATTTCATCTTCCATCACTGATACCCTTTCTTCCGGTTGATTGTGTCAGCTCCTGAGGATTCTGCATTCTTCACTTAGTTCTCGAGCCTTGGCTTTCAGCTCCATCAGCGACTTTAAGTGCTTCTCTGTATTGGTTATTCTAGTTATACATTCATCTAAATTTTTTTCAAAGTTTTCAACTTCTTTGCCTTTGGTTTGAATTTCCTCCCGTAGCTCAGAGTAGTTTGGTCGTCTGAAGCCTTCTTCTCTCATCTCATCAAAGTCATTCTCCATCCAGCTTTGTTCCATTGCTGATGAGGAGCTACGTTCCTTTGGAGGAGGAAAGGTGCTCTGCTTTTTAGAGTTTCCAGTTTTTCTGCTGTGTTTTTTCCCCATCTTTGTGGTTTTATCTACTTTTGGTCTTTGATGATGGTGATGTACAGATGGATTTTTGGTGTGGATGTCCTTTCTGTTTGTTAGTTTTCCTTCTTACAGTCAAGACCCTCAGCTTCAGGTCTGTTGGAGTTTGCTAGTGGTCCACTCCACACTCTGTTTGCCTGGGTACCAGCAGCAGTGGCTGCAGAACAGCAGATTTTTGTGAACCACAAATGATTCTTTCTGATCATTCCTCTGGAAGTTTTGTCTCAGAGGAGTACCTGGCCGTGTGAGGTGTCAGTCTGCCCCTACTGGGGGGTGCCTCCCAGTTAGGCTGCTCAGGGGTCAGGGGTCAGGGACCCACTTGAGGAGGCAGTCTGCCCGTTCTCAGATCTCCAGCTGCATGCTGGGAGAACCACTGCTCCCTTCAAAGCTGTCAGAGAGGGACATTTAAATCTGCAGATGTTATTGCTGTCTTTTTGTTTGTCTGTGCCCTGCCCCCACAGGTGGCACCTACAGAAGCAGGTAGGCCTCCTTGAGCTGTGGTGGGCTCCACCCAGTTTGACCTTCCTGGCTGCTTTGTTTACCTAAGTAAGCCTGGATAATGGCAGTCGCCCCTCCCCCAGCCTCGCTGCCTCCGTGCAGTTTGATCTCAGACTGCTGTGCTAGCAATCAGTGGGACTCCGTGGGTGTAGGACCCTCCGAGCCATGTGTGGGATATAATCTCCTGGTGTGCGGTTTTTTAAGCCCATCAGAAAAGCACAGTATTGGGGTGGGAGTGACCTGATTTTCCAGGTGCCATCTGTCACCCCTTTCTTTGACTAGGAAAGGGAACTCCCTGACCCCTTGTGCTTCCCGAGTGAGGCAATGCCTCCCCCTGCTTCAGCTCGCACATGCTGCACTGCACCCACTGTCCTGCGCCCACTGTCTGGCACTCCCTAGTGAGATGAACCCGGTACCTCAGATGGAAATGCAGAAATCACCCATCTTCTGTGTCGCACACTCTGGGAGCTTTAGACCGGAGCTGTTCCTATTCAGCCATCTTGGCTCGCTTAATTCTTTTTCTCAGCAAGGAACATCCCTGAGACAGAGAATGTGTCCCTGAGGGTAGGCCTCTAACATGGCCACTTTGAGGGGTGGCCATCTTTTATGGTCAAAACTGTAGCAATGAAATAATCCCCAGTCTCCCATAGTGCTTCCAGTCTTATTAGGATGAGGAAATTCCCACCTAATAAATTTTGGTCGTACTGGTTGTCTGCTCTCAAACCCTGATAAGATGTTATCAATGACAATTCATGCCCGAAAGTTCATTAGCAATTTTAATTTCACCCTGGTCCTTTGGTTCTGTGATCTCTCTCTGCCTCCATTTGCCTTGTGATATTCTATTACCTTGTGAAGCATGTGATCTCTGTGACCCACACCCTATTCATACTCTCCCTCCCATTTTGAAAATCACTAATAAAAACTTGCTGGTTTTGTGGCTCAGGGGGCATCACAGAACCTGCCGACCTGTGATGTCTCCCCCAGACACCCAGCTTTAAAATTTCTCTTTTTTGTACTCTGACCCTTTATTTCGTGGGTGAATTTCATCCAATATCTGGCTGAATTTCCCCTGATAAAGCCTCACTACATACTCCACTAACAGCCACAGCCTGAGGGCTGTGGAACTCTGAGGAACTCACAAGACAACACTGACACTGATTATAGCTGAAGAAATTATATGAAGACTCTACTACTGTGTTCATCCAGAATCAAAGCCTAAGTGCCTTATCCAACCAACACTATAGATACATTGATATGGTTTGTATAATTGTCCCCTCCAAATTTCTTGGAAATATTTTTAAGCTCCTTGTAGACTCTGGATATTAGAGCTTTGTCATATGGGTAGATTGCAAAAGTGTTCTCCCATTCTGTAGGTTATCTGTTCATCTGATGATAGCTTATCTTGCTGTGCAGAAGCTCTTTAGTTTCATTGGATCCCGTTCTTCAATTTTTACTTTTGTTGCAATTGCTTTCAGCATTTTCATCATGAAATCTTTGCCTGTGCTGATGTCCTGAATGGTATTACCTAGATTTTCTTCTAGGGTTTTTATAGTTTCAGGTTTTACATGTAAGTCTTCAATCAATCTTGAGTTAATTTTAGTATAATGTTTAAGGAGGAGTCCAGTTTTTAATTTTCTGCATATGGCTAGCAAGTTTCCCCAGAGCCACTTATTAAATAGGTAGTCCTTTCCCCATTGCTTGTTTTTGTCAGGTTTGTCAAAGATCACTTCGTTGTAGGTGTGTGGCCTTATTTCTGAGTTCTCTATTATGTTCCATTAGTCTGTGTCTGTTTTCGTACCAGTACCATGGTATTTTGGTTACTGTAGCCTTGTAGTATAGTTTGAAGTTGGGTAGCATAATGCCTCCAGCTTTGTCCTTTTTGCTTAGGATTGTCTTGGCTATATGGGCTTTTTTGGTTCCATATGAATTTTAAAATAATTTTTTTCTAATTCTGTGAAAAATGTTAATGGGACTTTAGTGGAAATAGCATTGAATCTATGAATTACTTTGCACAGTATGGCCATTTTTATGGTATTGATTCTTTCTATCCAAGAGCATGGAATGTTTTTCCATTTGTTTGTGACCTCTCTGATTTCCTTGAGCAGTGGTTTGTAGTTGTCTTTAAGAGATCCTTCACTTCTCTTGTAAGCCGTATTCCTAGGTATTTTATTCTCTTCGTAGCAATTATGAATGAGAATTCATTCATGATTTGGCTTTCTGCTTGCCTGTTGTTGGTGTACAGAGATGCTCGCAATTTTTGAACATTGATTTTGTACCCTGAGACATTACTGAAGTTGCTTATCAGGCTAAGAAGCTTTTGGGCTGAGATGATGTGGTTTTCTAGATATAGAATCATGTCATCTGCAAACAAAGACAATTTGGCTTCTTCTCTGACTATTTGAATACCCTTTATTTATTACTCTTGCCTGATTGCTCTGGCCAGAACTTCCAATAACATGTTGAATAAGAGTGGTGAGAGACAGCATGCTTGTCTCGTGCCAGTATTCAAGGAGAATGCTTCCAGGTTTTGCCCATTTAGTGTGATATTGGCTATAGGTTTGTCATATACGGCTCTTTTATTTTGCAGTATGATCCTTAGATACATAGTTTATTGAGACCTTTTAACATAAAGGGATGTTAAATTTTATCAAAGGCCTTTTCTGCATCTATTGAGATAATCATGTGGTTTTTGTATTTAGTTCTGTTTATTTGATGAATTACATTTATTGATTTGTGTATATTGAACCAACCTTGCATCCCGGGGATGAAGCCAATTTGTTCGTGGTGGATATGCTTTTTGATTTGTTGATGGATTCAGTTTGCTAGTATTTCATTGACGATTTTTGCATTGATGTTCATTAGGGATGTTGGCCTGAAGTGTTTTTATTTTTATTTTTATTTTTATCTCTGCCAGGTTTTGGTGTAAGAATGATGCTGGCCTCATAAAATGAGTTAGGGAGGAGTCCCTCCATATCAATTGTTTAGAATACTTTCAGTAGAAATCATACCAACTCTTCTTTCTACCTCTGGTAGAGTTCAGCTTTAAATCTACCTGGTCCTAGGTTTTTATTGTTTTGTTTTGTTTGTTCAGTAGAAATTGTACCAGCTCTTCTTCCTAACTCTGGTAAAATTGAACTGTAAATTCGTCTGGTCCTGGGCTTTTTAAATTTTTGGGGGGTTTGTAGGCTATTTATTAATGCTGGAACTTCATAACTCACTATTGGTCTATTCAGGGATTCAATTTCCTCCTGGTTCAGCCTTGGGAGGGGATATGTGTCAGAAATTTGTCCATTTCTTCCAGATTTTCTAGTTAATGTGCATAGAGGTGTTTATAGTATTCTCTAATGGTTGTTTGTATTTCTGCAGGATCAGTGATGATATCCCTTTAATTATTTTTTATTGTGTCTGTTTGATTCTTCTCTCTTTTCTTCTTTATTAGTGTAGCTAGTTGCCTATTTGTTTTATTAATTTTTTTCAAAAAACTGGCTCCTGGATTCATTGATTTTTTTTGAAGGGTTTATTGTGTCTCTCCTTCAGTTCCACTCTGATCTTGGTTATTTCTTGCCTTCTGCTACCTTTGGGGTTTCTTTGCTCTTGGTTCTCTAGTTATATTAGTTGTGGTGGTAGGTTGTTGATCTGAGATCTTTCTAGATTTTTGATATGGGCATTTGCTGTTATAAATTTCCCTCTTAACACTGTTTTAGGCAGGGCACGGTGGCTCATGCTTGTAATCCCAGCACTTTGGGAGGCCAAGCCAGGCATACCACCTGAAGCCAGGAATTTGAGACCAGCCTGGCCAACATGGCAAAATCTCATCTCTACTAAAAATACAAAAATTAGCTGGGTGTGGTGGCATGAGCCTGTAATCCCAGCTACTTAGGAGGCTGAGGTAGGAGAATTGCTTGAACCCAGGAGGTGGAGGTTGCAGTGAGCCAAGATCATGCCACAGCATTCCAGCCTGGGAGACAGAGAGAGACTCCATCTCAAAAAACAAAAACACTGTTTTAGCCTCATCCCACAGATTCTGGTACATTGTCTTTTTTTCTCATTAGTTTCAAATAACTTCTTGATTTCTGCCTTAACTTTATTATTCACCCAGGAGTCATTCAGGATCAGGTTGTACAATTTCCATGTAGTTGTGTGGTTTTGAGTGAGTTTATTAATCTTGAGTTTTAATTTGATTGTGCTGTGGTATAAGAGACTTTTTGTTAGGATTTCAATTTTTTTTTTTTTTACATTTGTTGAGAAGTGGTTTCCTTCCAAATATATGATCAATTTTAAAGTAGTTGCCATGTGGCAATGAGAAGAATGTATATTCTGTCGTTTTGTTGTGGACAGTTCTGTAGATATTTATCAGGTCTCCTTGATCCAGAGCTGAGTTCGGGACCTGAATATCTTTGTTAATTTTCTGTCTTGCTGATCTGTATAATACTGTTAGTGGGGTGATAAAGTCTACCAACATTATTGGATGGGAGTCTGAGTCTCTTTGAAGGTCTCTGAGAACTTGCTTTATGAATTTGGGTGCTCCTGTATTGGGTGCATATGTACTTAGGATAGTTATCTCTTCTTGTTGAATTGAACCCTTTACCATTATGTAATGCCGTTCTTTCTCTTTTATGATCTTTGTTGGTTTAAAGTCTGTTTTGATGGAAACTAGAACTGCAACCCCTGTTCTTTTTCTGTTTTACATTTGCTTGGTAAATTCTCCTCCATCCCTTTATTTTGAGCCTATGTGTGTCTTTGCAAGTGAGACGGATCTCTTGAATACAGCAGATTGATGGGGTTTGACTCTTCATCTAGCTTACCATTCTATGTCTTGTAATTGGGGCATTTAGCCCATCTACATTTTCGGTTAGTATTCAATATTTTTATGTGTGAATTTGAGCCTGTGGTCATGACGGTAGCTGGTTGTTTTGTGGACTTGTTTATTCAGTTGCTTCACGGTGTCACTGGTCTGTGTACTTCAGTGTGCTTTTGTAGTGGCTGATAATGGTTTCTCCTTTTATTTTTTTATTTTATTATTATTATAATTTAAGTTTTAGGGTATATGTGCACAAGGTGCAGGTTTGTTACATATGTATACATGTGCCACCGTAGTGTACTGCACCCATTAACAGGTCATTTAGCATTAGGTATATCTCCTAATGCTATCCCTTCCCCCTCCCCCCACCCCACAACAGTCCCCGGTGTGTGATGTTCCCCTTCCTGTGTCCATGTGTTCTTATTGTTCAATTCCCACTTATGAGTGAGAACTTGCAGTATTTGGTTTTTTGTCCTTGCGATAGTTTGCTGAGAATGATGGTTTGCAGCTTCATCCATGTCCCTACAAAGGACATGAATTCATCGTTTTTTATGGCTGCATAGTATTTCATGGTGTATATGTGCCACATTTTCTTAATCCAGTCTATCACTGTTGGACATTTGGGTTGGTTCCAGGTCTTTGCTATTGTTAATAGTGCCACAATAAACATACATGTGCATGTGTCCTTATAGCAGCATGATTTATAATCCTTTGGGTATATATCCAGTAATGGGATGGCTGGGTCAAATGGTATTTCTAGTTCTAGATCCCTGAGGAATCACCACACTGACTTCCACAATGGTTCAACTAGTTTACGGTCCCACCAACAGTGGAAAAGTGTTCCTATTTCTCCACATCCTCTCCAGCACCTGTTGATTCCTGACTTTTTAATGATCGCCATTCTAACAGGTGTGAGATGGTGTCTCATTGTGGTATTGATTTGCATTTCTCTGATGGCCAGTGATGATGAGCATTTTTTCATGTGTCTTTTGGCTGCATAAATGTCTTCTTTTGAGAAGTGTCTGTTCATATCCTTTGCCCATTTTTTGATGGTTTTTTTTTTTTTTTCTTGTAAATTTGTTTGAGTTCATTGTAGATTCTGGATATTAGCCCTTTGTCAGATGAGTAGGTAGCAAAAATTTTCTCCCATTCTGTAGGTTGCCTGTTCACTCTGATGGTAGTTTCTTTTGCTGTGCAGAAGCTGTTTAGTTTAACTAGATCCCATTTGTCAATTTTGGCTTTTGTTGCCATTGCTTTTGGTGTTTTAGACATGAAGTCCTTGCGCATGCCTATGTCCTGAATGGTATTGCCTAGGTTTTCTTCTAGGGTTTTTATGGTTTTAGATCTAACATGTAAGTCTTTAATCCATCTTGAATTAATTTTTGTATAAGGTATAAGGAAGGGATCCAGTTTCAGCTTTCTACATGTGGCTAGCCAGTTTTCCCAGCACCATTTATTAAATAGATAATCCTTTCCCCATTGCTTGTTTTTCTCAGGTTTGTCAAAGATCAGATAGTTGTAGATATGCAGCCTTATTTCTGAGGGCTCTGTTCTGTTCCATTGGTCTGTATCTCTGTTTTGGTACCAGTACCATGCTGTTTTGGTTACTGTAGACTTGTAGTATAGTTTGAAGTCGGGTAGTGTGATGCCTCCAGGTTTGTTCTTTTGGCTGAGGATTGACTTGGCAATGCGGGCTCTTTTTTGGTTCCATATGAACTTTAAAGTTGTTTTTTCCAATTCTGTGAAGAAAATCATTGGTAGCTTGATGGGGATGGCATTGAATCTATAAATTCCCTTTGGCAGTATGGCCATTTTCCTGATACTGATTCTTCCTACGCACAAGCATAGAATGTTCTTCCATTTGTTTGTATCCTCTTTTATTTCCTTGAGCAGTGGTTTGTAGTTCTCCTTGAAGAGGTCCTTCACATCCCTTGTAAGTTGGATTCCTAGGTATTTTATTCTCTTTGAAGCAACTTTGAATGGGAGTTCACTCATGATTTGGCTCTGTGTTTGTCTGTTAGTGGTGTATAAGAATGCTTGTGACTTTTGCACATTGATTTTGTATCCTGAGACTTTGCTGAAGTTGCTTATCAGCTTAAGGAGATTTTGGTCTGAGACGATGCGGTTTTCTAGGTATAGAACCATGTCATCTGCAAACAGGGACAATTTGACTTCCTCTTTCCCTAAGTGGATGCCCTTTATTTCCTTCTCCTTCCTGATTTGCCTGGCCAGAACTTCCAACACTACGTTGAATAGGAGTAGTGAGAGAGGGCATCCCTGTCTTGTGCCAGTTTTCAAAGGGAATGCTTCCAGTTTTTGCCCATTCGGTATGATATTAGCTGTGGGTTTGTCATAGATAGCTCTTATTATTTTGAGATACGTCCCATCAATACCTAATTTATTGAGAGTTTTCAGCATGAAGCGTTGTTGAATTTTGTTAAAGGCCTTTTCTGCATCTATTGAGATAATCATGTGGTTTTTGTCTCTGGTTCTGTTTATATTCTGGATTATGTTTATTGATTTGCGCACGTTGAACCAGTCTTCCATCCCAGAGATGAAACCCACTTGATCATGGTGGATAAGCTTTTTGATGTGCTGCTGGATTTGGTTGCCAGTATTTTATTGAGGATTTTTGCATCAATGTTCACCAAGGGTATTGGCCTAAAATTCTCTTTTTTTGTTGTGTCTCTGTCAGGCTTTGGTATCAGGATGATGCTGGCCTCATAAAATGAGTTAGGGAGGATTCCCTCTTTTTCTATTGATTGGAATAGTTTCAGAAGGAATGGTACCAGCTCCTCCTTGTACCTCTGGTAGAATTCGGCTGTGAATCCATCTGGTCCTGGACTCTTTTTTGTTGGTAAGCTATTGATCATTGCCTCAGTTTCAGAGCCTGTTATTGGTCTATTCAGAGATTCAACTTCTTCCTGGTTTAGTCTTGGGAGGGTGTATGTGTCAAAGAATTTACCCATTTCTTCTAGATTTTCTAGTTTATTTGCATAGAGGTGTTTATAGTATTCTCTGATGGTAGTTTGTATTTCTGTGAGATCGGTGGTGATATCCCCTTTGTCATTTTTTATTACATCTATTTGATTCTTCTCTCTTTTCTTCTTTATTAGTCTTGCTAGTGGTCTATCAAACTTGTTGATCTTTTCAAAAAACCAGCTCCTGGATTCATTGATTTTTGAAGGGTTTTTTGTGTCTCTAGTTCCCTTAGTTCTGCTCTGATCTTAGTTATTTCTTGCCTTCTGTTAGCTTTTGAATGTGTTTGCTCTTGCTTCTCTATTTCTTTTAATTGTGATGTGAGGGTGTCAATTTTAGATCTTTCCTGCTTTCTCTTGTGGGCATTTAGTGCTATAAATTTCCCTCTACACACTGCTTTGAATGTGTCCCAGAGATTGTGGTATGTTGTGTCTTTGTTCTCATTGGTTTCAAAGAACATCTTTATTTCTGCCTTCATTTCGTTATGTACCCAGTAGTCATTCAGGGGCAGGTTGTTCAATTTCCTTGTAGTTGAGCAGTTTTGAGTGAATTTCTTAATCCTGAGTTCTAATTTGATTGCACCGTGGTCTGAGAGACAGTTTGTTATAATTTCTGTTCTTTTACATTTGCTGAGGCATACTTTACTTCCAGCTATGTGGTCAATTTTGTAATAGGTGTGGTGTGGTGCTGAAAAGAATGTACATTCTGTTGATTTGGGGTGTAGAGTTCTGTAGATGTCTATTAGGTCTGCTTGATGCAGAGCTGAGTTCACTTCCTGGATATCCTTGTTAACTTTCTGTCTCGTTGATGTGTCTAATGTTGACAGTGGAGTGTTAAAGTCTCCCATTATTATTGTGTGGGAGTCTAAGTCTCTTTGTAGGTCACTAAAGACTTGCTTTAGGAATCTGGGTGCTCCTGTATTGGGTGCATATATATTTAGGATAGTTAGATCTTCTTGTTGAATTGATCCCTTTTCCATTATGTAATGGCCTTCTTTGTCTCTTTTGATCTTTGTTGGTTTAAAGTCTGTTTTATCAGTGACTAGGATTGCAACCCCTGCCTTTTTGTTTTCCATTTGCTTTGTAGATCTTCCTCCATCCCTTTATTTTGAGTTTATGTGTGTCTCTGCACATGAGATGGGTTTCCTGAATACAGCACACTGATGGGTCTTGACTCTTTATCCAATTTGCCAGTCTTTGTCTTTTAATTGGAGCATTTACCCCATTTACATTTAAGGTTAATACTGTTTTGTGTGAACTTGATCCTGTCATTATGATGTTAGCTGGCTATTTTGCTCGTTAGTTGATGCAGTTTCTTCCTAGCCTCAATGGTCTTTACAATTTGGTATGTTTTTCCAGTGGGTGGTACCGGTTGTTCCTTTCCATGTTTAGTGCTTCCTTCAGGAGCTCTTTTAGGGCATGCCTGGTGGTGACAAAATCTCTCAGCATTTGCTTGTCTATAAAGGATTTTATTTCTCCTTCACTTCTGAAGCTTAGTTTGGCTGGATATGAAATTCTGGTTTGAAAATTCTTTTCTTTAAGAATGTTGAATATTGGCCCTCAGTCTCTTCTGGCTTGTAGAGTTTCTGCCGAGAGATCAGCTGTTAGTTTGCTGGGCTTCCCTTTGTGGGTAAACCGACCTTTCTCTCTTGCTGCCCTTAACATTTTTTCCTTCATTTCAGCTTTGGTGAATCTGACAATTTTGTGTCTTGCAGTTGCTCTTCTCAAGGAGTATCTTTGTTGCATTCTATGTATTTCCTGAATTTGAATGTTGGCCTGTCTTGCTAGATTGGGGAAGTTCTCCTGTATAATATCCTGCAGAGTGTTTTCCAACTTTGTTCCATTCTCCCCGTCACTTTCAGCTACACCAATCAGATGTAGATTTGGTCTTTTCACATAGTCCCATATTTCTTGGAGGTTTTGTTCTTTTCTTTTTATTCTTTTTTCTCTAAACTTCTCTTCTTGCTTCATTTCATTCATTTCATCTTCCATCACTGGTACCCTTTCTTCCTGTTGATCGCATTGGCTACTGAGGCTTGTGAATTTATCACGTATTTCTGGTGCCATGGTTTTCAGCTCCATCAGGTCCTTTAAGGACTTCTCTGAATTGGTTATTCTAATTAGCCATTCATCTAATTTTTTTTCATAGTTTTTAACTTTTTTCCATTGGTTCAAACTTCCTCCTTTAGCTCGGAGTAGTTGATCTTCTGAAAGCTTCTTCTCTCAACTCGTCAGAGTCATTCTCCGTTCAGCTTTGTTCCATTGCTGGTGAGTAACTGCGTTCCTTTGGAGGAGGAGAAGTGCTCTGATTTTTAGAGTTTCCGGTTTTTCTGCTCTGTTTTTTCCCTATCTTTGTGGTTTTATCTACCTTTGGTCTTTGATGATGGTGATGTACAGATAGGTTTTTGGTGTGGACATCCTTTGTGTTTGTTAGTTTTCCTTCTAACAGTCAGGACCCTCAGCTGCAGGTGGGTTGGAGTTTGCTGGAGGTCCACTCTAGACCCTGTTTGCCTGGGTGTCAGCAGCAGTGGCTGCAGAACAGTGGATACTGGTGAACCGCAAATGCTGCTGCCTGATCGTTCCTCTGGAAGTTTTGTCTCAGAGAAGTACCGGGCCGTGTGACGTGTCAGCCTGCCCCTACTGGAGGTGCCTCCCAGTTAGGCTACTCGGGAGTCAGGGCCCAACTTGAGGAGGCAGTCTGCCGGTTCTCAGATCTAAATCTGCATGCTGGGGGAACCACTACTCTCTTCAAAGCTGTCAGACAGGGACATTTAAGTCTGCAGAGGTTACTGCTTCATTTTGTTTGTCTGTGTCCTGCCCCCAGAGGTGGAGCCTACAAAGGCAGGCTGGCATCCTTGAGCTGTGGTGGGCTTCACCCAGTTCGAGCTTCCTGGCACTTTGTTTAGCTACTCAAGTCTCAGCAATTGTGGGCGCCCCTACCCCAGCCTCACTGCTGCCTTGCAGTTTGTTCTCAGACTGCTGTGCTAGCAAAGAGCGAGGCTCCATGGACGTAGGACCCTATAAGCCAGGTGCGGGATGTTATCTCCTGGTGTGCCGTTTGTTAAGCCCGTGGGAAAAGTGCAGTATTAGGGTGGGAGTGACCCTATTTTCCAGGTGCCATCTGTCACCCCTTTCTTTGACTAGGAAAGGGAATTCCCTGACCCCTTGTACTTTCCAGGTGAGGTGATGCCTCGCCCTGCTTTGGCTCATGCACGGTGCACTGCACCCACTGTCCTGCACCCACTGTCTGGCACTTCCCAGTGAGATGAACCCAGTACCTCAGTTGGAAATGCAGAAATCACCTGTCTTCTGCGTTCCTCATGCTGGGAGCTGCAGACTGGAGCTCTTCCTATTCGGCCATCTTGGCTCCAACCCCGGTTTCTCCTTTTCATATTTCTTGTTTCCTTCAAGAGCTCTTGCAAGGCAGTCCTTGTCATGACAAATTCCCTCAGCATTTGCTTGTTTGACTTATGAAGCTTAGTTTGGCAATATATACATTCCTGGAATGTAAATTATTTTTTTAAATGTTGAATATTGGCCCCCAGTCTCTTCTGGCTTGTGGCGTTTCTGTTGAGAGGTCCACTATTAGTCTGATGGGTTTCTCTTTTTAGGTGACCTGGCCTTTCTCTCTGGCTGCCCTTAACATATTTTCTCTCATTTTAACCTTGGAGAATCTGAAGATTATTTTTCTTGGGGTTAACCTTCTCATGGAGTATCTTACTGGGTTTCTCTTGGTTTCCTGAATTTAAAGGTTGGTCTGTCTTGTTAGTTGGGGGAAGTTCTCCTGGATGATATTGTGATGTATGTTTTCCAACTTGGTTCTGATCTCCCCATTTCTTTCAGGTACCCCAACCAGTTGTAGCTTCAGTCTTTTCACATAATTCCATATTTCTTGGAGGTTTCGTTTATTCCTTTTCATTATTTTTTCTCACTTTTTGTCTGCTTCTCTTATTTCAGAAAGATAGTCTTCAAGTTCTGAGATTCTTTCTTCTGCTTGCTCTATTCTGCTATTGATACTTGTGATTACATGGTGAAGTTCTTGTGTTGTGTTTTTCAGCTCCATCAGGTAAGTTATGTTCCTCTCTAAACTGGCTATTCTGGTTATGAGCCCCTGTATTGTTTTATCATGATTCTTAGCTTATTTGCATTGGTTTACAACATGCTCCTTTAACTCAGCAAAGTTCTTTATTACCCACCTTTTGAAGCCTACTTCTGTCAATTCAGCCATGCCAGCCTCAGCCCAGTCCTCTGTCCCTGCTGGAAAGACGTTGCAGTCATTTGGAGGAGAAGAGGTACTCTGGCTTTTGAGTTTTCAGTGTTTTTGTGTTGATTCTTATCTTTCTGGGCTTATCTACCTTTGATCTTTTAGTTTGCTGACATTTGAATAAGGTTTTGTGGGGTCTTTTTGTTGATATTGTTGCTTTCTCTTTGTTTTTCCTTTAACAGGCCACCGTTTTGTAGAACTGCTGGGGTTTGCTGGGGGTCCACTCCAGACCCTAGTCACCTCAGTCCCTCCTGCACCTGGAGGTATCACTAGTGAATGCTGTGAAATAGGAAAGATAGCAGCCAGCTCCTTCCTCTGGGAGCTCCATCCCAGGAGGCACCAGCCTGACACCAGCCAGAATTCTCCCATAGGAGGTTTCTGGAGACCCCTGTTGGGAGGACTCACCCATTCAGAAGGAACAGGTTTAGGGACCCGCTTAAAGAAGCAGTCTGGCTGCCGGTTGGCAGAGCAGGTGTGCTACGCTGACCACCCTGACACTCCAGAGTCAGC